>NC_000019.10:42998449-43301480 GCF_000001405.40 Homo sapiens
GCGCCTGCTACCAGGCCCGGCTAATTTTTTTTTGTATTTTTAGTAGAGACGGGGTTTCACCTTGTTAGCCAGCATGGTCTCGATCTCCTGACCTTGTGATCCACCCGCCTTGGCCTCCTAAAGTGCTGGGACTACAGGCGTGAGCCACTGCACCCGGCCTGATAATTTTTTTTTAAGGAGGCTGCAGATGGGTATGCATGCTCATTGGAGGTGAGCATTCTTCCCTTATTGAAGATTACTAAAATCACATGTATTGAAAAGCATTTGGGATTATTTACTTAATTGATGAGTACTCATTTATTTTTACATTTATTTGATACCACGTATAAAAAAGTATGGACATATACATATGTGATATGCGATACACCATAGAACATATACATGTGCACATAAAGATAGAGGGAGACAGAAATACTTCAGATTTTTTCTTTTAAAACTTTTTGCATGAACCCATAAAACTCACTGTTAAAAAAAACAGCTGGATTTAAATTGTGCTTTTGCAAAAAGCAAAAGTTAACATTTAATTGAGGAAGCCCTTGCTGAGTTTTAGAGAAAGTAGGTAGTAAATTTACATCTCAAAGCACACACACACACACACACACACACACACACACAGAGAGAGATAGAGAGAGAGAGAGAAGGAATTTGGGTGTGTTCAAGGAAGATTAAAAGTAGTTGCCAAGGTAACACAAAAATGATAGAAATTTATAACAGGATTTTATAAGGAGACCAATTTTATTTACATATATAGCTTTTATTTTGGTCTCTGTTTTCCAACTGTACTCCAGGAAACACACTACACAGGCTCCCTTCTTAAGTGCTGGTGGGCCACTGCACATGCAGACAGCCCACTTTAAGGGAAGAATCAGGGGAGAAGAGATGCAGACCCCAGAATTATGCCAACATACAAAAGCCTAAGTCAAAGGTCAAACCACACACTTGAAATCTCATCGCCTGTTTGGCCCTGTTTTAAGTGTACTTTACTTTCTTTAATTTCTGCTCTAAAGCTTTTAAATAAACTTTCACTCTTGCTCTAAAATTTGCCTGTCTCTTCTTCTGCTTTATGACACTTAGTTGAATTCTTTCTTCTGAAGAAGCAAGAATTGAGGCTGCAGCAGGCTTGTACAGATTTGCTGCCATTAATATAGTTTAGTGCCATTCTACATGATAGAATATATATATTCTTATATTTATATATATATATATATATAAAATTTATGTATTCATAGAGGCCTTGAATCTACATTCTTGCTGCACTTTATGTAAACAATCCAGGTATAAGACTAAAACTTATTTTGGAAATACATTGGTCCCATATGATTTCTATTTCATAAAAATGGGAGACAGGAGGGGGAAAATTATTTTTCAGAAGAAAACAACAGAACAATGGTTATTGAATTTTAGATCTGTTCATTTTTTTTTAAATTTTGTTATTTACCTACAATTTGGACTGAATCCTAAATTTTTTCCTGGCTCAAATTTCAAAACTAATGGTTTCAGAATTTTCTTCCATTTTTCTTCCATTTTGGTATATTATAAATTAAAACTGTGATTTTTAAATTTTTATCTTTTTTATTACACTTTTAAGTTCTGGGATACATGTGCAGAATGTGCAGGTTTGTTACATAGGTGTACATGTGCCATGGTGTTTTGCTGAACCCATTAACCCATCATCTACCTTAGGTATTTCTCCTAATGCTATCTCTTCCCTAGTCCCCCACCCCTCAACAGGCCCCAGTGTGTGATGTTCCCCTCCCTGTGTCCATGTGTTCTCATTGTTCAACTCCCACTTATGAGTGAGAACATGCAGTGTTTGGTTTTCTGTTCCTGTGTTAGTTTGCTGAGAATGGTGTTTCCAGCTTCATCCATGTCCCTGCAAAGGATATGAACTCATCCTTTTTTATGGCTGCATTGAATTCCATGGTGTATATGTACCACATTTTCTTTATCCAGTCTATCATTAATAGGCATTTGTGTTGGTTCCAAGTCTTTGCTATTGTGAATAGTGCTGCAATAAACATATGTGTGCATGTGTCTTTATGGTAGAATGTTCTATAATCCTTTGGGTATATACCCAGTAATGGGATTACTGGGTCAAATGATATTTCTTGTTCTGGATCCTTGAGGAATCGCCACACTGTCTTTCACAATGGTTAAACTAATTTACATTCCCACCAACAGTGTAAAAGCGTTCCTATTTCTCCACATCCTCTCTGGCATCTGTTGTTTCCTGACCTTTTAATGGTCACCATTCTAACTGGCATGAGATGGTATCTCATTGTGGTTTTGATTTGCATTTCTCTAATGACCAGTGATGATGAGCTTTTTTTCGTATGTTTGTTGGTCACATAAATTTCTTATTTTGAGAAGTGTCTGTTCATGTGCTTTGCCCACTTTTTGATGGGCTTGTTTGTTTTTTTTTTCTTGTAAATTTGTTTAAGTTTCTTGTAGATTCTGGATATTAGCCTTTTGTCAGATGGATAGATTAAACCTTGCAAGCTGAAACTTGACGACTTATGTAAACTTCTGGAGAAATCATAGCAACTTATATATAAACAACCTTTGTGCCTGCTGATGTGTGGACTACACAAAAGGTACACATGAACACTGTATTCAGACTGCAATTCAGAAAAATGTGTCAGATTGCCATTGCAATTGGAAGACACTTCAGAAACTCTAGAAAACCTAGTCTATACAGTTAGAGCGATGTTTGCCAAATGAATTCCTCTAATTGAAGCAGCAGTTGTGTGACTTTAATAAGGTTCCAGGATTATACTGTCCCTTTTTTGCTGTGACTTCCCTTTGCCCTTTTCTGAATTGTCTTCATCCCCTTTTCCACGGGGCATGACTTCTTAAGAATGAGCCTTCCTAGTGATGTAGGATCAGATGGAACATACAGTCACAAAGTCATGTCTTCTACAATGATTTCTCTGAAAGCTTTTGAGGAATTGAGGGGCCAGGTGTGCTGGCAGAGGCCTGTAATCCCAGCACTTTGAGAGTCCAAGGCAGGAGGATCACTTGAAACCAGGAGTTTAAGACCAGCCTGAGCAACAAAGGGAGACCATGTCTCTACAAAACATAAAATAAATCAAATTAGCCAGGTGCAGCGGTGCCTGCCTCTAGTCTCAGATACTTGGGAGGCTAAGGCTGGAGGACCGCTTCAGCCCAGGAGTTCAAGACTGTAGTGAGTACACTCCAGTCTGGGTGACAGAGCAAGGTTTTTTCTCTAAAAGAAAAAAAAAAAAGGAAAGGAAAAGAATAGGGTAAACAGGAAAGCCAAAGATCTTGGGCATCTCCAGATGTTTGCCTGAACAAATTGTTTTTTCTTGGCTTCAAAACCTTTCAAGATGCATATTTCTTTGTAAAAGAAGGACATACGAATCGTAACTTTAAGTGAGCAATCAAAATCTAGGTCCTAAAACTGAAGTATTTTAACTCTCATTCTGATAATATTTATTTTCTGAGGCAAAGAAGAAAGACAAGATTAGATCAATTGTTTCTCTGCCCACTCCATCTCTTCCAACTTGCCTTGTCCCCTTTAATCAAATGTATAAATACTAAGCCTCCTGAAACGTCTTCAGAGAAAACACAAGCCACAGAGGTTTTTTGCAACTCATGTATTCCCAGGGTGCACTGTCAAGCTCTGGCTCAATAAAACTCAATTGGTCAAGACCCTTGCCTCAGTCAGTCATTCTGGATAACCACCATGAGTCCTGCAAAGCCCTTCAGTAATCTATTGCCTGCCTAGGTGATGTGTACCTAGGTGAGTCAGATCTTCATGAGTCCAACACTCGTCTTCCTTTTCTGTCTTTCCCAACCCTACCACTCAGTGCTGTGTGCTCTGATCTGACCCCAGCTCCCAGGTTGTTTGTATTGGTCTAAGAAAGCAAGACCAGGAGGGGCAGGTTGAGAAGGAAGTAAGAGGCCAACTGCCATGGAAAGTGGCAGGTGGGGCTGTCATTGCTCAAAGCCACACACTCTGGGTGCATTTTATGAATTTTTCTGGATTCATAATCTTCTCCCTCTGTGTCTATCTAGAAACTCACCCTCCTCCTACTTTCTTCTCATTACTCTTTCTGTTTCTAGTGCACTCATTTATGGCCAGAGAATGGCCATGCAAATAGTTGACAATAGAATAAAAAATGACATTTTGTGAGACTTGGAAGCTGGCCTTTCTTTTTTCTAAAAGAGATTGAGGTTTCTAAAAGCTAGCTTTTATGGAGGGCTGTGCAGTTATGATTGTAGTTTTACAGAACAGGTGCATAAGTGAAGGGTGAGACAGAAAACAAAATGCTGGCTGTTTGTCAAATCCTGAAAGTGAATGGGACAAAAATCATGTTTGAAGGAGGATGTCATTCAGGAGACCTTGTACATCTTAGAGTGTCCTCTTACCAGATGAAGTGGAGGATGAGGTTGAATTGTGGGGTTAGGTGACAGTGGGTACATACTTCTCTGCCTCAGTTTTTGTTTTTTTTAATCTGTAAAAATGGGGATTGTGGCACTTGGGATCTTTTGGTGAGGAGTGTAGTTACCTGGAAAGCTCTTAGGATAGTGCCTGGTACATAGTGATTCCTGCATCAGTGTGAGCTATTATAATTATGGGAATAGAAAAAGGTGCCACCCTGGACATCCAGAGTGGGGAGATGTTTTCCAGTCAGGGTCCAGGCAGGCCAGCTGGAGACGAAGCTGATTAGTGGGGAAGCTTAACTTCCAGGAGTGGAAGAATTTAGGAGGAGTAAACAGAATGCACAACATACTGTAAACATTCCTTTACCCAACAGTAGGAATACTCAGAGTGGGTGTGTCTTCCGTGGCAATCATTATCTCCTGGGAATCTAAGAATGTGTCCTAGAGTCAAATGGCTTTGATGTAAGCCAAACCCAGAAATGGGCTTCAGGGCTGCCTTGCACATAGCATTCATTCATCTTGAAAAAGGAAAGCATTCATCTTGCTAAAGGAATCCCCTCTTCTGGCCCAGACCATTATTTTTGTTTTTTTACTATCCTAATTTTAAGATGTAAGGAGAAAGACTGAAGAACAAAATAATGAAGTACATGAATGAAATAACAGGGTAGAATTGAGACTGGTATGTGTAAGTTAAGAGAAATTGTGTATAAATTTTGTGTGAACAGAAAATTGATTTCTTGTTGCAAACAGACCTCTCTACATAAATAATACCTCCTGCCTTGAGTGGATAGCAGACCTCATCACAAGAACATTCCAGCAGAGTCATGAGAGAATGGGTAGTGTGGCTTCTTTAATTGGCAGGTTAGACTGAGTAAGTTACTGAAGAGAAAGAAGTTGAAGGAGAAGATGGGTGAGGGCAAGAAAAATGGGAAGGTGAAAGGAAAGGACTGAAAGGAATGTTTACCAAGGGCTCATCAGGTACCAGGCTCTGTGACTAATGTCTTACACATGTTAATTTACTCTTCCACTGTCATTTTCTGATGCGGTAAGAGTCAGTCTTACACTACAGGTGAGGAAAGAGGCTGAGGGAGGTCAAATGAGTGGCCCAGGGTCATCCAGCCACTTCATAGCAGAGCTAGTGTGTTTCACTGTGGTTTGTGCAGACAGAAAAGTGAGACATGGAAGGAAGGCAAAACATTTTTGTTGTGGGTGATGTTTATGAAAGTGACCCATATGAGGCAGAATAATGGCCTCTTAAAAATGTCCACATCCGGGCCGGGTGCAGGGGCTCTCACCTGTAATCCCAGCCTTTGGAAGGCTGATACGGGTGGATCATGAGGTCAGGGGTTCGAAACCAGCCTGGCCAACATGGTGAAACCCCATTTCTACTAAAAATGCAAAAATTGGCTGGGCGTGGTGGCACATGCCTCTAATGCCAGCTACTTGGGAGGCTGAGGCAGGAAAGTCATTTGAACCTGCAAGGGGGAGATTGCAGTGAGCCCAGATTGTGCCACTGCACTCCAGCTGGGGCAACATGAGGGAAACTCTGTCTCAAAAAAAAAAAAATCCACATTCTAACTCTTGGAACACATGCATTTACTTTTCTTGGCAAAAACACTGTACAAAGGTGATGAAGTTGAGTATCTTGAGATGGAAAGCTTATTCTGGCTTATCTATGTGGCTCCCAGTGTCATCATAAGAGTCCTTGTAAGTGAAAGGGAAAGGCAGGAGGGGCCGGGTGAGAATGATGAGGCCTGAGAGACTCCACTGGCCGTTGCTTGCTGTGAACATGTGTGATAAGACAAAATTACAACTAATTTAGTTATAGATGTAATTGGCTTTTATTTGTGATTTATGATTTGGGGCAGCTCTCCCTCTACAGATGCCTCAGCATCCCAAGTAGCTGGGACTATATTGCAGGATCTGACCAGAAGCCTGCAATGCAATGGGGCTCTTTCTTTGTTCCCAGGCAGATCGGCAGGTTGAGAAATAAAAGGCACACACAAGATAGTGAAAGCCATATCGAGAGGGGTCACCGCCTTCTGGTCCTGCAATGCTGCCAATGCACTGGATATACCAGCATTTATTATTAAGTTTAGTGAGAGTGGGGATAGGTTACTGAGGGATTTAGGGTTATTTATAGGCTCTCCACAAGGGTCACATTCCATTCCCAGAGCTATGGACATCTGCTTTTCTGGGATAGGAATCTTGGTAATGTGAAACCTCCCTGACTGCATGTCCGTTCATAGGCTCTCTGCAGGGGTAAGCACATCATGTGCTGTTAGCTCATTCTGGCAGCCCAACCTGGCATTTGTCTTTACACAATCCTGCATGCAGTTTCATATTTACAATAATGAGGAGCATTTCATCTTTTATTCCGTAGCAATAGTTTCAGGGGGTCTCCCTACATCTCCCCCTTTTCTCTGATTTCAATGAACCATAGCAATCATAGCTTGGCACTGATCACGATTGGATTGAAGAATATTTTTTCCAATTTTACACATGAACAATAAACCAATAGCACAAACTGTCTAAAACTTCAGCACTGGGTAAAACAGTTAAGAGTGCTTGAGAAGCTTCAAAAATCTGTTCTTTTAGCTTCCTTATGTCTAAACTTAAATTATCTTCACTTCCTTGTAAATGGCATTTTACGATTCCCAATTGTGAACAGACTCATTATATTGGAATGGAGTTATACAAAAATCAGAAGTATTCCAATCACGTTGCATTTGTAATCTATGTTCTAATCTCATAATTCTATCTCCCATCCATATAACAGAAGCACATCACGCGCTGTAGGCTCATTCTGGCAGCCCAACCTGGCATTGTCTTTACACAATCCTGCATGCAATTTTGTATTTATCATAATCAGGAGCATTTCATCATTTATTCTATAGCAATAGTTTCGGTGGGTCTCCCTACAGGACTACAGGTGTGCACCACCATGCCCAGGTAATTTTTGTATTTTAACTAGAGACAGGGATTCACCATATTGACCAGGCTGATCTTGAGCTCCTGACCTTGTGATCCACCTGCCTTGGCTTCCCAAAGTGCTGGGATTACAGATGTGAGCCACTGTGCCTCGCCCATAAATCACACATTTCTTTGAGTTTTTGTAATTCCAGCACAAGAGAAACCATTTGATGTTTGAAGAATGGCTGCACACAAATAAAAACATCTGTGGATTGCGCCACACGAGGGAGACTACCAGTATGACTATCAGGAGGAAAATATCGAGTTTGGTATATACACCTTAGGCAAGATGCAAACCAACTACAATAGGATAGATCAAAGAAGAAGCCAGAAGGGTCTAGTCATTTTAACCAGGCAGCACATTTAATGATTTTTACAACTGACTGTGTAATACCCAATGTATTTATCCATATGCAATAAGAAGTGTCAGAAACTGCACAGGCTCCCCCCGTTCAGCTGATAGAGAGCAATTCTATTATCTAGCATTGCATGTCTATGTTAAATTAAAACAGGGAGTGAGAATAGGCAAGTATAGAAGTGGAAGCCTAAAAAAATCTCCATACATTTGAGGAAAAAGTTGTGTTACAGATGCAGCTAATGTCAGCCTTTGGGTGGATTAAAGGATCTCTTGGTATGTAAAAATGTGTGGGCTGGGTGTGGTGGCTCACGCCTGTAATCCCAGCACTTTGGGAGGCTGAGGCATGCGGATCACCTGAGGTTGGGAGTTCAAGACCAGCCTGACCAACATGGAGAAACCCTGTCTCTACTGAAAATACAAAATTAGCTGGGCTTGGTGGCACATGCCTGTAATCCCAGCTACTGGGGAGGCTGAAGCAGGAGAATCACTTGAACCCAGGAGGCGGAGGTTGCTGTGAGCCAAGATTGTGCCATTGCAGTCCAGCATGGGCAACAAGAGTGAAACTCCATCTTATAAAAAAAAAAAAAGTGTGGTTGACATGATATATCTGACACTGTTAACTTACTCTCAGAAGCTACTTCTTGTGAAATCCTAAGTACAGCATTATTCTGGGAAGCAAAGGAGACAGGCATAAGCAAGGAGAAATTCAGAGAGGTAAGAGTCTCATCATGATTGATAGTCTTGTTCTGACATCTTGAGAAAAGCTGTCCACAGTGTAAAGTCATCAACTTGTTGTCGTGGTTTGCAGTTTGAGTGTCTCTAAGTTATGGTGTTGGACATTTGGTGAGCTCTTAGTGGCCCACACCTCAGACATGAGGGTTTTCCCATGAAATTTACATTGAGTTGTCCACCTCCAACTTATATGGCTTCAGGAACAGAGCCACTCTTGTTCTTAATGATTTCATTGGAGAAAATTGAATTGGAAGAACTAAAAGAATTCAGGGTCCAGTCCAGTCTACCAGTGGATTATAAATACTCAATGATAATGAACAGTGGTTCAATCTGGTAACAGGTGTACTACAGTTTTTCTTTTCAACATAGTTTTTCTGTCTATAGGAGTCTCTATTTTTACCAAAGATAATTCCAGTAGGATGAATTTGTTTGCAAAATAGGTTGAGTCTCACCGAACTTGCCCAGATTTTTTAGCTAAGTGCGGCAAGAGTAGCAAGGGACCATAGAGGCTCTTTTTAAACTTCTCTTTGCTAGAAGTTTTTAATAAGAATCTCAGATTAAACTTCCAAAAACCTCTTGAGACTAGGAAGCCAACCCAAGGCCCGCTTCAGACTTTGCCTGCATTCCCTATGGGTTTATTCTATGTATATTCTCAAATATAACATCCCAGTCAAAGCCTTGGTAATATAACCAATGTTTTCAAATGTGTCCTGTTATAAAGAGAGCAGATTCTTACTAAACTTGTGCAAATAACTTTATTACCATAAACATATGAATATTCATGAATAGATTCCCAATTCTGGGGCACTCAGAGAGCAAAAGCAAATGTTTCAATTTTTGTTTACAAAAGTATACTTTACCAATTGCTGAAGAAAAAAATTCATAAATCTGGAGGATAAAACATTCAAAAAATCAGCACATTTTCCAATAAAAAATTATGAAAACATTATCCTTTTGTTATTTAGTCCAATGAAATGGAGTTCTTTTCTTCTTTGTCTTGAATTTCATGAAGGTATCAGCCTGTTCATCAAAATTTTGAAAGTTCTTAGTCCAGTGGTATGATCTTGAAGTTATCAGGAACTTGTATTCAAGAGTCCTTTTCATAGTCTTTTCCATAAATCTCCTTGAAGAAAAAGCAATTTTGGACTGTAGCTGATTTTAAATACTTTGAGGAAGAATCAAAGCAACTTTCTGGGAATGACAAAGATTTAAAATGACTATGTTTAAAAATCTAATGAGAATTTATTATGGTAAAGACACAGCTCACATAGAAATCTAGTTACTTCTGTGGCTTATGACACTATGGTAA
Source organism: Homo sapiens (assembly GCF_000001405.40). NCBI lineage: Eukaryota > Metazoa > Chordata > Mammalia > Primates > Hominidae > Homo > Homo sapiens. Next base: position 43,008,229 of record NC_000019.10, read on the forward strand.
CATATTTGATTTCCAGAAATTTCATATAATTTTTAGAACACTCATTTTTTTAAATTTTTTTTGAGATGGAGTCTCACTCTGTCATCCAGACTGGAGTGCAGTGGTGCAATCTCAGTTCACTGCAAGCTCTGCCTCCCGGGTTCATGCCATTCTTCTGCCTCAGCCTCCTGAGTAGCTGGGACTACAGGTGCCTGCCACCACACCCAGCTAATTTTGTTTTTGCGTTTTTGGTAGAGATGGGGTTTCACTGTGTTAGCCAGGAAGGTCTGGATCTCCTGACCTTATGATCCACCCACCTCAGTCTCCCAAAGTGCTGGGATTACAGGCATGAGCCATCGCACCCAGCCTAGAATACTCATATTATTAACATTCCCATAAATATTATTTAGAGAAGGTTTAGCATCACTTATCCCTTATTTGAAAATGCTTTCTATATAATGTAATATATAAAATAAGGTGGCTTTTCCATTCAGCTTCTGTTTCTCAAGAGGATTACTGAGTTCTTGGTGTAGCCCATTCATAAATAGGGCCAAAAAGGTATAGTCTTATGTATGTTGAAAAAGATCCTTAGGTAATTCCAGTACTTCTAGCTGAAAATCATTCATTTAGTTTTAAGTTCTACCTATTGCAACAAGAGTTCTCCATCCTTGTTACATGTTAGTAGTGTCAGGGAAGACTTAAAAATTACCAATGCCTGGGTCCGTCTCCAGACCTTTAAACTGGAACTAATGGGTGGGGCTTGAGCATCCTCTTTTAAAAATGTTTTCCAGTGATTCCAATGTGTAGCTCTATTTCCCATCAGATTTCTCTGATTTCTTGTGGCATTCAATTTTTTCTATTTTGGTATCATGATTATTTTCAGGTCTCATTTCCTGTCTTAGGCTTTGTGTCTCCTGGGGTGGGGCCCTTGCCTTCTTCATTTCTGTATGTTTTTTGAACACATGAACTGATCATCAGGAAAAGATCTCAACCACACATAGGTTGTGTCCTGAGTCTCAGGTTCACATGTTAATCCTAAAGTCTTTGTTCTCCACGAGGTCAGATGTTGCTTGTGATGAAGGGTGTGGTTAAGTCTGCAGTGCAGATGGTGGAAGGGATTTCACTCTGTTTTTAGACATAGCATTGGAACTAAGAATTTTATGTCTATATGGGTGAAGGGGCAGGGATGTGTAGGAAGACAGTTCTAATTAGGATGGAGGAATTATACTAGGAAGTAGAGGTAAAGGAAGTGAGAAGGCTTAGTAAATAGAAGAAATGTGAACTTATCAAATAGGCTAGTGTATACCCCTGGAGATTCTTGATTAAGTGAATTAACTAGATTTTAGAAAGGTAATGAGGCAGTTATATGCAAGGAACATTTCAAAGTCTGGAGACAAGAAGTCAAGCAATACTTTGAGAAGTGGTTGAGCTTTATGGGAATGGAGAGAATTACACTATTGAGATATGTTAAAAATAATGAAGAAGGTTTCACCATGTGAAATTGTGTTTCTCATTTGAATCTGAGAAACAAATGAGCAGAGGCTGGAGATAATTATGTCTAAAAGACAGTGGGGTACAGGGAGCATAAAGGCCAGGGAGAAAGGGAACTGCAGGAATTAGTGCTGAGAAGCAGGAGTTAGTGGATGAAGGAGGAGATCCAGGCCCAGATACAGGCAAATAAGTCATTTCCCTCTCCCAAGCATGGCAGTCAGCCCTGCAGGAACCAGGATAAGAGAAAAGGTCATCATACCTGCCAGTCTTCCTGAAATACAAAAATGACATCACGGCTGCTACGTTGGATTATTGAAAGCAAAAGTTCCTAATCCTGGAGGAGCTGTCATGGAAAGAAAAGAAAAGAAGGAATGAAGGTGATGTTATTTTACATGGGGGAGCGTCAGGAACAAGCATGTAACATGAGATACTGTATAATTGTTTCTTCAAGGACTACATTATTTCTGTTGGAAAATTGATGGGAGATGATTATATTCTTGCAGTTTTTTTTCCCTCTCACCATGTTTCTCAGTTGGTGATCAGTCCTCTGTCAATTCTCTACTGCACTCAGGTATTTTGGAAGGCTTTCAGACGTGAGAAAGGCTGATTGCTATTTTCTATGTCATTGGAACTTGTCACCTTTGCACCTTTTCATGGTTGCATCTTTTTCTCAGTGTCTCTGTTGTGGCAGTCATGAATGAGACTCTGTCAGATCTCCATGGCAGGGACCTGATTGACAGAAGGCCCAGGTCAGTGCATTTCAAATTCACCACCTCCTTTGCACAGAAAGCTTCTTTCCTACAGGCTCCCAGGAAGGGTGTGAAAGCAAGCCTAGTTCTCTGAGGCTCTCTTTAACGCTAATGGGTGACTGGTTGGAGGATTCCTCATCAGCCTTGCAAAAACTCTTAGAATTGCATTGGTACCTAAAACTTCTTTCTCTTTCTTTTTCACAGGAATCAGCTCTGCATAGTGGTCTGTGGGTTCTCCTGTACTACCTTCATGCCTGCCCCACATTCCCTCACAGGTGTCTTCCGTGATAAATTATCGTTTAGGTCTAATCCCGTCTTGGATGCATCTCAGTTGGTAAAAACTAACATACCAGGCTTGATTCTTTGCAGTTAGCTCTTTATCTTTCTCTCCCACAAGTAGTCAGTAGCCTTGTTCTAGTGTTTTATGTGTTACCTCTTTTTCCATATATATATATATATATATATATGGAAAAAGGAAGGTACTGTTGAGGGGCACTTCCTATGTGCCAGGCCCTGTGCTAAATACTTTACCTGTATCTCATTTAATCCACACAATAACCCTGTGAGGTAGACATTATTTCCATTTTGCCAATGAAAAGACAGAAGCTTAGCGTGCTGTAAAAACTTTCCTGGTGTCATATGGCTAGTGACAGGTGGATCTGAGATTTGATTCTAGGACTATTTGACCTCAAGGTTAATGATGATGATAGTAATATAGTAGCTGACATTGGTTCCTCTGTATGTGGCATCTTGTTTCATTGACTGCATGAAACCTTTAAAAGAATGGTACGAAGAAAACACTCTCATTGCAATTTTCAGGTGAGGAATCAGAGGTTCAGAGAAGTTGAGTCTTGTGCAAGAAATTTATAACTGTAAACTCTTACATTAAAAAAGAAGAAAGATCTCAGGTCAACAACCTACTTTAACACTTCAGGATATGAAAGAAGAACAAACTAAACCCAAGCACAGTGAATGAGGGAAATAATAAGGATTAGAGTTGATATAAATAAAATGGAGAATGGAAAAAGAATAGAGAAATTAATGAAACCAAAAGTTGATTCTTCAAAATAAAATCAACAAAATTGACAACCATTAACTAGATTGACTAAGAAAAAAAGAGAAAAGTTTAAAATTACTCAAATCAGAAATGAAAATGGACTCTGAGCATGGTGGGTCATGTTTTAATCCTAGCACTTTGGGAGGTCACAGCAGAAGGATTTCTTGAGACCAGGTGTTTTGACCAGCATAGGTAACCTGGGGAGATACTGTCTCTACAAAAAAATTAAAAAGCCAACTAGCTGCGCATGGTGACATGCACCTGTAGTCCTAGCATCTTGGGAGGCTGAAGAAGGAGAATTGCTTGAGCCCAGGAGGTTGAGGCTGCAGTGAGCCATAATCACACCACTGTATTCCATCCTGGGCTGGCCTACAGAGTGAGAGTCTGTCTCTCTCTCTTAAAAAAAAAAAAAGAAAGAAAAATGAAGCGATTACTACCAATTATAATAAAATAATGATTATGAAAGTACTATAAATAATTGTATGCCAATAAATTGGATAACCTAGATGAAATAGACAAACTCCTAGAAACACACAAAAATATGAATAAAACTATAATCAGTAACAAGATTCAATCCATAAAAGCATTTGATGAAATTCAATATTTTTTCATAAGAAAAACATTCTAAGAATGGAAGGAAACCACCTCAACATAAAGGCAATATGTGAAAAACCCAATGCTAACATCATACTCAATGGAGAAAGACTGAAAGCTTCCCCTCTATGAGCAGGAACAAGACAAGGATGCCTGCTTTTGACACTTTTATTCAACATAGTATTGAAAGGTCTAGTCAAAAAAATTAGGCAAGAATTTTAAAAAAGACATTCAAATTGGAAGGAAGGAGTAAAATTATTTCTGTTTACAGATAACTTGAACTTATATGTAGAAAATCCTAAAGGTGGAACAAACTTATTAGAATTAATAAATAAATTCAGTAATGTTGCACAATACAAAATCAACATTCAAACATCAGTTGTATTTCAATACACTAACCATGAACAATCTGAAGGGAAGTTAAGAAAAATAATTTCAATTTATATTAACCTCAAAAAGAATAAAATATTTAAGAATAACCAAAGAGGTGAAATGATTATACCTGAAATCTGCAAAATATTGCTGAAAGAAATGAAAGACAATATCAATAAATGGAAAGACATTTTGTTTTCATGAATTGGAAGACTCAATATTGTTAGGAGGACAGTGCTACCCAAAGTGAGCTGTGGATTCAATGCAATTCCTTCAGAATCTCAGTGACATTTTTGCAGAAAAAGAAAAATCTGTCCTAAAATTTATATTGAATCTCATGACTCTAAATAGACACACAGCTTTGAAGAGGAAGAATGAAGCTGGAGGACTCAGACTTCCTGATTTCAGCATTTACTACAAAGCCCCAGTAATCAATACAGTGTGGTACTGGCATAAAGGAGGACATAGAAATTAATGAAATATCATAGCCCAGAAAGAAATGCTTGCATATATGGCCAAATGATTTTCATCGAGTGTGCCAAGATCATTCAATGGGGAAGGGACAGTGTTCTCACCAAATGGTATTGGGAAAGCTGGATATCCAAGGGCAAGAAGAGTGGAACCTTTACCTAACACCATGTACAAAAATTAACCCACAATAAATCATAGATCTAAATGTGAGAGCAAAAACTATACAACTCTTAGAAGAAAAGCTTCATGATACTGGATTTCACAATAATTCCTTGGTTGTAACAACAAAAGCATAGGCAACAAATAAAATCAATAAATCGGACTTCACAAAAATCAAAACCTTTTATATATCAAAGAACATTATCAAGAAAGTAAAAAGGCAACCCATGAAATGATAAAAATATTTGCAAATTATATGTGTGATAAGAAATTAATTTCCAGAATACATGAAAAGCTACAAGTCAACAACAGCAGACATCCAAAAACCCAATTAAAAAATGAACAAAGGATTAAAATGGAGTTTTATCCAAGGAAGGAACACAAATATCCAATAAGCCCATGCAAAGTTCCTCAGCATCATGAATACTTAGAGATATACAAATCAAAACCACAATGTTACACCACCTCACAAAATTTAGGATGGTTTTGATAAACAATAACAATGACAGCAACACAAAACAACAGGTGTTTTCAAGTAGATGGAAAAATTGGAGCTCTAGTGCATTGCTGATGGGAATGGGAAATGTTACAGCCACTGTAAAAATTGGTGTGCTGTTTCTCAAAAAATTAAACAATGAATTACCATTTGATCCAGCAATTCCACTTCTGGACATACTCCCCATAGAATTGAAAGAAATTTGAACAAATATTTGTACACTGATGTTTAGAGAAGCATTACTCACACTAGCCAAAAAATGGAAACAACTGAAAAGTCCATTGAAAGATAAGTGTGTAGGCAAAGGAGGTGTATCTATACATTGAAATGTTATTCAAACTTAACAAGGAATAAAATTCCAATATATCGTGCAAAATGGATGAACCTTGAAGATATTATGCTAACTGAAATAAGCCAGACACAAAAGGTAATTATTATATAATTCCATTTATAAAAGATAGAGTAGCCAGTTACATAGAGACAGAAAGTAGAATGGTGGGTGCTAAGTGTTAGGGGGAGAAGGAGTGAGAGTTACTGTTTATTGGGTACAGAGGTTTAATATGGTAAGAGGAAAAAGTTCTGGAAATGGATAGTGTGATGGTTACATAACACTAAATTGCACACTTAGAAACAGTTAATGGTAAGCCTTATATTAGATATATATAGTGTCTGGTAGTCTTACCCTCTCTATAATTACACACTTTTTGGCACTGCCCCTTTCCTGCCATGCAGAGCCCCAGGGGTGAATCTTCCTATTTCTCCAGCTCTGCATCAGTCACTGTACTCAGTGCTGTGTCCCACGTGCTGTGCCCACAGCCTCATACAGCCAGTGACTTCAGAGCCAGGACGCAGCTCAGGAGTCTGCCCTGAGGTTGCTTCTCTTCTTATTTCCTTGCAGCCTGGCCCGGGGGAGGCTTGGCTTGAACTGGCAGCTCAATTTAGCCAAATTCAGGACAGGCCACCAGGACTCTTTCTCCACACATGCTGGTCCCACCCCAGGTTGAGTGAGGCAGGGCCAGTCACCAGAGGAGCCCGGAGCAGAGCAGGAAGCAGAGTCTGAGCTGCTCCTCCCTCACCCAAGGGGCTTCCTCCTCTCATTTGGGGGAAAAGTGTGAGCTTGTTTCAAAGCCTCAGATGTTCCTTGTAGTTCATGGAAGAGGTACAAGAAAACAAAGACGTGACAGAAGGGGATGAGTTGGTGACAGTGAGAAGCAACTCGATGTTCAGCACTCTCCTTCTTGTCCCTCTGTGAAGCCTCTTCTACCACATAGGGCTCAGGGCTGATAAAGCCCCCTCCCTACCTTTCTCAGGCCAGACACAAGGTCAGTCATGAGAAAACAGAAAAAAAAGGAGAAGAGAGTCTGTAGAGACAAATTGGGAGGGTTCAGGAGGAGAATTTGGGATTTGCCTGTGCCCATGGGACACAGGCTGGGAATAAAAATGTTTTCCTGACTCTTCTCTGAAAGCTAGATAGACTCCACCTAAAACCCTATTGCCAAGGATGCTGGGATCCACTTACCAATGACTCTGATTGTCAAGGATGTGGAGCTTTCCTCGCCAGTGGCTGAGTTACGAGCAGAGCAAGCATAGAGCCCATTATGCTTTGGAGTAATCTGAGGGATAAAGAGCTTTTGTCCTGATAGCTGAAACTTCCCATTAATTGTCCAAGAATACTGTGCTGGTGGGTTAGAGTTTGCGAAGCAGGACAAGTCGAGGTTCTCTCCTGAATAGTAAGAGGTGACTGAAGGGAAAATTCTGGGGAGGTCTGGACCATCTGGAGGAAAGAGAATAAAGCCACAGTTGATGTCATCTGAGGGAAGGGGAAGCTCCTTGTCTCTTAAAGGGACACAGTGACCCTCTGAGCCAAGACACACCCTCAAGTCCCAGCCAAACCCCCTCTATGTTCACTGAGCTGAAGCCTGAAGTATTCACCTGTTTCTCCCACCACAAGCTGTGGGCCCCAAGTCTCCCATGACAAGAGCATCCCCTCTCCTTATATTCTTGGTTAAGGCTGTGTCTACCCAAGTTTTCCCAGGGCAGGGAGTCATGGCCACCTCGGATGTCCAAAAGTAAAGGTGTCTGTACTTGGACCGGAGAGAGACTGAGAGGCCTGGCCCCTGGTCGTTTGGATTTAAGCTGGTGTCCTGGCCCACAGAGGAACAAAAGATACAGAGGACATTCAGGGTGACTGAGTCACTGCGGATGCCACCATATCGGTCCCGTATTTCACATTGATAGGGTCCTGTTTCATTTCTCGTGACACTGGGTAGAATGAGGATCCTGTTTTCAATGGGTCGCTTTACCCTGGGACTGACCGGGAGGCTCTGACAATTTAGCCACCAAATGTAGGCATAGTTCTCACTCTTAGGTTCACAGGTGAAGGTTAAGACATCCTTATTCTCCCTGGGGTTTAAGTTGTTGATGGTGATGTAGGGCATGGGCAGCTTTGCTGTGTGGATAACAGAGAGAAGATTGTCCTGTGTGGCACCTTTGATTCCTCCACAGGCATCCTTCAATCAGAGTTGGCATCTCCCACCTCTCAGCCCACCCGAGTCCTTGAAAGCCAATAGCTGGTGCGTGTGTCACAAGACAGATGCATGATGATCTAAGGGCTCAAAGACTGTGAGGCCGCCTGCTTCATCTTAGGAAAGCACAGACTTTCTGAAGTGTCAATTGAGCAGCAGTGTTGGGTCATGGACAGATACGTCAGTGGGAGTCACAGCCCCTGGTACCCCTCCCAGTCCCTCCATAATCAGTTGACTGGCTGGCTCACCTTGGGTTCCTTACCTGGAATGTGCAACTGCTGGGCCCCTTCCAAATTCCATCCTACTTTGCCCCCCTAGATGTGATTTCTCTGCAGCTTCCATTTCCAAGGACATTCTAGAGATCAGTAATAATGGGACTTCCCATTGTCCTGAAACCCTGAAGATACTGAGCAGCCTGGCCTGGGACTGGATGTTTCAGCAGAAATAACACAGGGGAGACCAGAGTCAAGCCTGGAGGTCAGTTCAGTCATCAGGCAGTGGAGGCAGAAAGTGGGGCAGTGTTTTGCAGGTGTTTCATGATGACTTACTTGAACCAGTGACCTCTAAAGATAGAGCAGAGCGCAAGGAATGATCTAGGAAGAGTGAAGGGGATAGGCAAGAGCTGGTGGCTTTGGAGCAGAACCATGTTCCCTGTCCTGGGTCCTTTAAGTTTCCTTTCCTTCTGCAGAGGGCAGGTGAGGACCATGTGGATCTTTCCAGAAATACATGTGGACATTTGCAAATGCAGAACTGACTGGTGGAAAGGGTGGGAATGAACTGCTGGAAATCTGGTCCTCATGGACCATATGTGTTTGATGGATATGAGACAAATTTGGAGAAAAGTTTTGCAAGTAGTTTCTTTCATTGGATATTCTACTCTCTGATCCCCTGGGTTCGACTACTCTAGGGACCTCATGTAAATGGATTCCAGAGTGAATATGAGAAGAGACTGCTGGTTGCCAGGAGCTGGGAGTGGGGAGAATCAGAAGTTGTTCATGGGTGTGCAGTTTCCGTTATACAAGTTGGGGAGTTTCTAGAGATCTGCTGTAGAGCTTGATGCGTATTGTTCACACAGATTATTTCTTATGCATAAGACTTAGGACAAAAAGTGTTTTGGATTTCTGACATTTTTTGATTCTGAAATATTTGTCATATACTTACTGGTTTAGCATCCCAAATCTGAAAGATTCAAAATCTAAAATGCTTCAGTGAGAATTTCTTTTCAGCATCAGATTAGTAGACAAAAGTGGGAAGTGATAAGCCAAATATATTCTTGCCCTTTTTTTTCTCTCACCACATTTCTAGCTTGGTGATTAGTTTTCGGTGAATTCCATACTGGCCATGCTGCACTCATATATATTTGAAGGCTTTGGGATGTGAGAAAGGCTGATTGCTATTTTCTATGTCATCAAAACTTTCCACCTTTTCATGGTTGCATCTTTTTCACAGTGTTTCTGTTGTGGCAGTCATTAATAAGTGCCTGTCAGGTCAGATTTAGGACAGAGTTTTCTAATTCTGCAAAAAATGTTACTGGGATTCTAGTAGGGGTTGCATTGAATCTGCAACTCACTTTGGGTAGTATTGTCTTTCTAACAATATTGATTCTTCCAGTCCATGAAAATGAAGTGTCTTTCCATATAATGATATTGTCTTTAATTTCTTTCAGCAATGTTTTGTAGTTTTCAAGGTATAATCATTTGACCTTTTTGGTTAAACTTATTCCAAAATATTTTATTCCTTTTCATGTTAATGTGAATTGAAATTCTTTCCTTAATTTCCTTTCAGATTGTTCATTGTTAGTGTATAGTCTAAAGAATGATCTAGAAAGAGTGAAGGGGACAGGCAAATGCTGGTGGTTTTGGAGCAGAAACATATTCCCTGTCCTGGGTTTTTGATTTTCCCTCTCCCTTTGCAGAGGGCAGGTGGCTCTTCCCTGATAGCTAGATAGACTTCCCTGGAAAACATAGTGCCAATGCTCCAGGGATCCACTTACCAGGGACTATGATCCTCTTGATTATGAGATTTGTTCCACCAGTGGCTGAGTTATGGATGAAACAGACATAGACCCCTCTATATGTTTTAGTGATTTGGGGTATGAAGAACACTTGTGCTGATTGCTGGAACTTCCCACCAATCAGCCAAGAATGCTCTGCCAGTGGGTGAGTGTCTATGAGACAGGAGAGCTTGGGGACTTCCCCTGTATGGTAATAGGTGTATGAGGAAGAAATGGTGAGGGCATCCAGGCCATCTGGAGCAAAGAGAATAAAGTCACAGGTGACATTGTCAGAGGGAAGGGAAAATCCTGGTCTGTGGAAGGGCCACAGTGACCCTGTGAGCCAAGTCGCAAGACTGAAGTCCCAGCCAAATCCTCGCTGTGTTCACTGATCTGGAGCCTGAGACATTCACCTGTTTCTCCCATCACAATCTGTGGACCCTGAGCCTCCCATGACAGGAGCAGCCTCTTTTCTCCCACTGTGGATCAAGCCTAGGCCTACTGTGGTTTGTCTGGGGCAGAAAGTCATGGCCAGCTTTGATGTCCAGTGGTAAAGGTCTCTGTACTTGGACCTGAGAGGGACTGAGAGGCCTGGCCTCTGGCCATGTGTATTTGGGATGGCAGCCTGGCTCACAGAGGAACAGAAGATACTCACGGAGGAGATTCAGGGTGACTGGGTCACTGCGGCTGGCACTCCCTGAGTTCCATATTTCACATTCATAGGGTCCTGCAGTATACTTTGTGACACCAAATAGAAAGAGGGTCCTGTTGGTTTCAGACAGCTGCATCCTATGAGTCATAGGGAGGCTCTGACCATTCATCCACCACAGGTAGCTTGCGTCCGGAGTCTCAGGATTACAGGTTAAGATCACAGTCTCCATGGCCTCCCTGGGGTTTAAGTTGCTGCTGGAGATGGAGGGCTTGGGAGTCTCCACTGTGCAGAAAACAGAGAGAAGATTGCCCTGTGTGGCACCTTTGATTCCTCCAAAGGCATTTTTCAATCAGAATTGGCATTTGCCACCTCTCAGCCCACCCGAGTCCCTAAAAGCCCATGGCAGGTGTGTGTGTTACAACACAGATGCATGGCATTCTGAAGGCTAAGAGATTGTGAGGCTGCCTGCTTTATGTGGGAGAAGCACAGACTTTCTCAGGTGTGAATTGAGCAGCAGCATTGGGTCATGGAAAGACACAGGACCAGCAGTCATAGCCCCTGGTGCCTCTCTGAGTCCCTCCATCTCCAACTGCCTGCCTGGCCCACCTTTTGGTCCTGACTTGGAGCATGCAGTGCTGGAATCTTCTTAGTTTCAGTCTTACTTTTCCCCCCAAGGTATGTTTTCTCTGCAGCTTCCCTTGCCAAGGACATCCTAGAGATGGATGATGGAACTTCCCATTGTCCTTAAACCCTTTGGGTACTGGAAAGCCTGGCCTGGGACTGGGTACTTCAGCAGAAATAACACAGGGGAGACCAGAGTCAAGCCTGGAGGTCAGTTCAGTCATCAGGCAGTGCAGCCACAAGGTGGGGCAGTTTTCCCAGGTGTCTCATAGTGACTGACTTGAGCCAGTGACCTCTAAAGATAGAGCAGAGTCCAAGGAATGACCTACAAAGAGTGAAGGGGACAGGCAAGAGCTGATAGCTTTGAACCAAGACCATGTTCCCTGTTGTGGGTCTATGATGCTCCCTTCCCCCAGTAGAGGGCAGGTGAGGACCATGTGGATCTTTCTGGAAATACATGTGGATGTTTGCAAATGCAGAACTGACTGGTGGAAAGGGCAAACATGAACTGATGATGGAAGTCTGGCCCTCATGGACCATATGTGTTTGGTAGATATTAGACCAATATTTGGGAAGAAGTCTTGCAGATACTTTCTCTCATTAGACATTCTACCCTCTGATTCTGAGTTTGACTACTCTATGTACCTGATATCAGTGGATTCCAGAGTGAATCAGAGTGTAGAATAGTAGTTTCCAGGAGCTGGGATCAGGGGAATTGGGTGTTGTTCCGTGGGTGTGCGGTTTCAGTTATGCAGGACGAGGAGGTTCTAGAGATCTCCTGTACAGATTCATGCCTATAGTTCATACAGATAAAGTGCTTCTTATGCAGAAAGGTTAAAACAAAGTGTTTTGGAATTCTAATTTTTTTTATTTTGGAATATTTGCAGTACATGTACTGGTTTAGCATCCCAAATCTGAAAAATTTAAAATCCACAATGCGCCAGTGAGCACTTCTTTTTAGCATCACATCAGTGGTCAGAAGTGTAAAGTTTTGGAGCATTTCAGATTGTGGATTTCTGGATTTGGGATGCTCCATATTTAATACTGTAATTATCCCATAAAAAGTTGTCAGGAGATTAGACCTCATGTTGTGTTCTGACTCTAGTAACAAAAAAAAAATTTGGAGGAAACATTAAAATGTTTTCATAAGTGGAAATTTTTACTGATGGTCTAAACATCTAAGATCAATTGCTGGTAGTAGTATTTCTCTTGAGACCAACATAAGGTTTAGGTGTGCCATGAATTCCAGCAGGATCACATTATGCTCAAAGAAAGATGCCAAAGGTGATTTGAAATTAGCAGCTCCTTAAGTAGAGAGAGTCCCGTTAAAAGGACAGAACTGGTCAGTGCATCAATTACATAAAAGGAGGAAGGATGCCAAATTAAAAGAAGTGATGTGTGTTATGTTAGTAAATATAGAAAGAACTTCCTGCTTCTAATTTCTGTGCAGTTAGGAAAAATGGGGAGGACCCCAAAACAGGTATGTGAAATGCTTTCTTCATTTTCTGTTAAGCTCAGGAAACACCACTAGAGTTTAAGTTTGTGTGAATTAGAAGGAGTCTAAGTGAGATGCCAATGGCTCATGTGTCTCCCCACACGAAGAACTCCAACTTATGAAAACGGCATCATCATGAGGAAACAGTTGTATGTGGCACAGGCAGTAAAACCATCAGATAGCACCCACCTGGCCACCTCCAACTAGTCCCCAAAACCACCAGTATTCCTCTTAAGTATGTGTTACAGCCTTTGTAGTTGTCCCACAGCTACAAAATTTTAAAAATGCTATTGTCAAAACAAAATATTAAATATGAAGTTGAATATGTTGATCCACTTTTTTTCCCTACTCTTTTTGGACTTTCCTGTTTCAGTTTTGGAAATTTCTATTGACACATCCTCAAGCTAGGGATTCCTTCCTCAGCTGTGTGCAGTCTACCAGTAAGCATCAAAAGAATTCTTCATTTCTCTTACAGCATTTTTATTTTTTCTGAGAGAGACTCTTGCTCTGCCAGGCTGGAGTGCAGTGGCATGATCTCAGCTCACTGCAAGCTCCACCTCCCGGGTTCACACCATTCTCCTGCCTCGACCTCCCAAGTAGCTGGTACTACAGGTGCCCACCACCATGCCCAGCTAATTTTTTGTATTTTTAGCACAGATGGGCTTTAACCATGTTAGCCAGGATGGTCTCCATCTCCTGACCTTGTGCCTGCCCCAGTCTCCCAAAGTGCTGCGATTATAGGCATCAGCCACTGTGCCCAGCCATCTCAAAGGGATTTTAATGAGTTGTTGACTTTTGAGTTTGTTCAGCTTTTTACTTAGTGTTAGAACCGAGTGACAAATTTCAAGCTTGTCATATGCCTGACACGAAGCCAGAAGTCTCTAGGAAGTGATCAGAGAATGTAAGCTCCATAGCACGTTGACGATGGAGTCATGAGTGAAACAGGTGAAATGAGCTCATGGGCTTTGGAGACTGCAGGCCTGTCCAGCCTCTGACACCCTGGTGAGTCAGTGCAGAGATTACAACAGTGACAGCAAACTAGCATGGCTGACTCCATCTGGCATCTAGTCTCAGGCTGGCTGTCCTCACTCATTCCTGCACATAGACAAGGCTAACCTTGGGAGAAATTTAGTTTATGGTTTAACTTTGAAGCAAGAATGATAATAGTTCCTCCATAAAACTAACACCCTTACTTTGCCCAGGGACTGCCTTTGTCAAACTAGTGAAAGACCATGAGATTTAGATTATAAGAGGGAACTGAATTCTGCTAAAATGTATGCACAGTTTCTATAATCCCTGACTGCTGCAATGTCATTTGGCAAGGGTTTACAAAATTTGTAACTAATTGCTCCTATAGATAACATCACTATTGTAGAACGTGAGATTGGTCTTTTGAGATGCTTCTCATTCTTTTGCATTCTGGCAACCAGCTGACCTCATCCATACCTATGACTAATGGCTCAGCCCGTCATGTGGTCCCTACCTAGAGGCAGATTCAAGCACAAACAGATCATTTCCCTCCGCCCGCATGATTCCATCACCAACAATCAGCAGTACTCATTTTTTAGTCCTGTGCCCCTGAAACTATCCTTGAAAATCTCTAAGCCCTGATCCACTGGGGAGGCTGATTTCAGTAATAATAAACCTCTGTCCTCCTGTTTGGCAGACTTGGAGTCATTAAAATCTTTCTTTACTAAAAATCACCATTTCAATAAATTTGTGTGTTTGTGTGTGTGTGTGCAGGAGGCCAGAAGAACTTGTCTGACAATGATAAGAGTGGTTGGAGGGACTTCCTATCCCTGTCCCATGGTCTTGTCCACAGGTCAGCCTCACAAAGGGGAAGAGCCCTTGATGGGAATACAGTGGAAGCTCATTCTCTTAGTGACCTGGGGACATTGGCTCGAGATGAAGCCTGGCAGGAGTGGCAACTCCAGGTGATTTCTGCACCTTTCCTATTTCCTGGGAGGTGGGCCAGGCCACAGTGTTAGCGGGAAGGGAATAGAACAGCCAGCCTAGTTAGAGGGAGTGTCTGGGGAAGGCCTAGGGGTGGGGGAAGAAGCTGTGCAGGACAGGGCTTGCCAGTCAGAATGAAGTGGGAGGAAGATGAGGGACACAGAGAAGCAGAGAGAGGCAGAGACACCATGGCAGTGAGCAGTGAGGGAGACACTGACTTCAGAGCCCCCAGGAACCAGCTGCCCCCAGTTCCACAGTCCAGGACCAAGGAGCCCCGAGAACCCTCTGGTGGCCAAAGAGCTTCAGAGTTACATGAGGTGGGGTGGCTTTAGGGGCAAGAGGTAGTGGGGGGATGAAACATGGGTGTCAGCCTCTGAAGGACAAGGGACAGGTGTGGCTAGAACCTCCTAGGATTCTGCATTCAAGATCCAGTCTCTAAAGAGGTTTTGGATCATTCATTTCTTCATTCCATTCCTTCATTTGTTATGTGAGAGCTCCTGAGTGTGTGTCTCTCGCTGGGCCTGTGCTGGTGTAGGGAGTGAGTGGGGAAAGAAAACAAGGTCCTCTCCTTGATCCTCTCATGACAGTGACATGGACACTTTGGGAAACACAGAGTTTCAGGTTCAGTGATGGGGGTTAAGATCTGAGGGGGAGGCCTGGACATTTTTTTTGCACTGACTTTGATGGTTGAAGCAGGTGATTTAGTTCTGGAGTATAGACTAATCAGCTGACCATTTGCTCTCACTCCTCTGAGGTTTGGATGCCTAAGAAGAGAGGATTTGAGCCAATAAATGACTATGGGGTGCTTGGAACCCAGTAAGCCCTCACTTCTGGTGGAGGAGAGGATGGGCCTGTGGCTGCAGACAGACCTCATGTGACCCTGATCTCCCCTTTGCGTTTGTGTGACTCTGATTCAGTGACTGTGCCTTCCTGTGCCTCAGTTTTCTCTCAATCAGATAAGTTAAATGGCAAATGGACTGTGGCTTTTCATGCTATCTGTGAATAAATGTTAAATTATTCACAGTCACCTGACCTAATGCTTGGCACAGTGGAGGTGTTCACACAAGCAGCATTTATTATTAATTTGCTTCCATGAGAAAGCACCTTTACGTCAGATCCCTGTGGACAAGCTGCTACCAGGTACATCTTCTCTCTTCTGTTTCTGCTTCTGAGGACATTAGACTTTCTATGGACTGTCCTAAGCCTCCTAAGGCAGTTGGCTGATGACCTACAAAGCTTGTCTTTCTGTCCTCTCCACTCTGAGTGTCAGGTGAAGAAAGCTCTGTCCTTGCCCAGATGAGGCTCTGAGGGCTGAGCCCTGGCTGGTGAACAGCTCCAGGAGACACAGTCCTCAGACAGCTGGTAAATTCTTGGTCCCAGTAAGCCCTGCCCAAGAAGCCACAACCCAGCCCTGGAACAGGCTCCTCAGCTTTATCTGGAACAAGGATTTAGGTACAGAGTTCTGGGTTTGAGGCTTCTAGGGCTGAGCTTCTCTGAGAGTATCTCAGGGGCCCCTCAGGTCAAATTCTACTCAGTTCTCCAGGGTCTTTCTCAGGGTCAAATTTATGAAGAGGGCATGAGGTGCTTGGCTGAGACTGATCTCCTCCTGCTGAGTCCCCCCATCAGACTGTCCTTCCTCTGCAGCGAGTGTCTGCAGGGTCTGGATGCGGGAAAGGAATTCTGATCTGTTGAAATTTGTCTCCTCTGTGTGTGTCCTGCACTAAATGCCCAAACCCCAGCATGGGACATAATGCAGAGAGGGACACAGGCAATGTCCAGGCCTGACAATCCTGTGTGTGTGATGTAGAAGTGACCCCTGTCCCCCAACACCCAGGGATCATGTGGAATCACTTACGGTATAAGGTGAAGGTGAAATATCCAGTTACTCCTCTAGTCCCATCACCTCGCTTTATGATGTGTAAGGTGTAGGATCCTGCGTCCTCCCGGGTGACATTCTGGATCAGCAGGGATGCATTGGAATATACTGTTTCTCGTCCACTGTATGCCGGTCCATATATAATTATTTGACCGTCTACTACATATGATGTAATGTAATGGTAGAGGTCCCTGATTTGCCCTTTGTACCAGATGTAGCCAGTAAGATTCTGGGGCAAATTGTGGACAAGTAGAAGAACATCCTTCCCCTCGGACACTTTGGGTGGCTGGGCTTCAATCATGACTTGGGCAGTGGTAGGCAAGTTCCAGAAGTTTAAAAGTAATGCTAGGAGGTGGAGAGAGCATCAGTCAATATTGAGACCTATGTATTGGGGTGAAAAGATGGGGCCCTGAGTCCTGAGAAGGTCTCTTCAATCCTCAGCCTTGAAGACACACACACACACACACACACACATACAAACATACACACACAGAAAAGGGGCATGTGTGTTTGTGTATGTGTATGTGTGTGTGTTCTACTGTCCTACTAGGTCAAGGTCAGCAGCATGACCCCCATTCCTTCAACACTTCTGACCTTGGCATTTTTCTGTTTGGAATCCTCTTCCCCAGGGGTCCGCATGGCCCCCTCCACACTGCCCTCAGGTCCTGCTCACATCAGGGCATCCTTAGACTTCTTTCCTGACACCTCCTTCAGGGACTCTGGGTCTTCCCTTTCTGACCTTTCCCTGCTCTGCTCCCTCCAGGGTTCTTGTCAACACCTGACCTCACATTCTAGATCTCTTTGCATGTCTGACTTCCTCCCCATGGCAGCATGAGCTCCGTGAGGACAGGGACTTTTGTGATCTTGGTTGCACCCCAGTGCCTGGAACAGGCTGCAGACTCCTGTAGATGTGAGAGTTCTCAGGGCCGTCCACGCCCTGGGTGTTTTTTTTTTTTTCCCCAATTGTTGAGGTTTTTTATTGAGGACAGTGTTTCATGCCCTGTTTATTTTTATTTGTAGTGTCATCTGATATAGTTATTATTATCATTTTTCAAAATGTGGTGGCCCCTGATGATTAATCAGGAAAACAGAACACCTGTTTCCTACCTCTTACCAATTCCGGTTCAATGTGACTTTCCTGTTTTGACCCCTGTCCCTCTTGGGTGTATTTTCCCCTATCCAGGCATCAACAGGGCCTTCTTTCCTTTTTTTTTTTTTTTTTCTCTTTTTTTTTTTTTTTTTTTTTTTGAGATGGAGTCTCGTACTGTCACCCAGCCTGGCGTGCAGTGGCACTATCTCAGCTCACTGCAACTTCCGCCACCCTGGTTCACGTGATTCTCCTGCCTTGGCCTCCTGAGTAGCTAGGATTACAGGAGCACACCACCATACCTGGTTAATTTTTTGTACTTTTAGAAGAGACAGGGCTTCACTCTGTTGGCTGGACTGATCTTGAACTCCTGATCTCGTGATCCACCCACCTCAGCCTCCCTAAATGCTGGCTTTTTTATTTTTTAGAACCCCAGGAGCCTCTCCAGGAGACCCCATCCAGTCACTCTGCTTCCTCCTCCTGTCCTCTCCCAGGAAGTTCTCTCCTCACCTGTGAGCAGGAGCCCCTTCCATTTGATGTGCTCTGTGCAGGGAGGGGCTGAGAGGGGCCCCATGATCTCTGCTGCGTGCATGTTCTCCTCTGTGGAGATGAGCCTAGGATCCAGAAGCTTCCAGAGCACGGCTGTCAGCTGTGCTGTCCTTCCTCCTTCTGCGCTGAGACTCTTCCCGGTGGAAGGAGCACTTCTCAAGCTCATGGGCAGGGTCAGGCCGAGGACACCTCTCTGTCCCCTCCTCTCTCAGCCCTGCCTCCTTGTCCCTCCTTCTGTTTTTCCTTTTGTCTGTGTTTCAGGTCCCTGGGAATTGTGGAGGCCTCTGCCTTTTTCAGCAGTGATTCTTTCACCAAACCTCAATACACACTTTGTGCGGACACACACATACACACACACACAGAAGAGACACACACAGACCCACACAGTCAGACACATACCCTGCAGGTTGGGCAAGCAGAGTCCTGGGCCTCAGCCTCCTGCTGTCCCCATTGCTCTTGGTCGGGGTGCACATTCACACCCTTTGCCCTCTTTCATCCCCGTCTGGCTCTCCCCTTCAGTGCAGGAGGCTGGAGCTGCACCAGGTCCCTGTCAGAGTGACACCCCATTGTGCTGTGGGTGAGCTGTGTGTTGCCTGGTGAGAGGGACCCTTCTTTTCTCCAATCGTGTCTAGCTTGGCTGCAGCTTCCAAGGATGGACATTGAGGACCTGGGTTTCCCAGAGGAAACTGTCCTTCCTGGAGGTGTGCAGGGTGAATCTTTCATGCCTCCTGGGAGGAGAGGCCTGTGCTGGTTGCTCAGTGGGGGCTGTGAGTCCCATAGTCAAAGGGAAAGTTCTCGGTCACTCTGTGACTCCATGGGGTCTGGCAGCTGAGCTGGAGCTCTTGGTTTCTCATGTTCTTCCTGACAATCTTTGATGTCCTTTCTTCTCTGCCGAGCTGATTGTCCTGTGGTCACCACACCTTCCCCGTGGTGGTGCAGGAGGAAGTGGGGAGTTACCCAGGAATCCCGCGGGACATGACTTATTGAGACGCAGGAGGAGGAGCCTGGGACAGAGCAGGGGTTCAGAGCTGGAGAGATTCATCCCGACTTACTCCGTGGCCATGATGGGCTCAGCCCTCCATGTGCTGAGATACCCAGGGGTCTGTCCTGAGGGTTTTGACCTGGCCAAGCTGCTGTGTGTAGAGGAGGAACAGGCAGTGGCCAGAGATCCTGTCTGGAGGGACGTAGCTCACACCTGAGAGGGCGGGTGGGGGTGAGTTGTGTTCTGGGAGCAAAGAGCAATAACACCCCCCTTCTCCCCGCAAGCACACGGGAGACGTCTGTCTTCCCAAGAGACAGCTGGGGGTAGGTGGCCACATCCCGGATGGTGCCTGTGTGTGACCATCACACGCGCTCTGAGCCCTCCGGGGTTCAGTGAGCAGGCAGGTCACAGGGTGCCTGGCTGATTCCCGGTGAGGCTGTGGGCCCTCAGGCAGCCGCTATTCTGTGTCAGCGCTAAGCTTGGCCTGGGATGCCCCAGTGAACAGGACAGATGGAGCAGGGGTGGGCATTTAGGGAGCAGTGACAGAAAGAGTTGATGTTGATGGAGGGAGGTCACGAGGGGAAAGCGCCCAGTGTGGCATCGCGTGCACCAGCGCTGCCCTGGGAGATGCCTTTAGCTGGGCCCAGGGAAGGAGCAGGTGTGTGGGGCAGGAACTACCTGTAGGGGGAGTGGTGTTAGGTTGGTGGCCCCCAGGTCAGGGAGGAGCTGACAGAGACCCTGTGGGGAGCATGGAGGGCGCTGAGGACTTAGTCCGAAGTGACCCTGGTGAGGGTGGACCCTGCTGGGCTGTGGGTTCCGCTGAGGGCGGTTGGCATCCCTTGGGAAGACTCCAGGCCGGGAGGGACTCTGTCGCCTTCTGGTGGACAGGGAGGGAAGTGTGAACGGCAGCAATCCCAGGCCAGGCTGCATGTTTTATTCTACGTGGATCTGCACACTTCACACAAGGTCACACATATGTTATGTTATAGCTCCTTCACCTTCCAGCCCCGTGAGTCCCAGTCTGTGTGGCTCTACGTTCACTGTTCTCCCTCTTTCACGATCAGATATCCCAAACGCAGATGTTTGTCACTTTCTGTGAGTTTGTGTTTGTGTGCAGTAGGCGGCACTGTGTATACCCTGGGGGCAGTGATGTCTGGGGCTGAGCGCTGCACTTGGGCTTGGGAGAAGAAGACGGAGCAGCAGGGTGGGAAGATCAATGTCAGGGGGGCAGGGACATCATTTTCATTTTCTCCCAGGGACCAGAACCCACGATTTTGACTCCAGGGCACAGTACCACACCCTGCTGGTGTCCCTGGATGTCATGATGCTCATAGTGTCATGTTGCCTTGGCATTCATTTTTTAAGTTGTAAGTTTATTTGCCTCAAATCAGAGGCAGGGCTTGGTCACCATGGCAGTTTTCAATACTGTATCTGGTTCAGGTGGCTCCAGTTGGTGTCCAGAGATAAAATCTTAGAGGCATCTCTCCTGCTTGGTGTGCTGGACTCCCCTCTCTCCAGCTGCTTTCTTTAAACTGATAATTCTGACATTCGCCCTCATATTTAAAGTGACCACCTCTCAGTCACAGCGTGAGCTCCTGGTCCCAGTGTTTGCTGCTTTCTTTGAACACATCCATTAAAGCTCCCTGCTGGAAATCTGTCATATAACACCCTGGACTTAATAAAGCCATTGGCTTACCAGTCTCTTCTCTCCTCCCTGCCTGGGCTCACTGAACTCTGTGTCTGCGGTCTCCAGGTGTGCCGAGTGCTCCCTAGTGTCTGTAAGTAGTAAAAATACTGACATTTTCACTTTGTGGTTGTATCATTGTAGCCTCACATGCCATCCAGAGGCTGACATTGAGGCTGCCCTATGGGACCTGTGCTGGTTGAGCCTCTGCTGGAGCTCTTGTTTTGGGGCCTCTGGTACTCCTGGGGACAGGAGCTTCCAGGTAACTTGATTGAAAAACTCATGCCTTTCATTGAAACACTGGGTCAGATGATGTATTCATGGGCTTCAGCTGCCATAACAAATGCCTTAGCCTGGGTGAATTACATAACAGAAATCTATTTTTCACAGTTCTGTGAATAATGTGCTATTCTAACCACTTTAAGATGCACAATCAAGTGAAATTAACCACATACACAGTGTTAAATTACCATCACCACTATTTTTCCTAGAAAATTTTTATCACTTTAAACTGAAACTTTGTATCTTTCAAACAATACCTCCCTGTATGTTCCACCCTAGACTTTGATCATCTCTACTCTGTCTCTATGAATTTGCCTATTCTTGATGTTTCATATAAATGGAATTATACAATGATGTTATTTTGTTTCTGACATATTTCACTTAGCATAATGTTTCCATAGTCCATGCATGTTCCAGTGGGTGTCAGAGCTTCATTCCTCTTTATGGCAGATTAACATTCTGTTGTATGTGTCACCATATTTATTTATTCATGCATTGATGAGCACTTGGATTGTTTTCATATTTAATCTTTTGTGAATAATGCTGCAATCAACACTATCATGCAAGTACCTGTTTGAGTCCTGGATTTAATTCTTTGGGTATATACCTAGGAATGGATGTTGTTTCAAATGAGAATTATATGATTAGCTTTTTGAGGAACAGCAAAACTGTTTCTCCTAGAGGCTGTACCTTTTTATATTCTCACGAGCAATATATGAGGATTCCAAATTCTACATAATACTGCTACTTGTTATTTAACATTTTAAAAGAATGGTAACCAGTTTTGTAGATGTGATGTGGTGTCTCATTGCAGCTTTGACTTTGTGTTTTCCTGATGACTAATGATGTTGAGTATCTTTTCATGTCCTTCTTGACTCTTTGTATATCTTCTTTGAAGAAATGTCTATTTGACTCTTTTGCCCATTTATAAATTGGATGATTTGTCCTTTCTTTATTGAGTTGTAGCTAGTTCTTTATATTATCTGAACATGAAAACTGCCTATATGTGGTTTGCAAATATTTTCTCTCATTCTGTGTCTATTAATTACTTTCTTGATAATTTCCTTTGATGTACAAAATGCTCACATCTTGATAAAGCCCAATATATCTTGTTTTTCTTCTTTCTCATGCTTTTGTATCATATCTAAGAATCCATTGCACATTTGAGGTCATCAATATTTACCTCTATGTCTACTTTGAGATGTTTTTATGGTTATAGGTCTTATATTTAACTCACTGATCAATTTTTTAGGGAATTGTTTGATACGGTGTGAGGTAGAGTTATCTAAATTCACTGTTTTGCATGTGGTTATCTAGTTGTTTCTGCACTATCATTAGAAAGGAGAATTGTTCCTCCATTAAGTTGTCTTGACACTCTCTTCAAAGACTAATTGACCATAAGTGTGAGGGTTTGCTTCTAGACTCTCAATTCTATCCCATTTGTCTTTATGTTCATTCTTTTGCCAGCAGCTTGTTTTAATAATTGTACTCCTTTGTGAGATTTCAAATAAGAAAGTTCAAGTCCTACAATTTATTTTGGCAAGATTCTTTTGGCTATTCAGGGATCCTTTTTTGAAAGGTGGGGAGGCGAATGTTTCACCATTGGGAAAGCCTTTTCTGTCTTCTTCATGGGGAAATTTGGGAGAGCCTTTTAAAAAACTTTATCTAAGTAGGTAAACTGTCACCACTTTATTTGCTGAAGTGCTATGTTAAAGTGTGCCTTGCCTCTTGTGGAAGAATTGTGAGACCCTGGAAGCACTTGCCCACGTGGTGAGAGACAGTGAGTTCCACGATGAGGGGCAGAGAGGACATTGTTTTGGGATACAATGTTGTTGGGGGAGGTGTATACATCTCAACTTCTTTATGTCTCTGTGCAGTGGGTGTAGGGAGCAGCCCCACAGGGTCGGTGGGTTTTTCTCCCCATGTGCAGAGATGAGAGATTGTAGAAACAAAGACACAAGACAAAGAGATAAAAGAAAAGACAACTGGGCCCGGGGGACCACTACCACCAAGACGCGGAGACCGGTAGTGGCCCCAAATGCCAGGCTGTGGTGATATTTATTGGATACAAGACAAAGTGTCAGGATAAGGAGTGTGAGCCATCTCCAATTATAGGTAAGGTCACATGGGTCACATGTCCACTGGACAGGGGGCCCTTCCCTGCCTGGCAGCCAAGGCAGAGAGAGAAAGAAGAAAGAGAGAGAGAGCTTACAGCATTATTTCTGCTTATTACAGACTTTTAGTACTTTCACTAATTTGCTACTGCTAACTAAACGGCAGAGGCAAGTGTACAGGATGGAACATGAAGGCGGACTAGGAGCGTGACCACTGAAGCACAGCATCATAGGGAGATGGTGAGGCCTCTGGATAACTGCAGGTGGACCTGAGTAATGTCAGGCCCTCCACAAGAGGTGGAGGGGTAGAGTCTTCTCTAAACTCCCCCAGGGAAAGGGAGACTCCCTTTCCCAGTCTGCTAAGTAGTGGGTGTGTTTCCTTGACACTGAGGCTACCACTAGACCAAGGTCTGCTTGGCAACAGGCATCTTCCCAGATTCTGGCGTTACCTCTAGACCAAGGAGCCCTCTAGTGCCCCTGTCTGGGCATAACAGAAGGCTCGCACTCTTGTCTTCTGGTCACTTCTCACTGTGTCTCCTCAGCTCCTATCTCTGTATGGCCTGGCTTTTCCTAGGTTATGATTACAGAGTGATGATTACTCTAATGTTGGAATAAAAAGTAATTCCTACCAACTAATGATTAATGATATTCACATATAATCATATCTAAGATCTGTATCTGGTATAACTATTCTTTTATATTTTATGATACTGGAACAGCTCATGCCCTGAGTCTCTTGCCTCAGCACCTGGGTGGCTTGCCGCCCACAAGTGGGCACCTCCATTGGACACAGTAGGTTTTGAAATCCTTGTTTATCCTCTGGGGTCTGGGTCTTGGCTTACCTGTTAGCTGCAGCTGAAAGAGGTGTCTGCTAAGGCAATGACACCTGTGGGGAGAAGAAGGGTTCAGCAGAGTGAAAGCAGCTGGGGCTCAGAAAAGCCAGGAAAGTCTGACTCTTAGAAACTGTGGGTTAGCAGATGGGTGTCCTCAGGGGTAAATGGGCCATGCCAGTAGCCACTGCAGTGGACTGGAAGAAGGTAAGTGATGCTGGGTATCCCATGTTCTGTCTCAGCTCTGCAGCTGAAGATTTGGGCCCTATGCTGGTACGGCCCTGCAGCAGGGGAAGGGTACACAGGAATGGCTGCATATCAGGACCAAGTCCATGTCATCTTCTTAGGCATTGTTACTGCAGATGGAGGATTCTGTTCAGAGACCTGGCCTGGACACATGGGAGGGCCCACCCCATTCTTTTAAAATTATTTTAAGAGAACAGTATTAGCAAATGTGGTACATGTTTTATTCTGCTAGAATCAGCATTACTGTCACGTTTTACAACGTATCTCTTAGGAAATCATGAGAGCCATCCACACAATGTGGATTTAAAGGGGACTCTACTATAATTTCAGCTTTCCTACTCTTTATAGAAACCATCTTCTCTGCAAACACACAGGCAATATCTCTGTGTTCATTTCTATTGGGAGCCCTGTATGCAAGGTGGAGAGAGCCACATTTCCCCGTGAGATGTTATGTAAAAGTTTGAGGTTGAGATGACATATCTGACACTCTGTTGTTACCCTCAGAAGCTACTACATGTGAAATTCTAATGACTGCATTATCCTGCCAAATGAAAGAGGCATGCATGAGCAAGGACAGTTAAGAGGGGCGAGAGCCTCATCATGATGGGGAGTCTTATTTTGACATCTTGGGGAGAACTGTCCACAGTGTGAAGTCATCAACTTGTTGTCCTGGTTTACAGTTTGAGCATCTGTTGTTATGCTGTCCAACATTTTGGTGAGTTCTGAGTGGCTCACACTTCAGGTACAAGAATTTTCCCATGAAATTTACATTGAGTTGTCCTCCTCCCACTTATAGGGCTTCTGGAACAGAGTGGGTCTTGGTCTTAGTGATTCCATGGGAGAAAATGGAATTGGAGGAACTAGTAGAATTCAGGGTAATGTCCAGTCTACAGGTGAATAATAAAAACACAGAAACAATGAACAGAGCTGCAATCTCATAACCGGTATACTACAGTTTTTATTTTCCACATAATTTTTCTCTCTATGGGCATCTCTAGTTTTACCAATGATAATTTCAGTAGAATAAGTTTGTTTGCAAAATAAGTTGAGTTTCTTCAAACATAGTCTGATTCTTTACATAAGTGCAGCAAGAGTAGCAATGAGCCAGATAGGCTCTCTTTTAAAATTTTCTTTGCTCTAAGTTTTTATAAGGAATCTGAGATTAGACTTTTACAAACCTCTTGAGAATAGGAAGCCAAACCAAGGCTGACTTCAGACTTTGCCTGCAGTTCATATTGGTTCATTCTAAATATATTCTTAAATATAACAACCCAGTCAAAGCCTTGGTAATATAACAAATGATTTCAAATATGTCCTGTTAAAAATAGAGCAGATTGTTACTGTACTTGTGCAAATATGTGTATTACCTTAAACATATCAACACTCATGAATAGTTGCCCAATTCTGGGGCAGTCAGCTAGACAGCAAAAGTAAGTGTTTCAATTATTGTTCCCAGAAGTATAGTTTATTGAACTGCTATAAGCTATAGATAGATTAAAAAAATTCCATGAATCTAGAAAATAAAACATTTAAAGAATCAGCAAATTTTCAAATAAAAATCTTAAAAACATTATCCTCATTATGATCAATTATTTCAATGAAATCAATGTTTTTCCTGCTTGGTAGGCTTAGAATTTTCTGAAGATATCAGCCTGTTTGTTAAAGGTTTGTAAGTTCTTAGACAGTCCAGTGGTATAATCTGAAAGTTATCAGAAACTTGTATTAAAGTCTACTTGTCAGCATCTTTTCCATAAATCTCCTTGAAAAGGAAGCAATTTTGGACTGTAGCTGATTGGAAATGCTTTGAGGAAGAATAAAAACAACGTGTGTGAATGACAAAGATTTTAAATGACTATGGTTAAAACTCTGATGAGAATTCATTATGATAACACAGCTCACATAAAAAGTTCGTTACTTCTGTGGTACATGACATTATGGCTGATAACATAATTAATTTCTAGGAATCTCATACAATTTCTGGAACAATCATATCAGTAACATATCCATAAATATAACATAGAGAAGGTTTAGCTTCCTTTACTACTTATGATTTGAAAATGCTTTTCAGATAATTTTACATGTCAAATAAAGTGGCTTTTCCATGTAGCTTGTGTTTCTCAACAGGATTATTGAGTACTTGGTGGAGGACATTAATGAATAGGGCCAAGAAAGTATAGGCTTATGTATGCTGAAAAATTTCCCTAGATAATTCCAATACTCCCAGCTAATAATCATGAAATTAGGTCTAAGTTTTACCTATTAGAACAGCTGTTCTTTATCCTGGTTACACATTAGTAGCATCTAGGAAGACTTAAAAATTACCAATGTCTGAGTCTCACTTTAGACCATTAAATTGGATCCTATGGGTGGGGCTTGGGCATCCATTTAAAAAAACGTTTTCCAGTGATTCCAATGTGTAGCTGTATTTCCCCTCAGATTTCTCTGATTTCTTTTGGCATTCACTTTTTTCTATTTTGGTATTATAATTATTTTTCTGGTCTTATCATCTATCTTAGGCTTTATGTTCCTTGGGGTAGAAACCTTGCTTCTTCGTTTCTGTATCTTTCATGAACGTATGAGAGGGTCATCAGGAAAATGTTTTCAGTCACATGTAGGTTGTGTTCTGAGTCTCAGGTTTTCACATTAATGCTGGAGTCATTGTTCTCTGGGAGGTCAGAGGTTGCTTGTGATGAAGGGTATGGGTAAGCCCATAATGCAGATGGTAGATGGGAGATCACCCTGTTTTTAGCCATAGCACTGGAACTAAGCATTCTATGTGTATATCAGGTGGAGGGGAAGGGATGTGTAGAAAGAGAGATTTAGTTACAATGGGGAATTACTCTAGGGAATAGAGGTAATGGAAGCAATACAAATTAGTAAAGAGAAGAAATGTGAACTTATCAAATAGGCAAGAGTAGATCCCTGAAGATTTTTGAATAGGGGAGTTAACTAGAATTTAGGAAGGTAATAAGGCAGTCATACACAAGGAAGGTTTCAAAAACTGGAGATAAGTCAAGCAGTACCTCTAGCAGTTGTTGAGGTTGTGGGAATGGAGAGAATGACACAAGTGAGAGATGTTAAAAAAAGGATCAAGAGGGTGTTATAAGGTATTGAATCTGGGAGACAAATGAGCAGAGGCTGAGGATAATCATTTGTAGGAGACAGTGGGGTACAGGGAGCATGAAGAACAGGGGAGAAGAGACCTGCAGGAATGAGTGCTGAGAAGCAGGAGTTTAGTGGGAGGAGGAGGAGATCCAGTCCCAGATATGGGCAAAGAAGTCCTTTCCCTCTCCCAAGCATGGCAGTCAGCCCTGCAGGAAACAGGACAAAAGGAAAGGCCATCATACCTGCTAGTCTTCCTGAAATAAACTACACCAGGGCTGGTAGATCAGAGCCACACTGGCCAGTACTCCAATCATGATGCTGACAGTGGCTCTACCTGAAAGGCCAGGACAACTTCCTTTCACTGAAGTATCTGTCATGGAAAGAAAAGAAGAGAAGGAATAAAGGTGATGTTATTTTACAGTGTGGTACCTTAGGAACCATCACTAAGTATGAAGTAGTTTCTACTTGTTCCTTTGGGGATTACATTAATTTTGTGGGAG
Source organism: Homo sapiens (assembly GCF_000001405.40). NCBI lineage: Eukaryota > Metazoa > Chordata > Mammalia > Primates > Hominidae > Homo > Homo sapiens. Next base: position 43,036,091 of record NC_000019.10, read on the forward strand.
GGTTGCTGGTAGATGATTAGCCAACTATATTCTTGCAGATTTTTTCTCTCTCAATGTGTTTCTAGGTTAGTGATCAGTCTTCTGTCAATTTCATCCTGACCTTGCTCACTCAGATATTTTTGAAACCTTTATGATGTGAGAAAGGCTGACTGCTATTTTCTGTGTCATTAGAACTTTCTACCCTTCCATGGTTGCATCTTTTTCTCAGTGTGTCAGTTGTGGTAGGCATGAATAAGACTCTGTCAGGTCTCCATGGCAGCTTGTGTTTCTCAAGAGGATTACTGAGTTCTTGGTGGAGCACATTAATGAATAGGGCCGAGAAAGTATAGGCTTATGTATGTTGAAAAATGTCCCTAGGTAATTCCAGCACTCCCAGCTAAAAATTGATTAATTAATAATCAATTGACTTGATTGACAGAAGGCCCAGATCAGTGCATCCCAAAATGACAACCTACTTTACATAGAGTCCTCACTTTCCTGAAGCTCCCAGCAGGGAAATGAAAGCAAGCCCAGTTCTATGAGCCTCTGTTTTATTCTCCTGGGTGACTGGTGGGAAGACTCCCCATCAGTCTTCTCATGCTCTGTTTGAACTGTAGCTAAATCTTCTTTCTCTTTTGCCTTCACAGGAATCAGATTTGCCTAGTGGTCCCAAAGCTCCCCAGGCTTTTTTCATGCCTGCCCCACTTTCCCTCACAGGCATTTTTCCTAATACATTATCCTGCATGTCTAATCTCATCTTGGATGCATCTCAGTGGGCATAAACTAACATACCAGGTTTGATTTTTTTGCACTTAGCTTTTTTCTCTCTCTCCCACATGTAGCCAGTAACCATGTCCTAGTGTTTTATGTGTTACCTCTTTTTTCATGTGTATAGAAAAAAATGTATATTTCCATATACTTATTTATACATAATATATATAATAAAATATGTAATATAAAATGTATAATAATTTAAAACATATACATATTTTCTATATATGTATATGGAAAAAGAGGTAACACATGAAAAACCAGGACATTTACATATAATAAAATTGACATATGTTATATATGTATGTAGTGTCTGGTAGTCTTACCCTCTCTATAAATACACAATTTTTGTCACTGCCCCTTCCTTCCTTCCCATGCACAGCTCCCATGGCCAAATGTCCCTATTTCTCAAAGTGTGTGTCACTCACTGTCGTCTGTGCTGTGTCCCATGTGCTGTGTCCACAGCCTCCTAGTGTTTTATGTGTTCTCTTTTTCTATATATATGGAAAAAGCATATACATATTTCTCTCTATAGATTTATATACAATATATAATAATCTAAAAATATAGAATAACAATTTAAAATATGTACATATTTCCATATCTATGAAAAAAGGTAACACATAAACACTAGGCCATTTATATATAAAATCCACATATGTAATATAAATGCCAATTTTATCATATATAAATAAGTATATACAAGATACACTTAACATATATAAGGTAAATTTGGAATGCCCTGACCAGGGCCCTCTGTCAGTCAAGTCCCTGCCATGGAGGCCATTCATGGCTGCCACAACTGAGACACTGAGAGAAAGATGCAACTATGAAAAGGTGAAAAGTTCTAAAGTCATAGAAAATAGCAATCAGCCTTTCTCACATCCCAAAACCTTCAAAAATATCTGAGTGCAGCATGTCCAAGATGGAATTAAAAACTTCAATCTTCAAAAGGAAAAAGGTAGCTGGAGGACTCACACTTTCAGATTTCAGCATCTACTGCAAAGCTACAGTAATCAATACAGTGTGGTACTGGCATAAAGGAGGACATAGAAATGAATGACAGGGAATAGAGAGCCCAGAAAAAAAGCTTGCATATATGGCCAAATGATTTTTGTCAAGAGTGCCAAGACCATTCCATGGGGAAAGGACAGTCTTTTTAACAAGTGATACTGGGAAAGCTGGCTATCCATGGACAAGTATGAGTTGAACCTTTACCTCACACCATATACAAAAAAATGAACCCACAATGGATCAAAGACCTAAATGGAATAGTGAAGACTACCAGACTCTTAGAAGAAAACATAAGGAAAAAGCTTCATGATATTGAATTTCAGAATGATTTATTAGTTACAACTACAAAAGCATAGGCAACAAAAAAGGGATTAATTGGGCTTCATGAAAATTATAAATATTTATATGTCAAAGGCCATTATCAAGAATGTAAAAAGGCAAACTATGACATAGGGAAAATATCTGCAAATCATATATCTGATAAGGGATTAATTTCCAGAATACATGAAGAACACTACAAATCAAAAACAGCAAAAACACAAAAGCCCAATTAAAAAATGGACAAAGGACTAAAATAGAGATTTTATTAAAGAAGATATACAAATGGCCAATGAGGACATGCAAGGATTCTCAATATTACTAATATTTAGAGATATGCAAAGCAAAACCAGAGTGATACACGACCTCACACACATTAGGATGGCTTTGATAAAAACAACATGAACAACAACATCACGAAACAAGTGTTTTCAAGTACGTGGAAAAATTGAAGCTCTTTGAGTATTGCTGATGGGAATGGGAAATGTTATAGCCATTGTAGAAAAAGTGGCATGGCACGGCCGGCTCATGCCTGTAATCCCAGCACTTTGGGAGCCGAGATGGGTGGATCTCTTGAGGTCAGGAGTTTGAGAACAGCCCGGCAGGCATGGTGAAACCCCATCTCTACTAAAAATGCAAAAATTAGCTGGGTATGGTGGCATGTGCCTGTAATCCCAGCTACTCAGGATGCTGAGGCATGAGAATCACTTGAACCTGGGACGTGGAGGTTGCAGTGAGCCAAGATTGCACCATTGCACTCCAGTCTGGGTGACAGAGCAAGATCCTGTCTCAACATCATCAACAGAAAAGAAAACGGTATGTCAGTTTCTTAAAAAAATTAAAGCATTACCACTTAAACCAGCAATTCTACTTCTGGACATACAGCCAAAAGTATTGAAAAATATTTGAACAGATATTTGTACACTGATGTTCACAGCAGCATTATTCACAATAGCCAATGGGTGGAAACAACCGAAAAGTCTATTGAAAGATAAGTGGATGAACAAAAACATATATCCATACTTTGGAATGTTCTTCAATCTTAGCAAGGGATAAAATTTTGACACATGGTGCAAAATGGATGAACCGTGAAGACATTATGCGAAGTGAAATAAGCCAGACACAAAAGGATAATTATTATATACTTCCATTTATGTAAGATAGTTAGAATAGTCAGTTACTTAGAGACAGAAATTAGAATGGTGATTACCAGGGGTTAAGGGGAGAAGGAATGAGAGTTATCATTTATTGGGTTCAGAGGTTTAGTATAGTAGGATAAAAACAGCTCTGGAAATAGATAGTGTTGATAGTAACACAACAGTAAATTGCACTCTTAGAAACAGTTAATAGTAAGTCTTAGATACATAGTGTCTGGTACTCTTACCCTCTCTGTAAGTACACACTTTTTGTCACTGTTCCTTCCCTGCCATAGAGAGCTTCTGTGAGTTAATCTCCCTATTTCTCCAAGTGTGCATCACTCACTGTCCTCTGTGCTGTGTTCCAGGAGCTGTGTCCACAAACTCAGACAGGCAGTGACTTCAGAGCCAGGACACAGCCCTATTCCCATTTTTTAAAGCCTTACCCATGGGAGGCTTGGCTTCTACTGGCCGCTCGATTTAGCCAGATTCAGAACAGGCCACCCAGGCACCTTATCCACATGCCCTAGTCCCAGCCCGGGTGGAGTCAGGGCAGGGTCGGTCACTTGGCGAGCCCACAGCAATGCAGGGAGCAGAGTCTGGGCTGCTTCTCCCTCAACAAGGGGCTTCCTCCTCTCATTTGGGAAAAGGGTGGGCTTGTTTTGAAGACTCTGATGTTCATCGCAGCTCATGGAGTACACACACACAGACACAGACACACACAAAGGAGACAGAAGGGATGTTTTGGTGACAGAAACAGCTTGACCATGAGGACCCTCCTCTTTCTCCCTCCATGAAGGCCCTTATACTGCATAGTGCTTGGGGCTGATAAAGCCATTTCCCTACATTTCTCAGGCTGGACCCAAGGTCATCCACCAGAAATTTGGAAAACAAAGGGAAGAGAATCTGTAGATATGAATTGGGAGTGTTCAGGAGAAAAATTTGGGATTTACTTTTGTGCATGGGACACAGGCTGAGAATAAGAATGTTTTCCTGGCTCTTTCTTGGAAAGCCAGATAGGCTTCACCTGAAAGCGTATTGCCAATGCTCCAGCGATTCACTTACCAGGGACTGTGATTTTCTTGGTTGCGAAGTTTTTGCCATTAGTGACTGGGTTATGGACATAACACAGATAGTCCCCACTATTCTCTGTAGTGACTAGGGGGATAAAGAGCTCTTGTCCTGTTTGCTGGTTATTCCCATTCAGCAGCCAAGAATACTCTGCTGATGGGTTAGAGCCCATGAGGCAGGAGAGGTTGAGGTTTGACCCTGGATAGTAATAGGTGTCTGAAGAATAAGTTGTGGGTTCATCTGGGCCATCTGGAGCAAAGAGAATAATGCCACAGGTAATGTTATCAGAGGGAATGGGAAGCTCCTGGTCTGTGAAAGGGACACAATGTTCCTTTTTGCCAAGTCACAACCCCGAAGTCCCAGCCAAACTTCCTCTGTGTTCACTGAACTGGAGGAGTCTAAGACATTCACCTGTTTCTCCCATCACAAGTGTGGAACCTGAGTCTCCTAAGACCAGAGAAGCTCCTCCCTTCCTGGGCCTACCCAGGTTTGCCTGGGGCAGGAAGTCATGGCCAGCTTGGGGGTCCAGGGGTAAGTGTCTTCATACTTGGACCTGAGAGGGACTGAGAGGCCTGGCCTCGAGTTATGTGGATTTGGGCTGGCAGCCTTGTCCATGAAGGAAAAGAGGATACTCACAGAGAACATCCAGGTGACTGGGTCAATTTGGCTGGTACTCACTACATTCTTGCTTTGACATTCATAGAGTCCTGTGTCACTCCGAGTAGAGCAAGGACCCTGTTGTCATTGGACATCTGCAGCCTGGAAATGACTGTGAGTCTATGACCATTTACCCACCACATGTAGATTGTGCCATGAATCTCAGGTTCACAGGTTAAGACCACAGCCTCCTCATCCTCCACGGGGTTGCTGGCAACATAGGGCTTGAGCAGATTTGCTGTGCAGATAACAGAGAAGATTCCCCTGTGTGGCACCGTTGATTTCTCCATGAGCATTTTCCAATCAGAGTTGACATCTCCCACCTCTCAGCCAATCCAAGTCCTTAAAAGCCCACAGCAGGACTGTGTGTCAAAAGACAGATGGATGCATGATTATCTGAGGGCTCAGAGACCACGGGGCCACCTGCTCTGTGTGGGAGATGCACAGACTTCTGAAGTGTGACTCGAGCAGCAATATTGGTGAAGTGTGAATTGAGCAGGGTCAAACAATTAGAGTTTGATTAACTTTGTTTAAATTGAGCAGAGTCCAAGTGAGGCAGCAGTGGCTCATGCATCTCCCCACCCGAAGGACCTCACCTTATGACAATGTTGTTATTATGAATACACAGGTGTGCAAGAAACAGGCAGTAAATCAGGCAGCACCCACCTGGCCAGCTCCACCTGGTCCTAGGAACCACCAGTATTCCCATTATGTGTATGTTACAGCTTTTTAGGCTACAAAATATAAAATACAATCACAGAATATAAAATATGCTATTGTCAACACAAAATATTGAATATGAAGCTGAATATGTTGTTCCACTTTTTCTCACTCTTGTTAAACTTTGCTGATTCAGTTTTGGAAGTTTCTATTGACACACACTTAAGCTAGAGATTCTTTCCTCAGCTGTGTGCAGCCTACCAGTAAGCCCATGGAGAGCATTCTTTATTTCTCTTAAAGTGTTTTTAATCTCTAGTATTTCATTTGCTTCTTTCTTAGAATAGTCATCTCTGTTTAAATCACCCATCCATTCCTGAAAGGTGTCTCCTTTTTCCATCATAATCCTTAACCAGAGTTGTTTTAAATTTCCAGTCTGATAATTTCAGCATCCCTACCACATCTGTGTCTGGTTCTGATCCTTGCTCTGTCTTTCAAACTGCATTTTTTTTTTTTTTGCCATAGTCTGTCTTGTATTTTTTTGAAAACCACACATGATGTACTGTGTAAAAGGGACTTGAGTGAGCAGGCATTCAGTGACATGGTGGTGAGTGTGGGGAGGGAAGTGTTCTGTGGTTCTGGATGAGGTCTGTGTCCTGGGCTGTGAATGTCACAAGTGCCTCTCAGGTTTTTCTTTCCATTAGGTGGGATATGATGACTTGAGGCTGGAGTTGGATATTTCCCCTCCCCCTGGCCAGTTAAGCTCCCATCAAACCCCAGCTAATTCGGCTGCAGTAAAATAGTTTCTCTTAAATGTAGGTCTTACCAAGAAGAACATAATTCACTGACAACTTTCCAAGTGTTTTTTTCCCTTCTTCCTACAAGAAGGATGTGGATTCTTTTTGAATATTGACTGTGAGAACCTGGTAGAGCTCCAGGAGCTAAGAGTCATAAAACTGTCCCCCTACTCCCAGGACTAATCCATCCACTGTTGTGTTTATCTCTGCGCTGTGTCCACACTGAGCCTCCAGAATTTCCTCAATTAGAGTTCAGGTTTTCTGACCCCAGCACTGGTTCCCGCTGGGGTTTCTGTGCCTGTGTTTCTGCTCAGGTACGGTGCGCTGCTCTGTATTTGCCTGTGGGTCTCTCCAATATGTGGGCCAGTTAGCACTGAGATCTTGCTTCCTGAGAAATCTAAACGAGTTGTTGATTTTTCAGTTTGTTCAGCTTTTTACTTGTTGTTAGAACTGCGTGAAAATTTTTAAGCTACTTACATGCCTGATGGAAATTCGAAGTCTCTAGGGCATGACAGGAGGATATGAGCCCCACAGCAGGTTGAGGAGGGAGTCATGAGTGAAATGGGTGAAATGAGCCCGTGGGCTTTGGAAACTGCAGATCTGTCCTTCTGCCTCTGACCCCCTGGTGAGTCCATGTAGAAAGTGAAACCACCATTGCAAAGCATATGATGGAGAGAGGAAGCTAGCTTGGCTGCCCGCATCTCACCTCTAGCCTCAAACTGGCTCTCTTCTCTGATTCCTGGGCATAGGCCAGGGTAAGCATGGGAGGAATTTATAGTTTAACTTTGAAGCAAGGATGATAATAGTCCCTCCCTAAAATTAGCTCCTCCTTGTCGGGGGCTACCTTGGTAAATCTAAGAAAAGACCATGAATTATGGGAGGGGCCCAAATTCTGCTAAAATGCAGGCATAGTTTCTATAATCCCTTACTGCTCAGGAGTCATGTGTCCAGAGGTCACAAGATTTGTGACTTTCCTAGTTGCTCCTATAGATAGCAAGACTACTGTAGAATCTGAGATTTATCTTTTGAGATGTTTCTCAGACTTTTGCATTCTGGCAACCAGCTGACCTCATCTAGACTCATGACCAATGGCTCAACCAGTCATGTAGTCCCCACTCAGAGGCAGATTCAACAAATACATACCATTTTCCTACCTGCATCATTTCATCTCCAGCCAGTCAACAGTACTTATTCCTTAGACCTTTGCCCCTTCAAAGTTTTTGAAAAAATCTAACCTCTGAGCCATTGGGGAAGCTGATTTGAGTCATGATAAACTTCTGTCCTCCTGTTTGGCAGCCTTGGGCTAAGTAAAACTATTCTTTACTACACATCACCTTCACAATAAATTGGCTTTGCCTGTGCAGAGGGCAAGAACCTGTCAGGTGATTGTAAGAATGGATGGAGGAGTCACTGATCTCTTTCAGGTGGCCTGTTTCATGAGTCAGCCTCTCAGAGAGAAAGAGCCCTGGTCTGGGACACAGTGGAAGCTCATTCTCCTGTTGGCCCGGGGACATTGCCTCATTATGGATCCTGGCAGGGGTGGCTACTCTGGCTGATTTTGGTGCATTTTTCATTTCCCAGAAGGCAGGACAGGCCTCAGTGTGAGCAGGAAGGAAATGGAACCATCAGTCTTGTTAGAGAGGATGTCTGGGGAAGTCCTCAGGGTGGAGGAAGCTGTGCAGGACAGGGTTCATCAGGTAGAATGAAAGGGGGATGCACTTTTTTCACTGAACACCTTTCAGATGTCTCACTAACTCTGGCCTCACTGGGCTCTGCCTTTCCTTCTGAGCCCTGAGCCCTGAGCTCTGAGCCCTGATTCCTGGGAGGGAGGGAGGGAGGAAGGGTGAAGCTGGGATGTGTGCTGTCCAGGTTTCTTCCATCTCTGGAATCTTGAAAGCGAGGGACCCTAATGTGTTACCACAGAGGAGACCATGGGAAAAAGCTGTTTCTCAGGGGTGCCTGGCTTATGAATTGAGGGGAATTCAGACCAGGTTGGACTCGTGAACTGCAGGGACCCTGTTCCATGTCAGCAACCAGCTCCTCTAGCTCAGTGTTTCTCTCTGTGGCTAATTCTTTTGTGTGATTTCTGAGCCCATGCTAGAGTCCTCCTCACGATGCCTGATGGTCAGACCTGTGTGGGGAGACCTAATGATGGGGTGGGGGTGGTCTTGTGTGTCACACAGAGTGTCCAGGGAACACACTTTGTGACTTTCTCTACCCCAGCCCCACAACAAGATCTGGATAGTGGGCTTGGTCAGATAAAGTCAGAATCCATGGGGGAGGGTATGTGTCCTGGCAGTGCTGAGGTTCGTACCTCCAGCTTAGTTCTCAGTCTCTGCAAATACATTTATGTTGTGCATGTGCTGTTTTCTGGACTGTACTTCTTGAACCTGTCTGCAGATAATGTCATGAGAGATCTGCATGGAAGTATATGAGGGCTATCAGATTAGGGTGGGTGTGTTTTACATAGTGGGTTTTTTTTTCACCAAACACTTTTCAAAAAATTGTGGTTGAGTGTGTATATAGAAACACATACATACTTATATTTGTTAGATGTGTATATACGTATATGTGTATATATGTGTGTGTGTGTGTGTGTGTGTGTGTGTGTGTGTATATATATATATATAAAATGTGCCATTTTAACCGCTTCACTTAAGGGGAGAGAGAGAGAGAGAGAAGAGAGTTTCTACTAATACCAAATCTGGGTTAAATAAGGGTGGTCCTATTTCCTGGGGTTGGCCCTCTTCCTTAATGGGCTGTATCTTGAGCACAGTGATTCAGTTGAAGAACAGAGACCAAATTAAAAGCTACATTGCTAAAGAAACAACAGGTGCTGGAGAAGATGTGGAGAAATAGGAACACTTTTACACTGTTGGTGGGATTGTAAACTAGTTCAACCATTGTGGAAGTCAGTGTGGCGATTCCTCAGGGATCTAGAACTAGAAATACCATTTGACCCAGCCATCCCATTACTGGGTATATAGCCAAAGGATTATAAATCAAGCTGCTATAAAGACACTTGCACACGTATGTTTATTGTGGCAGTATTCACAATAACAAAGACTTGGAGGCAACCCAAATGTCCAACAATGATAGACTGGATTAAGAAAATGTGGCATATATACACCATGGAACACTTATGCAGCCATAAAAAATGATGAGTTCATGTCCTTTGTAGGGACATGGATGAAGCTGGAAACCATTATTCTCAGCAAACTATCGCAAGGACAAAAAATCAAACACCACATGTTCTCACTCATAGGTGGGAGTTGAACGGTGAGAACACATGGACACAGGAAGGGGAACATTACACACCAGGGCCTGTTGTGGGGTGGGAGGAGGGGAAAGGGATAGCATTAGGAGATATACCTAATGTTAAATGACGGGTTAATGGGTGCAGCACACCAACATGGCACATGTATACGTATGTAACTAACCTGCACATTGCCTGCATGTACCCTAAAACTTAAAGTCTAATAAAAAATAAATAAATAAAACCCCATGGTGAATTTCTATTATTTTTGTGTTACCTTGGCATCTTTTTAATCTTCCTTGAACATACCAAATTTTTTCTTGAAAAAGATTAAGTTCTCTCTCTCTCTCTTTGCTTTGAGATGTAAATGTGCTATGTGTTTTCTCTAAAACTCAGTAAAGCCTTCCTCAGGTAAGCGTTAACCTTTACCATTTACAAGAAAGCAATTTGAATCCAACTATCTTTTAAAATGGTGGGTTTTACCGATCTCATGCCTAAAGCCCTAAAATCAAAATTCTAAAATCTTTTTGTCTCTCTCTATCTTTATATGAACATACATAAGTTATATGTTTTATCACATACATGTATATGTCACACATTTATATACTGTTGACACATAGTATCAAATTAATGTAAAAATAAATGAGTACTCAGAAATTAAGTGAATAAGCCCAAATGCTTTTCTATACATGCGATTTTAGTAAACTTTGGTGAATATAGTTTTAAAATTGTTGGTAAAATAAAGTAAGAATGTCTTCATAATTTAATTTATACGTTTTTGCCTATGTCTGTTGGCAGGCAGGTTTATATTGTCTTTACTAGATGTTTTAAGGTCAGCAAACACTTGTTTCCATATATATACATTTTCTTAATTTGTCTGTGAGCTTATGTCTTTATATTTGAAGCTTTAAATTCTGAGTTCTAGATAAGTGACCATAGTAAGAACTGGGGACAAAACCCATCCCATCCTCCAGCTGTGCCTTTTAGCCATGCTGGGAGAGATGAGATTATCCAGGCATTTTCTTCATAGCTCTGTTCTTTGTCTTGGGCTTTGCATCTGGTACATAGTTAGAACGGTTTACTCCCTAGTTTTTTTTCTACTGAAAATAAGGCTGTTTAAGTCTGTTTTTACATTGCTACAGACAAATACATGAACCCGAATAATTTATAAAGAAAAAAGGTTGAATGGTCTCATGATTCAGCAGGTTGTAGAGTAAGCATGATTCTGACATCTGCTCAGCTTTTGAGGAGGCCTCAGAAAACTTACAATCACGGAGAAAGCCAATGGTGGAGGAAGACATCTTATATAATGGGAGCTGGAGGAAGAGAACAAGGGTTGCACACTGGTAAACAACCAGATAAAACTCACTGTTGCTATAACAGCACCAAGGAAAATGGTATTAAAATATGAGAAAGCACCTCCATGATCCAATCACATCCAACCAGGCTCCACCTCCAACTTTGGAGATTACAATTTGACATGAGATTTGGGTGGGGATAAAGGTGCAAAAAAATATTATTCTCCCCATCGTCCCTCCCAAATCTCATGTCTTTCTCACATTGAATAATATAAGAATGGCTTCCCAACAGTCTCTAGAGTCTTAACTCATTCCAGCATTAACTCAAAAGTCCGAAATAGCAAGTTTCATCTGAGACAAGGCAAGTTCCCTTTACCTATGAGCCTGTAAATTCAAACACAAGTTAGTTACTTTCAAGACACAATGGAAGTATAGGCATTGGGTAAATACTCCCATTCCAAAGGGAAGAAATAGGCCAAAGGAAATAGGATACAGGTCCCATGAAAGTCTGAAACCTTGCAGCACAGTCTTTAAAACTTAAAGCTCCAAAATAATCTCCTTTGACCCCATATCTCATATTCAGGGCACACTGATGTAAGGCTTAGGCTTCCAAGGTTCTGGGCATCACAGGAACATTCCAAGAGAGTCACAAAAGAATTTGTAGTGAGGCTTTTGATGCTAAAGAGCATATTAGACCGAGTAAGTCACTGAAGAAAAAAAAGTCAGAGGAGAAGATGGGTGAGGGTGACAGAAATGGAATGGTGAAAGGAAAGTTCTGATAAAAATGTTTACCTGCTGGACATGGTGGCTCATGCCTGTAATCCCAGCACTTTGGGAGGCCGAGGTGTGCAGATCATGAGGTCAGGAGTTTGAGACCAGCCTGACCAACATGGTGAAACCCCATCTCTACTAAAAATACAAAAATTAGCCAGGCATGGTGGCATGGACCTGTAATCCCAGCTACTCAGGAGGCTGAAGGCAGGAGAATCACTTGAACTTGGGATGCGGAGGTTGCAGTGAGCTGAAATCGCAGCATTGCACTCCAGCCTGGGTGACACAGTGAGTCTCCATCACAAAAAGAAAAAAAAACTTTACCCAAGGGCTCATCTGGTACCTTGCTCTGTGACTAATATCTTACACATTTTGATTTACTCTTCCACTTTCATTTTCTGATGCGCAAAGGGTCACCCTTCTGCTGAAGATGAGAAAAGAGGCTGAGGGAGCTCAAATGAGTGGTCTAGAGTCATCCAGCTACTTCATAGAGCTTGTGTGTTTCACCTTGACATTTGTGCACAGACAGAAAAGTGAGACAAAGAAGGAAGGCAAAGCAAGTTTTTGTTGTGGGTGACATTTATGAAAGTTACCTGTGTTGGCAGAATAACGGACTCCTAAAATGTTTGCAACCTAGCTCTAGAACCTGTGCATTTACTTTTCTTTGTAAAAACACGGTGCAGGGGTGATAAAATTAAAATCGTAAGATGTGGACGTTGTTCTAGATTATCTGGGTGGGCCCATTGTAATCAGAAGTGTCCTTGTAAGTGACAAAGAAAAGCAGGGGCATCAGTCTGAGAATGATGAGCCTGTGAAACTCCACTGGCCAATGCTGGGTGTGAGCATGCATCAAAAGACAAAATTACAACTAATGTAGTTATAGATTTTATTTTTTGTTTATTATTTGAGGCAGCTCTTACTCTACAAATATAGTGATAGCACTTCCTGGGCTATACAATAACAAAACAGTGGGTTTTGTCAAGTGGGAACTGGTAAACAAAGCCATATAAATAAATAAATCAGTTAACATTAGGGTACTTCAGGTCGCTTTTCTGTAAAAGTTAAAGCAGAGGAAACTTTTATTATGCTGTCTCAGGTAGAGTGGAATCTCCTGTTTTCAACAAAAAACAAAGGTCTGTTCTGGTATCTCTTTGCTTCATTAAAATTTCAGTTGTAGACTGTAGCATTTAGCATGAGTGGTTCTATTTTGGAGTCTCTAGGCTCTCACTTAGGTGGGAGTGTGACCAAAATTTAAAGCATTGGCATTCATCTCAGTAACCATCATATTGGGCTTCCATCGTTTATAGGTTTATGATGTCTTCCTGATCACACATTTCTTTGAGTTTTTGTCATTTCAGCCAAAGAGAGACCCTTTGGTATTTGTAGATGGCTGCACACAAAACTTTTTAAAAACTTTTGTAGAATTCACCACACCAAAATGTAGAATTAAAAAACCTGTAGAATTTATCACACCAGAGATGCTACTAGTATGACTATTGGAAGGATAACACCAAAAGTTTGGAGTATGCACTTTAGGCAAGATGCAAACCAACTAAAATAGAATAGATCAAAGAATGAGCCAGAAGAGTCTAGCAATTTTAACCAAGTAGTATGTTTGGTAACTTCTGTGATTGAGTCATTATTATACTCAATATATTTGTTTATGTGCAACAGTTGGTGTCAGAATCTGCACAGGCTCCTCCCTGTTCAGCTGGTAGGGAACAATTTTATTATGTAGCATTCGACGGCTCATTAAATTAAAACAGGGAATGAGAACAATGAGTCTGAAAATGTAACTTTAAAAGCGCCACTGTACATTTGAACAAACAATTGTGTTAAATATGCTGCTAATGTCAGCCGTTGGGTGGACTAAATGATATCTTATGTAAAAATTTGAGGGTGACATGATATATCTGTCACTCTATTACGCTGCTCTCAGAAACTACTTCATGTGAAATTCTGATGATACCATCATCCTGCCAAGTGAAAGAGGCAGGCATAAGCATGGACAAATTAAGAGGGGTAAGAGCCTGATTTTGATGTGGAAACGTGTTCTGACAACTTGAGAAAAGCTTTTCACAGTGTGAAGTTGTCAACTTCTTATCCTGGTTTTCAACTTGAGTGTCTGTAGTTATGGTGTCAAACATATTGGTGAGCTCTGAGTGACTCATACTTCAGATACGAGGGTTTTCCCGTGAAATTTACCTTGAGCTTTCCACCTCCAGCTTATAAGGCTTCAGGAACAGAGCAGATTTTATTCTTACTGATTCAATAAGAGAAAACTGGATGGGAGGAACTAGAAGAATTCAGGGTCTAGTCCAGACTACCGGTGAAAAATAAAAACTCAAAAACAATAAACAGAGCAGCAATTTCATAGCAGGTATACTACACTTTTTATTTTCAACATTATTTTGCTCTCTATAGGCATATCTATTTTTACCAAAGATAAACCCAGTAGGACAAATTTGTTTACAAAGTAGGTTTAGTCTTACCAAGCTTTGCCAGGATTCTTTACATAAGTGCATCAAGAGTAGCAATGGACCACAGAGGCTCTTCCTAAAGTTTGCTTCGCTAGAAATTTTTATAAGTAGTCTCAGATTAAATTTTTACAAACCTCTGGAGACGAGGAAGCCAAATGTAGGCCATCTTCAGACTTTGCCTGCAGTACATATGTGTCCATTCTATGTATATTCTCAAATATAACTTCTCAGTCAAACCTTGGTAATATAACCAATGTTTTGAAACGTGTCCTTTTATAAAGAGAGAAGACTCTTACTAAACTTGTGCAAATAACTGTATTAGCATAAACATATGAATACTCATGAATAGTTTCCCAATCCTGGGACAGTTAGGTAAAGAGCAAAAATAAATGGGCTTCAATTATTGCTTCCAAAAGTATACTTTACCAAATTGCTTTAGATATAGCTAGCTTAAAAGAAGGAAAATTCCATAAATCTGGAAAAAATCATTTAAAGAATCAGCAAATTTTCAAATAAAAATTATAAAAACATTATCCACTTTATCATTTATTTCAAGGAAATTATTTTTGTTCTGCTTGGTCTAGGTTGGCATATTTCATGAAGGCATCAACCTGTTTGTTAAAGTTTTGGAAGTCTATAGACAGTTCAGTGATATAATCTTGAACTGCTCAGAAACTTGTATGCAAGAGTACTTGTCAGCATCTTTTCCATAAATCTTTTGAAATAGAAGCAATTTTGAACTGTAGCTGATTGCAGATGCTTTCAGGAAGAATCAAAACAACTATCTGTGAATGACCATCATGTAAAATGACTATTGTTAAAACTCTGATAAAGAGCCCGCATCGCCAAGTCAATCCTAAGCCAAAAGAACAAAGCTGGAGGTATCACACTACCTGACTTCAAACTATACTACAAGGCTACAGTAACCAAAACAGCATGGTACTGGTACCAAAACAGAGATATAGATCAATGGAACAGAACAGAGCCCTCAGAAATAATGCCGCATATCTACAACTATCTGATCTTTGACAAACCTGAGAAAAACAAGCAATGGGGAAAGGATTCCCTATTTAATAAATGGTGCTGGGAAAACTGGCTAGCCATATGTAGAAAGCTGAAACTGGATCCCTTCCTTACACCTTATACAAAAATCAATTCAAGATGGATTAAAGATTTAAACGTTAGACCTAAAACCATAAAAACCCTAGAAGAAAACCTAGGCATTACCATTCAGGACATAGGCGTGGGCAAGGACTTCATGTCCAAAACACCAAAAGCAATGGCAACAAAAGCCAAAATTGACAAATGGGATCTAATTAAACTAAAGAGCTTCTGCACAGCAAAAGAAACTACCATCAGAGTGAACAGGCAACCTACAACATGGGAGAAAATTTTCGCAACCTACTCATCTGACAAAGGGCTGATATCCAGAATCTACAATGAACTCAAACAAATTTACAAGAAAAAAACAAACAACCCCATCAAAAAGTGGGCGAAGGACATGAACAGACACTTCTCAAAAGAAGACATTTATGCAGCCAAAAAACACATGAAGAAATGCTCATCATCACTGGCCATCAGAGAAATGCAAATCAAAACCACTATGAGATATCATCTCACACCAGTTAGAATGGCAATCATTAAAAAGTCAGGAAACAACAGGTGCTGGAGAGGATGTGGAGAAATAGGAACACTTTTACACTGTTGGTGGGACTGTAAACTAGTTCAACCACTGTGGAAGTCAGTGTGGCGATTCCTCAGGGATCTAGAACTAGAAATACCATTTGACCCAGCCATCCCATTACTGGGTATATACCCAAAGGACTATAAATCATGCTGCTATAAAGACACATGCACACGTATGTTTATTGCAGCACTATTCACAATAGCAAAGACTTGGAACCAACCCAAATGTCCAACAATGATAGACTGGATTAAGAAAATGTGGCACATATACACCATGGAATACTATGCAGCCATAAAAAATGATGAGTTCATATCCTTTGTAGGGACATGGATGAAATTGGAAACCATCATTCTCAGTAAACTATCGCAAGAACAAAAAACCAAACACCGCATATTCTCACTCATAGGTGGGAATTGAACAATGAGATCACATGGACACAGGAAGGGGAATATCACACTCTGGGGACTGTGGTGGGGTCGGGGGAGGGGGGAGGGATAGCATTGGGAGATATACCTAATGCTAGATGACACATTAGTGGGTGCAGCGCACCAGCATGTCACATGTATACATATGTAACTAACCTGCACATGGTGCACATGTACCCTAAAACTTAGAGTATAATAAAAAAAATAAAAATAAAAAAAAAAAGATGAAAAAAAAAAAAAAAAAAAAAAACTCTGATAAGAGTTTGGTATAATAAAGAGAGTAACTCCAGCCAGTACTCCAGTCATGATGCTGGCAGTGGCCCCAACTGAGAGACCAAAAGAACTTTCTTGTCCTGAAGCAGCTGTCATGGAAAAAAAAAGAGGAGAAGGAATAAATAATAAAGACAGCAAGGGTTTTAGCCAATTATTTTTTGAGATAGGGTCTCACTCTGTTGCCTAGGCTGGAGTGCAGTGGTGCAATCTCAGCTCACTGCAACCTGTGCCTCCCAGTCTCAAGCAGTCCTCCCACCTCGCTCTCCTGAGTAGTTGGGACTATAGGCACACACCACCACACATGCTTAATTTTTGTATTTTTTGTAGAGATGGGGTTTTACCATGTTGTTGAGGGTGGTTTTGAACTCCTGGACTCAAGTTATCCACCCGCCTTGGCTTCCCAAAGTGCAGGGATTACAGGTATGAGCCACCGCTCCTCCCGGTTTCATGCTTTTTATAATAAGAATCAACTCTTTATGTAATAATAAATAAATAAACAGAAATTATTTGCTTTAGATGTAGCATATGTAGATTTAGATTGTCCAGAGTCAGGAGCTAAGCCTCATATTTTTTTTTTTTTGTTTTAGCTCAGTGTAGAGTGCATTGAAGGTGTTGTAAAAATAATTCCATATAGTAAGCCAACTTTAAACCCTGCTCACAGCCAGATCTGCCAAGTATGAGCCAGGTAAAATTACCAAAAACGGTGGTTCTGACTGACTCCTTAACAATAACGTGGCTTACAAACAAAGACTGATATGAAATAGTTGATCCAACCCAAACACTTTGCTCATTTCCCAAAATTTTCTATACAAATATATACAACTTACCACAACATAAAGATCATAATGAAAGATTTGCCTTTTATTCCTTTAAATGACCATATGTTCAGATCTGATGTACTGACAGCAATAATTCTCCATTAAGCAGAAAACTAATAAAATTTGAAAAATAGTGATTTTATATTTAGATGATACTCAGATCTTCTGCTACATATGTGGAAAATGGAATTATTGCTAGAAACATTGTTTAAAGATTAGGGTATGAAAGGAGTATTAGGAAGTCAGGTGGTTCTTTCCTTAGGAAGCAGCTTATCTGGATTCATTCAAAGAGCTTTAGGTGAGTTTGAGGTCTTTCTGCAAAATGTAAATTGCTATCTGAGAAACCATATATAGTCCAATGATGAAAGAATGCAAAGCCTTAGAAGCACCGGAGACAATTCCAGTATCTTCCCTAAAGTTCTGACAAAAAGGAAAATAACTATCAAATTATTCAACTCGAATGCTTATTATGTATGTATAAGTCAGTCGTCAGATGAAGAGAGGCTGGAAATATGACTTCTACCCCTAGGGAACTCACAGTCTTGTGGGGGCCACTAGGGGTGGTGGTGTGACCTGCCTGGAGCAGGGCTAAGTATGGACTTGTGAGTCAAGGGCTATCAAAACCTAAGTGAACTGATGGCCGTTCAGAGAAGGTAGAGTTCCATTCCACAGTTTGCAAGAAGGACAATTTCATGGAGGAGGCCACGTTGGACTAGACCTTTAAAAGTTGGTAGAATTTAAAAGCAAGGATATGGAAGCAGGAAGAGTGAAAGTGAGCAGAGGTACAGGAGTGAGGCAAGGGTGAGCAGTGTTAATTTTTTAATGGTGGTATTATAAAACACACATCAAAATTTGCCATATTATTATTATTATTATTTTGGAGACAGTGTCTGGCTCTGTTGCCCAGGCTGGAGTGCAGTAGCTCAATCATGGCTCACTGTAGCCTCCACCTCCTGGGCTCAAGCAATCCTCGTACCTCAGCCTCCTGAGTAGCTGGGACCACAAACATATACCACCACGCCCAACTAATTTTTATATTTTTGGGAGTGACAAGATCTTCCTATGTTGCCCAGGCTGGTCTCGAACTCCTGGACTCAAATAATCCTCCTGCCTTAACCCCAAAGTGCTGGGACTACAGGTATGAGCCACTGCACCTGACCCCATCTTAAAAATTTTTAAGTGCACAGTTGAGAAATACATTTGCATTGTGCAACCATCAGCGCCACCCATATTCAGAGAGTATTTTTCATCTTGTAACAGGGAAAATTCATATCCATGAAACACTAACTCCTCATTCTTCCTCCTCCCCACCCCAGGTAACAACTATTTCAGTGTCTCTATGATTTTGACTGCTCTAGGGACTTACATAAATGAGATCATACACTGTGTATCTTTTTGTGACTGGCTTATTTCACTTAGCATAATGTCCTCAAGGTTCATCCATGTTGTAATATATGTGAGAATTTTTTTCCTTTTGAAGGCTGAATAAT
Organism: Homo sapiens; assembly: GCF_000001405.40. Lineage (NCBI taxonomy): Eukaryota > Metazoa > Chordata > Mammalia > Primates > Hominidae > Homo > Homo sapiens. The sequence goes on from NC_000019.10 coordinate 43,054,989, forward strand.
ATTTCATTGTATGGATAGACCACATTTTGTTTATCCATTCATCTATCCATGGACACTTGGGTTGCCTTCACTTTTTGGCTACTGTAAATAGTGCTGCTATAAACATGGAGGTACCAATATCTGTTGGGGTCTCTGTTTTCAATTATTTTGAGTTTATGCCCAGGAGTGGAATGGCCAAGTCATGCAGTATCTCTAATTTTAGTTTTCTGAGGAACCACCATAATGTTTTTCACAGTGGCTGCACCATTTTAATTCTTATGAATAGGGCACAAGGGTTCCAATTTTTCCACAGTCTCATTAACACTTATTATTTTCTGGGATTTTTGCTTTGCGTTTGAGAGTAGCCATTTAAATTGGCATAAGGTATAATTTCATTGTGGTTTACATTTTCATTTCCTTAATGATTAGTGATATTGATCAATATTTTCTATGCTTGCTGGCCATTTGTATATCTTCTTTGGAGAAATGTTTATGCAGGTCATCTGCTTATTTTTTTAAATTGGGTTGATTTTTTTTTTTTGCTGTTGTTTAGGTAGAGAAAGCAATCTTTGGATACCAGTGATGTTTCACTAATTCTGGGCCATTGATTTCACAAGTTGTATGAGGTATTAGTATGTGAGTTTGGTTTCAATCATGGCTGAGGTTGAATGCCTTTTCCAAAATTCAGTGTGAATTTCACCAGAAGCCACAAAGGGTCCAGGAGCAAGAACATGGTGTGACTGCTCTGTGCTAAAGAATTTCAGCCTGATGACAGTGAGCAGGCTACACATGAGACTGACACAAGAACAGGTGGAGAGGGAGACTTTCCACTGGAAGAAGGTGATTCTAACATGCAGAATCACCTTCAAGGAGCAAGTAAGCAGAAAAATAGACAATGGCACAGTGGCCAGGCAAGAAGACACTAGGTCCAGAATCTGAGGTTCAAATCCTGGCTCTGTGAGATAAAAACATGCCTTGGTTTCCCCATGCTACTGAAACACCAGGGGTTGGGTCTAGGTCCCATTGCTCACTGCACAGAAAGCCAACCACTGAGACAATGAGCATTGCCAGGGAAGAAGGCTTTATTTGGGTGCTGCAGCCAAGGAGGTGGGAGATCAGTCTTAAATTCATCTCTCCAGCCCACTCAAATTGGAGGGTTTATATAGCTGGGAAGGGAGGTAACTACTAGCAGGGAAAACAGCAATTAAGGAGGGGTAAGGAAGCAATCATGATAAATGAGGAGTCTGGTGTCTCATTGTCTGATAGTGATGTGGTGAGTTTCAGTCTCTTGCCTGAAGGTCGGTTTCCTAACTCAGATGACTGACAAATGTTAAGTTTCAAGTTATAAGACCGGATGGGTCAATTTCTATGTTTATTCAAAAACCCTGTAAATATCAGTTCTATGTGGAACTTGAGCTGGTTTCCCCCCAGTTATCACAGTTAGGGTTAAATGATGCAATATAAGTAAAACACCAGCAGTTTCTGACACACACACACAGAGTGTGTGTCATTTTTTTATTACACTTTTTATTACACTTTTCATTCTGGGATACATTTGCAGAACCTGCAGGTTTGTTACATAGGTATACAAGTGCCATGGTGTTTTGCTGCACCCATTAACCCATCATGTACATTAGGTATTTCTCCTAATGCTGTCCCTCCCCTAGTCCCCCACCCCTCAACAGGCCCCAGTGTGTGATGTTCCCCTCCCTGTGCCCATGTGTTCTCATTGTTCAACTCCCACTTATGAGTGAGAACATGCAGTGTTTGGTTTTCTGTTCCTGTGTTAGTTTGCTGAGAATGATGGTTTCCAGCTTCATTCATGTCCCTGCAAAGGACATGAACTCATCCTTTTTTATGGCTGCATTGAATTCCATGGTGTATATGTACCACATTTTCTTTATTCAGTCTATCATTGATAGGCATTTGGGTTGGTTCCAAGTCTTTGCTATTGTGAATAGTGCTGCAATAAACATATGTGTGTGTGTCTTTATAGTAGAATGATCTATAATCTTTGGGTATATACCCAGTAATGGGATCACTGGGTCAAATGATATTTCTTGTTCTAGATCCTTGAGGAATCGCCACACTGTCTTTCACAATGGTTGAATTAATTTACATTCCCACCAACAGTGTAAAAGCATTCCTATTTCTCCACATCATCTCCAGCATCTGTTGTTTCCTGACCTTTTAATGTTCACCATTCTAACTAGCATGAGACGGTATGTCATTGTGGTTTTCATTTGCATTTCTCTAATGACCAGTGATGATGAGCTTTTTTTTGTATGTTTGTTGGTCACAAAAATGTCCTATTTTGAGAAGTGTCTGTTCATGTGCTTCACCCACTTTTTGATGGGCTTTTTTTTTTCTTGTAAATTTGTTTAAGTTTCTTGTAGATTTTGGATATTAGCCTTTTGTCAGATGGATAGATTAAACCTTGCAAGCTGAAACTCAATGACTTATGTAAACTTCTGGAGAAATCATAGCAACTTATATATAAACAACCTTTGTGGCTGCTGATGTGTGGACTATACAAAAGGTACACATGAACACTGGATTCAGACTGCAATTCAGAGAAATGTGTCAGATTGCCATTGCAATTGGAAGATACTTCACAAACTCTGGAAAACCTAGTCTATAGGGTTAGAACGATGTTTGCCAAACGAATTGCTCTAATTGAAGCAGCAGTTGTGTGACTTTAATAAGGTTCCAGGATTATACTGTCCCTTTTTTGCTGTGACTTCCCTTTGCCCTTTTCTGATTTGTCTTCATCCCCTTTTCCATGCATGACTTCTTAAGAATGAGCCTTCCTAGTGATGTAGGATCAGATGAAACTTACAGTCACAAAGTCATGTCTTCTACAATGCTTTCTCTGAAAGCTTTTGAAGAATTGGGGGGCCAGGTGTGCTGGCAGAGGCCTGTAATCCCAGCACTTTGAGACTCTAAGGCAGGAGGATCACTTGAAACCAGGAGTTTAAGACCAGCCTGAGCAAGAAAGGGAGACCACGTCTCTACAAAACATAAAATAAATCAAATTAGCCAGGTGCAGTTGTGCATGCCTATAGTCTCAGATACTTGGGAGGCTAAGGCTGGAGGACCGCTTCAGCCCAGGAGTTCAAGGCTGTAGTGAGTACACTCCAGTCTGCGTGAGTGAGCAAGGTTGTGTCTCTAAAAGAAAAAAAAAAAAAGGAAAGGAAAAGAACGGGGTAAACAGGAAAGCCAAAGATCTCGGGCATCTCCAGATGATTGTCTGAACAAATTGTTTTTTCTTGGCTTCAAAACCTTTCAAGATGTATATTTCTTTGTAAAAGAAAGACATGCCAATTGTAACTTTAAGTGAGCAATCAAAATCTAGGTCCTAAAACTGAAGTATTTTAACTCTCATTCTGATAATATTTATTTTCTGAGGCAAAGAAGAAAGACAACGTTAGATCAATTGTTTCTCTGCCCACTCCATCTCTTCCAACCTGCCTTCTCCCCTTTAATCAAATGTATAAATACTAAGCCTCCTGAAACGTCTTCAGAGAAAACACAAGCCACAGAGGTTTTTTGCAACTCATATATTCCCAGGGTGCACTGTCAGGCTCTGGCTCAATAAAACTCAATTGGTCAAGACCCTTGCCTCAGTCAATCATTCTGGATAACCACCATGAGTCCTGCAAAGCCCTTCAGTAATCTATTGCCTGCTTAGGTGATGTGTACCTAGATGAGTCAGATCTTCATGAGTCCAACACTCGTCTTCCTTTTCTGTCTTTCCCAACCCTACCACTCAGTGCTGTGTGCTCTGATCTGACCCCAGCTCCCAGGTTGTTTGTATTGGTCTAAGAAAGCAAGACCAGGAGGGGCAGGTTGAGAAGGAAGTAAGAGGCCAACTGCCAGGGAAAGTGGCAGGTAGGGCTGTCATTGCTCAACGCCACACACACTGGGTCCATTTTGTGAAATTTTCTGGATTCATAATCTTTTCCCTGTGTGTCTATCAAGAATCTCACCCTCCTCCAACTTTCTTCTCATTACACTTTCTGTTTCTAGTGCACTCGTTTATGTCCAGAGAATGGCCATGCAAATAGTTGACAATAGAATAAAAAATGACGATTTGTCAGACTTAGAAGCTGGCCTTTCTTTTTTCCAAAAGAGATTGAGGTTTCTAAAAGCTGGCTTTTATGCAGGGCTGTGCAGTTGTGAGTGTAGTTTTAGGGAACAGGTGCATAAGTGAAGGGTGAGACAGAAAACAAAATTCTGGCTATTTGTCAAATCCTGAAAGTGAATGGGACAAAAATCATTTTTGAAGGAGGATGTCATTCAGGAGACCTTGTAAATCTTAGAGTGTCCTCTTACCAGATGAAGTGGAGGATGAGGTTGAATTATGGAGTTAGGTGACAGTGGGTACATACTTCTCTGCCTCAGTTTTTTTTTTAATCTGTAAAAATGGGGATTGTGGTACTTGGGATTTTTTGGTGAGGACTGTAGTTTCCTGGAAAGCTCTCAGGATAGTACCTGGTACATAGTGAGTGCTGCATCAGTGTGAGCTATTATAATTATGGGAATAGACAAAGGTGCCACCCTGGCCATCCAGAGTGGGGAGGTATTTTCCAGTCAGGGTCCAGGCAGGCCAGCTGTAGATGAAGCTGATTAGTGGGGAAGCTTAACTTCCAGGAGTGGAAGAATTTAGGAGGAGTAAACAGAATGCACAACATTCTGCAAACATTCCTTTACCCAACAGTAGGAATACTCAGAGTTGGCGTGGATTCCGTGGCAATCATTATCTCCTGGGAATCTAAGAATGTGTCCTAGAGTCAAATGGCTTTGATGTAAGCCAAACCCAGAAATGGGCTTCAGGGCTGCCTTGCACATAGCATTCATTCATCTTGAAAAAGGAAAGCATTCATCTTGCTAAAGGAATCCCCTCTTCTGGCCCAGGCCATTATTTTTGTTTTTGTACTCTCCTAATTTTTAAGGTGTAAGGAGAAAGACCGAAGAATAAAATAATGGAGTACATGTATGAAATGACAGGGTAGAATTGAGACTGCTACATGTAAGTTAAGAGAAATTGTGTATAAATTTTGTGTGAGCATAAGAAGGATTTCTTGTTGCAAACAGACCTCTCCATATAAATAATACCCATTGCCTTTAGTGGATAGCAGACCGCATCAGAAGAACATTCCAACAGAGTCATGAGACAATGGGTAGTGTGGCTTCTTTAATTGGCAGGTTAGACTGAGTAAGTTACTGAAGAGAAAGGAGTTGAAGGAGAAGATGGGTGAGGGCAAGAAAAATGGGAAGGTGAAAGGAAAGGACTGAAAGGAATGTTTACCAAGGGCTCATCAGGTACCAGGCTCTGTGACTAATGTCTTACACATGTTAATTTACTCTTCCACTGTCATTTTCTGATGCAGTAAGAGTCAGCCTTATACTGCAGATGAGGAAAGAGGCTGAGGGAGGTCAAATGAGTGGCCCAGGGTCATCCAGCCACTTCATAGCAGAGCTAGTGTGCTTCACTGTGGTTTGTGCAGACAGAAAAGTGAGACGTGGAAGGAAGGCAAAACATTTTTGTTGTGGGTGATGTTTATGAAAGTGACCCATATGAGGCAGAATAATGGCCTCTTAAAAATGTCCACATCCAGGCCGGGTGCAGGGGCACATGCCTGTAATCCTAGCACTTTGGGAGGCTGATACGGGTGGATCACAAGGTCAGGAGTTCGAGACCATCCTGGCCAACATGGTGAAACCACATTTCTACTAAAAATGCAAAAATTAGCTGGGCGTGGCGGTGGGCAACTGTAATGCCAGCTACTTGGGAGGCTGAGGCAGGAGAATCATTTGAACCTGGGAGGCGGAGATTGCAGTGAGCCCAGATTGTGCCACTGCACTCCAGCTGGGGCAACATGAGTGAAACTGTCTCAAAAAAAAAAAAAAAAATCCACATCCTAACTCTTGGAACACATGCATTTACTTTTCTTGGCAAAAACACTGTTCAAAGGTGATGAAGTTGAGTATCTTGAGAAGGAAAGCTTATTCTGACTTATCTGGGTGGCTCCCAGTGTCATCATAAGGGTCCTTGTAAGTGAAAGAGAAAGGCAGGAGGGTCAGGGTGAGAATGATGCAGCCTGAGAGACTCCACTGGCCATTACTTCCTGTGAACATGTGTGATAAGACAAAATTACAACTAATTTAGTTATTGATGTAATTGGCTTTTATTTTTGATTTATGATTTGGGGCAGCTCTCCCTCTACAGATGCTTCAGCATCCCAAGTAGCTGGGACTATATTGCGGGATCTGGCCAGCAGCTTGCAATGCAACAGGGCTCTTTCTTTGTTCCCAGGCAGATCGGCAGGTTGAGAAATAAAAGACACACACAAGATAGTGAAAACTGGGTCCAGAGGGGTCACTGCCTTCTGGTCCTGCGATGCTACCAATGCACTGGATATACCAGCATTTATTATTAAGTTTAGTGAGAGTGTTGGTAGGTTAGTGAGGGATTTAAGGTCATTTGTAAGCTGTCCACAAGGGTCGCATTCCATTCCCAGAGCTATGGACATCTGCTTTTCTGGGATAGGAATCTTGGTTATGTGAAACCTCCCTGACTGCATGTCCATTCATAGGCTCTCTGCAGGCGGAAGCACATCACATGCTGTTGGCTCATTCTGGCAGCCCAACCTGGCATTTGTCTTTACACAATCCTGTATGCAATTTTGTATTTACAATAATCAGGAGCATTTCATCTTTTATTCCATAGCAATAGTTTCAGGGGGTCTCCCTACATCTCCCCCTTTTCTCTGATTTCAATGAACCATAGCAATCATAGGTTGGCACTGATCACGATTGGATTGAAGAATATTTTTTCCAATTTTACACACGAACAGTAAACCAATAGCACAAATTATACACAGAACAAAATTAACGATAGTGGATCCTCCCAAAGATTTTACCTATTGAAAGGGGTTGAGATTAGATAACCCCTCAGAGATACTGTCTAAAACTTCAGCACTAGGTAAAGCAGATAAGTGTGCTTGAGAGGCTTCAAAAATCTGTTCTTTCAGCTTGTTTATGTCTAAACTTAAATTATCTTCACTTCCTTGTAAATGGCATTTTACTGATTCCCAATTGTGAAAAGACTCTTTATATTGGAACGGAGTTATACAAAAATCAGAAGTATTCCAATCACGTTGCATTTGTAATCTGTGTTCTAAACTCATAATTCTATCTCCCATCCATATAACAGAAGCACATCACGCGCTGTAGGCTCATTCTGGCAGCCCAACCTGGCATTGTCTTTACACAATCCTGCATGCAATTTTGTATTTACAATAATCAGGAGCATTTCATCTTTTATTCTGTAGCAATAGTTTCAGGGGGTCTCCCTACAGGACTACAGGTGCGCGCCACCATGCCCTGCTAATTTTTGTATTTTTAGTAGAGACAGGGTTTCACCATATTGACCAGGCTGATCTCAAACTCCTGACCTTGTGATCTGCCTGCCTTGTCCTCCCAAAATGCTGGGATTACAGATGTGAGCCACAGCGCCCAGCCCATAAATCACACATTTCTTTGAGTTTTTGTAATTCCAGCCCAAGAGAAACCATTTGATATTTGAAGAATGGCTGCACACCAATAAAAACATCTGTAGATTGCACCACACGAGGGAGACTACCAGTATGACTATCAGGAGGAAAATATCAAGAGTTTGGAATATGCACCTTAGGCAAGATGCAAACCAACTGCAATAGGATAGATCAAGGAAGAAGCCAGAAGAGTCTAGTCATTTTAACCAGGCAGCACATTTCATGATTTTTACAGCTGAGTCTCTATAAAACCCGATGTATTTATCCATGTGCAACAAGAAGGGTGAGAAACTGCACAGGCTCCCCCCTGTTCAGCTGATAGAGAGCAATTCTATTATCTAGCATTGCATGTGTATGTTAAATTAAAACAGGGAGTGAGAATAGGCAAGTATAGAAGTGGAAGCCTAAAAAAATCTCCATACATTTGAGGAAAAAGTTGTGTTACAGGTGCAGCTAACGTCAGCCTTTGGGTGGATTAAAGGATCTCTCGGTATGTAAAAATGGGTGGGCTGGGTGTGGTGGCTCACGCCTGTAATCGCAGCACTTTGGGAGGCTGAGGCGTGCGGATAACCTGAGGTCGGAGTTCAAGACCAGCCTGACCAACATGGAGAAACCCTGTCTCTACTGAAAATACAAAATTAGCTGGGCGTGGTGGTGCATGCCTGTAATCCCAGCTACTTGGGAGGCTGAAGCAGGAGAAGCACTTGAACCCAGGAGGCAGAGGTTGCCGTGAGCCAGGATTGTGCCGTTGCACTCCAGCATGGGCAACAAGAGCGAAACTCCATCTTATAAAAAAAAAAAAAAGTATGGTTGACATGATATACCTGACACTGTTAACTTACTCTCAGAAGCTACTTCTTGTGAAATCCTAAGTACAGCATTATTCTGGGAAGCAAAGGAGACAGGCATAAGCAAGGACAAATTAAGAGAGGTAAGAGTCTCATCATGATTGATAGTCTTGTTCTGACATCTTGAGAAAAGCTGTCCACAGTGTAAAGTCATCAACTTGTCGTGGTTTGCAGTTTGAGTGTCTCTAAGTTATGGTGTTGAACATGTGGTGAGCTCTTAGTGGCCCCCACCTCAGACACGAGGGTTTTCCCATGAAATTTACATTGAGTTGTCCACCTCCACCTTATATGGCTTCAGGAACAGAGCCACTCTTGTTCTTAATGATTTCATTGGAGAAAATTGAATTGGAAGAACTAAAAGAATTCAGGGTCCAGTCCAGTCTACCAGTGGATTATAAATACTCAAAGATAATGAACAGTGGTTCAATCTGGTAACAGGTGTACTACAGTTTTTCTTTTCAACATAGTTTTTCTCTCTATAGGAGTCTCTATTTTTACCAAAGATAATTCCAGTAGGATGAATTTGTTTGCAAATTTGGTTGAGTCTCACCGAACTTGCCCAGATTTTTTACCTAAGTGCGGCAAGAGTAGCAATGGACTGTAGAGGCCATTTTTAAACTTTGCTTTGCTAGAAGTTTTTAATAAGAATCTCAGATTAAACTTCCAAAAACCTCTTGAGACTAGGAAGCCAAACCAAGGCCCACTTCAGACTTTGCCTGCATTCCCTATGGGTTTATTCTATGTATATTCTCAAATATAACATCCCAGTCAAAGCCTTGATAATATAATCAATGTTTTCAAATGTGTCCTGTTATAAAGAGAGCAGATTCTTACTGAACTTGTGCAAATAGCTTTATTACCATAAACATATGAATACTCATGAATAGATTCCCAATTCTGGGGCACTCAGATAGAGAGCAAAAGGAAATGTTTCAATTTTTGTTTACAAAAGTATACTTTACCAATTGCTCAAGAAAAAATGTTCATAAATCTGGAGAATGAAACATTCCAAGAATCAGCACATTTTCAAATAGAAAATTATGAAATCATTATCCTTTTGATTATTTAGTCCAATAACATTGAGTATTTTTCTTCTTTGTCTTGAATTTCATGAAGGTATCAGCCTGTTCATTAAAATTTTGAAAGTTCTTAGTCCAGTGGTATGATCTTGAAGTTATCAGGAGCTTGTATTCAAGAGTCCTTGTAAGAGACCTTTCCATAAATCTCCTTGAAGAAAAAGCAATTTTGGACTGTAGGTGATTGTAAGTAGTTTGAGGAAGAATCAAAGCAACTGTCTGGGAATGACAGAGATTTAAACTGACTATGGTTAAAAATCTAATGAGAATTTATTATGGTAAAGACACAGCTCACATAGAAATCTAGTTACTTCTGTGGCATATGACACTATGATAACATATTTGATTTTCAGAAATTTCATATAATTTTTAGAATACTCATTAAAAAAATTTTTTTTTCAGATGGAGTCTCACTCTGTCACCCAGACTGGAGTGCAGTGGTGCCATCTGAGTTCACTGCAAGCTCCGCCTCCGCGGTTCATGCCATTCTCCTGCCTCAGCCTCCTGAGTAGCTGGGACTACAGGTGCCTGCCACCACACCCGGCTAATTTTGTTTTTGCATTTTTAGTAGAGATGGGGTTTCACCGTGTTAACCAGGATGGTCTCGATCTCCTGACCTCGTGATCTACCCACCTCGGCCTCCCAAACTCCTGGGATTGCAGGCGTGAGCCATCGCGCTCAGCCTAGAATACTCATATTATTAACATTCCCATAAATATTATTTAGAGAAGGTTTAGCATCACTTATCCCTTATTTGAAAATGCTTTCTATAAATTTAATATATAAAATAAGGTGGCTTTTCCGTTCAGCTTCTGTTTCTCAAGAGGATTACTGAGTTCTTGGTGTAGCCCATTCATAAATAGGGCCAAAAATGTATAGTCTTATGTATGTTGAAAAAGGTCCTTAGGTAATTCCAGTACTTTTAGCTGAAAATCATTGATTTAGTTTTAAGTTCTACCTATTGCAACAGGAGTTCTCCATCCTTGTTACGTGTTAGTAGTGTCAGGGAAGACTTAAAAATTACCAGTGCCTGGGTCCCTCTCCAGACCTTTGAACTGGAACTAATGGGTGGGGCTTGAGCATCCACTTTTAGAAATGTTTTCCAGTGATTCCAATGTGTAGCTCTATTTCCCATCAGATTTCTCTGATTTCTTGTGGCATTCAATTTTTTCTATTTTGGTATCATGATTATTTTCAGGTCTCATTTCCTGTCTTAGGCTTTATGTCTCCTGGGGTAGGGACCTTGCCTTCTTCATTTCTGTATGTTTTTTGAACACATGAACTGATCATCAGGAAAAGATCTCAACCACACATAGGTTGTGTTCTGAGTCTCAGGTTCACATGTTAATCCTAAAGTCTTTGTTCTCCACGAGGTCACATGTTGCTTGTGATGAAGGGTGTGGTTAAGTCTGCAGTGCAGATGGTTGAAGGGATTTCACTCTGTTTTTAGACATAGCATTGGAACTAAGAATTTTATGTCTATATGGGTGAAGGGGCAGGGATGTGTAGGAAGACAGTTCTAATTAGGATGGAGGATTTATACTAGGAAGTAGAGGTAAAGGAAGTGAGAAGCCTTAGTAAATAGAAGAAATGTGAACTTATCAAATAGGCTAGAGTAGACCCCTGCAGATTCTTGATTAAATCAATTAACCAGATTTTAGAAAGGTAATGAGGCAATCATATGCAAGGAAGATTTCAAAGTCTGGAGACAAGAAGTCAAGCAATACTTTGAGAAGTGGTTGAGCTTTATGGGAATGGAGAGAATTACACTATTGAGAGATGTTAAAAATAATGAAGAGGGTTTCACCATGTGAAATTGTGTTTCTCATTTGAATCTGAGAAACAAATGAGCAGAGGCTGGAGATAATTATGTCTAAAAGACAGTGGGGTACAGGGAGCATAAAGGCCAGGGAGAAAGGGAACTGCAGGAATTAGTGCTGAGAAGCAGGAGTTTAGTGGAGGAAGGAGGAGATGCAGTCCCAGATACAGGCAAATAAGTCTTTTCCCTCTCCCAAGCATGGCAGTCAGCTCTGCAGGAACCAGGATAAGAGAAAAGGCCATCATACCTGCCAGTCTTCCTGAAATACAGAAATGACATCACAGCTGCTATGTTGGATTAAGGAGAGGAAGAAGTCCTATTCTTGTAGAAGCTGTCATGGAAAGAAAAGTAAAGAAGGAATGAAGGTGATGTTATTTTACATGGGGGAGCATCAGGAACAAGCATGTAACATGAGGTACTCTATAATTGTTTCTTCAAGGACCACATTATTTCTCTTGGAATATTGATGGGAGATGATTATATTCTTGCAGTTTTTTTTCCCTCTCACCATGTGTCTCGGTTGGTGATCAGTCCTCTGTCAATTCTCTACTGCACTCAGATATTTTGGAAGGCTTTCAGATGTGAGAAAGGCTGATTGCTATTTTCTATGTCATTAGAACTTGCCACATTTTCACCTTTTCATGGTTGCATCTTTTTCTCGGTGTTTCTGTTGTGGCAGTCATGAATGAGACTCTGTCAGGTCTCCATGGCAGGGACCTGATTGGCAGAAGGCCCAGGTCAGTGCATTTCAAATTCACCACCTCTTGTGCACAGAAAGCTTCTTTCCTACAGGCTCCCAGCAAGGGTGTGAAAGCAAGCCTAGTTCTCCGAGGCTCTCTTTAACTCTAATGGGTGACTGGTTGGAGGATTCCTCATCAGCCTTGCAAAAACTCTTAGAACTGCATTGGTACCTAAAACTTCTTTCTCTTTGTTTTTCATAGGAATCAGCTCTGCATAGTGGTCTGTGGGTTCTCCCATACTACCTTCATGCCTGCCCCACATTCCCTCACAGATGTCTTCCCTGATAAATTATCTTGTATGTCTAATCCCATCTTGGATGCATCTCAGTTGGTAAATACTAACATACCAGGCTTGATTCTTTGCCCTTAGCTTTTTTTCTTTCTCTCCCACAAGCAGTCAGTAACCATGTCCTAGTGTTTTATGTGTTACCTCTTTTTCCATATATATATATATGGAAAAAGGTAGATACTGTTGAGGGGCACTTGCTATGTGCCAGGCCCTGTGCTAAATACTTCCCTGTATCTCATTTAATCCACACAATAACCCTGTCAGGTAGACATTATTTCCATTTTGGCAATGAAAAGACAGAAGCTTAGCGTGGTGTAAAAACTTTCCTGGTGTCATATGGCTAGTGACAGGGGGATCTGAGATTTCATTCTAGGACTATTTGACCTCAAGGTTGATGATGATGATAGTAATATAGTAGCTGACATTGGTTCCTCTGTGTGTGGCATCTTGTTTCATTGACTGCATTAAATCTTTAAAAGAATGGTATGAAGAAAGCACTGTCATTGCAATATTCAGGTAAGGAATCAGAGGTTCAGAGAAGTTGAGTCTTGTGCAAGAAATTTATAACTGTAAACTCTTACATTAAAAAAGAAGAAAGATCTCAGATCAACAACCTACTTTAATACTTCAGGATATGAAAGAAGAACAAACTAAACCCAAGCACAGTGAATGAGGGAAATAATAAGGATTAGAGTGGACATAAATAAAATGGAGAACGGAAACAGAATAGAGGAAATTACTGAAACCAAAAGTTGATTCTTCAAAATAAAATCAACAAAATTGACAACCATTAACTAGATTGACTAAGAAAAAAAGAGAAAAGTTTAAAATTCCTAAAATCAGAAATGAAAATGGACTCTGAGCATGGTGGGTCATGTTTTAATCCTAGCACTTTGGGAGGTCACAGCAGAAGGATTTCTTGAGACCAGGTGTTTGGACCAGCATAGGTAACCTGGGGAGACGCTGTGTGTACAAAAAAATAAAAAACCAATTAGCTGGGCATGTTGACATGCACCTGTAGTCCTAGCATCTTGAGAGGCTGAAGAAGGAGAATTGCTTGAGCCCAGGAGGTTGAGGCTGCAGTGAGCCATAATCACACAACTGTATTCCATCCTGGGCTGGCCTACAGAGTGACAGCCTGTCTCTCTCTTTTCAACAAAAAAAAAAAAAAGAAAGAAAGAAAGAAAGAAAGAAAAATGAAGCGATTACTACCAATTCTAATAAAATAATGATTATGAAAGTACTATAAATAATTGTATGCCAATAAATTGGATAACCTAGATGAAATAGACAAACTCCTAGAAACACACAAAAATATGAATAAAACTATAATCACTAATAAGATTGAATCAATAAAAGCATTTGATGAAATTCCATATTTTTTCATAAGAAAAACATTGTAAGAATGGAAGGAAACCACTTCAACATAAAGGCAATATGTGAAAAACCCAATGGTAACATCATACTTAACGGAGAAAGACTGAAAGCTTTCCCTGTATGAGCAGGAATAAGACAAGGATGCCCACTTTTGACACTTTTATTCAACATAGTGTTGAAAGGTCTAGTCAGAAAAATTAGGCAAGAATTTAAAAAAAGACATTCAAATTGGAAGGAAGGAGTAAAATTATTTCTGTTTATAGATAACTTGAACTTATATGTAGAAAATCCTAAAGGTGGAACAAACCTATTAGAATTAATAAATAAATTCAGTAACGTTGCACAATAGAAAATCAGCATTCAAACGTCAGTTGTATTTCAATACACTAACCATGAACAGTCTGAAGGGAAATTAGGAAAAAAATTTCAATTTATATTAACATCAAAAAGAATAAAATATTTAGGAATAAGTTTAACCAAAGAGGTGAAATGATTATACCTGAAATCTACAAAATATGGCTGAAAGAAATGAAAGATGACATCAATAAATTGAAGGACATTTTGTTTTCATGAATTGGAAGACTCAATATTGTTAGGAGGACAGTGCTACCCAAAGTGAGCTGCGGATTCAATACAATTCCTATCAATCAGAATCTCAGTGACATTTTTGCAGAAAAACAAAAATCTGTCCTAAAATTTATATTGCATCTCATGACTAAATAGACACAGAGCTTTGAGGAGGAAGAATGAAGCTGGAGGACTCACACTTTCTGATTTCAGCATTTACTACAAAGCCCCAGTAATCAATACAGTGTGGTACTGGCATAAAGGAGGACATAGAAATTAATGAAGTATAATAGCCCAGAAAGAAATTCTTGCATATATGGCCAAATGATTTTCATCGAGTGTGCCAAGATCATTCAATGGGGAAGGGACAGTGTTCTCACCAAATGATATTGGGAAAGCTGGATATTCAAGGGCAAGAAAACTAGAACCTTTACATAACACCATGTACAAAAATCAACCCATAATAGATCAAAGATCTAAATGTAAGAGCAAAAACTGTACAACTCTTAGAAGAAAAGCTTCATGATGCTGGATTTCACAATGATTTCCTGGTTGTAACAACAAAAGCATAGGCAACAAATAAAACGGATAAATCGGACTTCATAAAAATCAAAACCTTTTACATATCGAAGAACATTATCAAGAAAGTAAAAAGGCAACCCATGAAATGATAAAAATATTTGCAAATTATATGTGTGATAAGAAATTAATTTCCAGAATACATGAAAAGCTACAAGTCAACAACAGCAAACATCCGAAAACCCAATTAAAAAATGAACAAAAGATTAAAATGGAGTTTTCTCCAAGGAGGTTACACAAATATCCAGTAAGCCCATGCAAAGTTCCTCAGCATCATGAATACTTAGAGATGTGCAAATCAAAACCACAATGTTACACCACCTCACACACTTTAGGATGGCTTTGATAAACAACAACAATGACAGCAACACAAAACAACAGGTGTTTTCAAGCAGATGGAAAAATTGGAGCTCTAGTGCATTGCTGATGGGAATGGGAAATGTTATAGCCACTGTAAAAATTGGTGTGCTGTTTCTCAAAAAATTAAACAATAAATTACCGTTTGATCCAGCAATTCCACTTCTGGACATACTCCCCATAGAATTGAAAGAAATTTGAACAAATATTTGTGCACTGATGTTCAGAGAAGCATTACTCACACTAGCGAAAAAATGGAAACAACCAAAAAGTCCATTGAAAGATAAGTGGGTAGGCAAATGAGGTGTGTCTATACGTTGAAATGTTATTCAACCTTAACAAGGAATAAAATTCCAATACATCGTGCAAAATGGATGAACCTTGAAGATATTATGCTAACTGAAATAAGCCAGACACAAAAGGATAATTATTATATAATTCCATTTATAAAAGATAGTTAGAATAGCCAGTTACATAGAGACAGAAATTAGAATGGTGGGTGCTAAGGGTTCGAGGGAGAAGGAGTGAGAGTTACTGTTTATTGGGTACAGAGGTTTAATATGGTAAGAGGAAAAAGTTCTGGAAATGGATAGTGTGATGGTTACACAACACTAAATTGCACACTTAGAAATAGCTAATGGTAAGCCTTATATTAGATATATATAAAGTGTCTGGTAGTCTTACCCTCTCTATAATTACACACTTTTTGGCACTGCCCTTTTCCTGCCATGCAGAGCTCCAGGGGTGAATCTCCCTATTTCTCTAGCTCTGCATCAGTCACAGTCCTCCATGCTGTGTCCCACGTACTGTGCCCACAGCTTCATACAACCGCTGACTTCAGAGCCAGGACCAGGCTTAGGAGTCTGCCCTGAGGCTCCTTCTCTTCTCATTTCCCTGCAGCCTGGCCCGGGGGAGGCTTGGCTTCAACTGGCAGCTCCATTTAGCGAAATTCAGGACAGTCCACAAGGGGTCTTTCTCCACACATGCTGGTCCCACCCCAGGTGGAGTCAAACAGGGCCAGTCACCAGAGGAGCCCAGAGCAGAGCAGGAAGCAGAGTCTGAGCTGCTCCTCCCTCACCCAAGGGGCTTCCTCCTCTCATTTGGGGGAAAAGTGTGAGCTTGTTTCAAAGCCTCAGATGTTCCTTGTAGCTCATGGAATAGGTACAAGAAAAAAAAGACGTGGCAGAAGGGGATGTGTTAGTGACATCCAGAAGCAACTTGATCTTGAGGACACTCCTTCTTGTCCCTCTGTGAAGCCTCTTCTACCACATAGGGCTCAGGGCTGATAATGACCCCTCCCTACCTTTCTCAGGCGAGACACAAGGTCAGCCATGAGAAAACAGAAAAACAAGGAGAAGAGAGTTTGTAGAGACAAATTGGGAGGGTTCAGGAGGAGAATTTGGGATTTGCTTTTGCCCATGGGACACAGGCTGGGAATAAAAATGTTTTCCTGACTCTTCTCTGAAAGCCAGATAGACTCCACCTAAAACCCTACTGCCAAGGATGCTGGGATCCACTTACCAGAGACTTTGACTGTCAACGATGTGGAGCTTTCCTCGCCAGTGGCTGAGTTACGAACAGAGCAAACATAGAGCCCGCTATGCTTTGTAGTAATTTGGGGGATAAACAGATTTTGTCCTGATTGCTGAAACTTCCCATTAATTGTCCAAGAATACTGTGCCGGTGGGTTAGAGTTCGCGAAGCAAGACAAGTAGAGGTTATCTCCTGAACGGTAATTGGTGTATGAAGGGTGAATTCTGGGGAGGTCTGGACCATCTGGAGCAAAGAGAATAAAGCCACAGGTGATGCCATCTGAGGGAAGGGGATGCTCCTGGTCTCTTAAAGGGACACAGTGACCCTCTGAGACAAGACACATCCTCAAGTCCCAGCAAAACCCCCTCTATGTTCACTGAGCCGAACCCTGAAGTATTCACCTGTTTCTCCCACCACAAGATGTGGGCCCCAAGTCTCCCACGACAAGACCGTCCACTCCCCTTATATTCTTGGTTAAGGCTGTGCCTACCCAGGTTTTCCCAGGGCAGGGAGTCATGGCCAGCTTGGATGTCCAGAAGTAAAGTTGTCTATACTTGGACCGGAGAGAGACTGAGAGGCCTGGCCCCTGGTCATTTGGATTTAAGCTGGTGGCCTGGCCCACAGAGGAACAAAAGATACAGAGGACATTCAGGGTGACTGGGTCACTGTGGATGCCACCATATCGGTCCCGTATTTCACATTCATAGGGTCCTGTTTCATTTCTCGTGACACTGGGTAGAATGAGGATCCTGTTTTCAATGGGTCGCTTTACCCTGGGACTGACCGGGAGGCTCTGACCATTTAGCCACCAAATGTAGGTGTAGCTCTCACTCTTAGGTTCACAGGTGAAGGCTAATACATCCTTATTCTCCCTGGGGTTTAAGTTGTTGATGGTGATTTAGGGCTTGGGCAGCTTCGCTGTGTGGATAACAGAGAGAAGATTGTCCTGTGTGGCACTTTTGATTCCTCCACAGGCATCCTTCAATCAGAGTTACCATCTCCCACCTCTCAGCCCACCTGAGTCCTTGAAAGCCAATAACTGGTGTGTGTGTCACAAGACAGATGCATGATGATCTAAGGGCTCAAAGACTGTGAGGCCGCCTGCTCTGTCTTAGGAAAGCACAGACTTTCTGAAGTGTCAATTGAGCAGCAGTGTTGGGTCATGGACAGACATGTCAGTGGGAGTCACAGCCCCAGTACCCCTCCCAGTCTCTCCCTAATCAGTTGACTGGCTGGCTCACCTTGGGTTCCTTACCTGGAATGTGCAACTGCTGGGCCCCTTCCAAATTCCATCCTACTTTGCCCCCCTAGATGTGATTTCTCTGCAGCTTCCATTTCCAAGGACATTCTAGAGATCAGTAATAATGGGACTTCCCATTGTCCTGAAACCCTGAAGATACTGAGCAGCCTGGCCTGGGACTGGATGTTTCAGCAGAAATAACACAGGGGAGACCAGAGTCAAGCCTGGAGGTCAGTTCAGTCATCAGGCAGTGGAGGCACAAGGTGGGGCAGCTTTTTGCAGGTGTTTCATGATGACTTACTTGAACCAGTGACCTCTAAAGATAGAACAGAGTGCAAGGAATGATCTAGAAAGAGTGAAGGGGATAGGCAAGAGCTGGTGGCTTTGGAGCAGAAGCATGTTCCCTGTCTTGGGTTCTTTAAGTTTCCTCTCCTTCTGCAGAGGGCAGGTGAGGACCATGTGGATCTTTCCAGAAATACATGCGGACATTTGCAAAAGCAGAACTGACTGGTGGAAAGGGTGGGAATGAACTGCTGGAAATCTGGTCGTCATGGACCATGTGTGTTTGATGGATATGAGACAAATTTGGAGAGAAGTTTTTCAAATATTTTCTTTCATTGAACAATCTACTCTGTGATTCCCTGGGTTCGACTACTCTAGGGACCTCATGTAAGTGGATTCCAGAGTGAATATGAGAAGAGACTGCTGGTTGCCAGGAGCTGGGAGTGGGGAGAATCAGAAGTTGTTCATGGGTGTGCAGTTTCAGTTATGCAAGGTAGGGAGTTTCTAGAGATCTGCTGTAGAGCTTGATGCCTATAGTTCACACAGATTGAGTATTTCTTATGCATAAGACTTAAGACAAAAAGTGTTTCGGATTTCTGACATTTTTTGATTCTGAAATATTTGTCATATACTTACTGGTTTAGCATCCCAAATCTGAAAGATTCAAAATCTAAAATGCTCCAGTGAGCATTTCTTTTCAGCATCAGATTAGTAGGCAAAAGTGGGAGGTGATAAGCCAAAGATATTCTTGCCCTTTTTTTTCTCTCACCACGTTTCTGGCTTGGTGATTAGTTTTCGGTCAATTCCATACTGGCCATGCTGCACTCGTTTATTTTTTAAGGCTTTGGGATGTGAGAAAGGCTGATTGCTATTTTCTGTGTCATCAGAACTTTCCACCTTTTCATGGTTGCATCTTTTTCACAGTGTTTCTGTTGTGGCAGTCATTAATAAGAGCCTGTCAGGTCAGATTTAGGACGGAGTTTTCTAATTCTGCCAAAAATGTTACTGTGATTCTGGGAGGGGTTGCATTGAATCTGCAACTCACTTTGGGTAGTATTGTCTTTCTAACAATATTGAGTCTTCCAATCCATGAAAATGAAATGTCTTTCCATATATTGATATCGTCTTTAATTTCTTTCAGCAATGTTTTGTAGTTTTCAAGGTATAATCATTTGACCTTTTTGGTTAAACTTATTCCAAAATATTTTATTCCTTTTGATGTTAATGTGAATTGAATTTCTTTCCTTAATTTCCTTTCAGATTGTTCATTGTTAGTGTATAGTCTAAAGAATGATCTAGAAAGAGTGAGGGGACAGGCAAAAGCTGGTGGTTTTGGAGCAGAAACATATTCCCTGTCCTGGGGTTTTGATTTTCCCTCTCCCTTTGCAGAGGGCAGGTGGCTCTTCCCTGATAGCTAGATAGACTTCACTGGAAAACATATTGCCAATGTTTCAGGGATCCACTTACCAGGGACTATGGTCCTCTTGATTATGAGATTTGTTCCAGCAGTGGCTGAGTTATGGATGAAACAGACATAGAGCCCTCTATATGTTTTAGTGATTTGAGGGATAAAGAACACTTGTGCTGATTGCTGGAACTTCCCATCAATCAGCCAAGAATGCTCTGCCAGTGGGTGAGTGTCTGTGAGGCAGGAGAGCTTGGGGACTTCCCTTGTATGGTAATAGGTGTGAGGAAGAAATGGTGGGGGCATCCAGGCCATCTGGAGCAAAGAGCATAAAGTCACAGGCACTATTGTCAGAGGGAAGGGAAAATCCTGGTCTGTGGAAGGGCCACAGTGACCCTGTGAGCCAAGCCGCAACACTGAACTCCCAGCCAAATCCCCGC
The DNA here is from genome assembly GCF_000001405.40 of Homo sapiens. Classification (NCBI taxonomy): domain Eukaryota; kingdom Metazoa; phylum Chordata; class Mammalia; order Primates; family Hominidae; genus Homo; species Homo sapiens. The sequence goes on from NC_000019.10 coordinate 43,075,079, forward strand.
TGTGTTCACTGATCTGGAGCCTGAGACATTCACCTGTTTCTCCCATCACAAGCTGTGGACCCTGAGTCTCCTATGACAGGAGGAGCCTCTTTTCTCCTATTGTGGATCAAGCCTAGGCCTATTCTGGTTTGCCTGGGGCAGAAAGTCATGGCCAGCTTTGATGCCTAGGGGTAAAGGTCTCTGTACTTGGACCTGAGAGGGACTGAGAGGCCTGGCCTCTGGCCATGTGTATTTGGGATGGCAGTCTGGCCCACAGAGGAACAGAAGATACTCACGGAGGAGATTCAGGGTGACTGGGTCACTGCGGCTGGCACTCCCTGAGTTCCGTATTTCACATTCATAGGGTCCTGCAGTATACTTTGTGACACCAAATAGAAAGAGGGTCCTGTTGGTTTCGGACAGCTGAAACCTATGAGTCATAGGGAGGCTCTGACCATTCATCCACCACTGGTAGCTTGTGTCCGGAGTCTCAGGATCACAGGTTAAGATCACAGTTTCCATGGCCTCCCTGGGGTTTAAGTTGCTGCTGGAGATGGAGGGCTTGGGAGTCTCCACTGTGCAGAAAACAGAGAGAAGATTGCCCTGTGTGGCACCTTTGATTCCTCCAAAGGCATTTTTCAATCAGAGTTGGCATTTCCCACCTCTCAGCCCACCCAAGTCCTTAAAAGCCCATGGCAGGTGTGTGTGTTACAAGACAGATGCATGGCAATCTGAGGGCTCAGTGATTGTGAGGCTGCCTGCTTTATGTGGGAGAAGCACAGACTTTCTCAGGTGTGTATTGAGCAGCAGCATTGGGTCATGGAAAGACACAGGACCAGCAGTCACAGCCCCTGGTGCCTCTCTGAGTCCCTCCATCTCGAAGTGCCTGCCTGGCCCACCTTGTGGTCCTCACTTGGAGCATGCAGTGCTGGAATCTTCTTAGTTTCAGTCTTACTTTGCCCCCTGAGGTATGTTTTCTCTGCAGCTTCCCTTGCCAAGGACATCCAAGAGATGAATGATGGAACTTCCCATTGTCTTTAAACCCTTTGGGTACTGGAAAGCCTGGCCTGGGACTGGGTACTTCAGCATAAATAACACAGGGGAGACCAGAGTCAAGCCTGGAGGTCAGTTCAGTCATCAGGCAGTGGAGCCACAAGGTGGGGCAGTTTTCCCAGGTGTCTCATAGTGAGTGACTTGAGCCAGTGACCTCTAAAGATAGAGCAGAGTCCAAGGAATGACCTACAAAGAGTGAAGGGGACAGGCAAGAGCTGATAGCTTCTGAACAAGACCATGTGCCCTGTTCTGGGTCCACAATGCTCCCTTCCCCCTGTAGAGGGCAGGTGAGGACGATGTGGACCTTTCTAGAAATACATGTGGATGTTTGCAAATGCGAAACTGACTGGTGGAAAGGGTGAACATGAACTGATGATGGAAGTCTGGCCCTCATGGACCATATGTGTTTGGTGGATATTAGACCAATATTTGGGAAGAAGTCTTGCAGATACTTTCATTAGATATTCTACTCTGTTTCTGAGTTTAACTACCCTATGTACCTCATATCAGTGGATTCCAGAGTGAATCAGAGAGTAGAATAGTAGTTTCCAGGAGCTGGGATCAGGGGAATAGGGCGTTGTTCTGTGGGTGTGCGGTTCCAGTTATGCAGGATAAGGAGGTTCTAGAGATCTCCTGTACAGCCTCGTGCCTATAGTTCATTCAGATAAAGTGCTCCTTATGCAGAAAGCTTAAAACAAAGTGTTTTGGATTTCTAATTTTTTTATTTTGGAATATTTGCCGTATATGTACTGGTTTAGCATCCCAAATCTGAAAAATTTAAAATCCACAATGCGCCAGTGAGCACTTCTTTTTAGCATCACATCAGTGGTCAGAAGGGTTGAGTTTTGAGCATTTCAGATTGTGGATTTCTGGATTTGGGATGCTCAATTCGTAATACTGTAATTTTCCCATAAAAAGTTGTCAGGAGTTTAGACCTCATGTTATGTTCTGACTCTAGTAACAAAAAAAATTTGGAGGAAATATTAAAATGTTTTCATAAGTGGAAATTTTTACTGATGATCCAAACATCTAAGATCAATTGCTGGTAGTAGTATTTCTCCTGAGACCAAAATAAGGTTTAGGTGTGCCGTGAATTCCAGCAGGATCACATTATGCTCAAAGAAAGATGCCAAAGGTGATTGGAAATTAGCAGCTCCTTAAGTAGAGAGAGTCCCGTTAAAAGGACAGAACTGGTCAGTGCATCAATTACATAAAGGGAGGAAGGATGCCAAATTAAAAGAAGTGATGTGTGTTATGTTAGTAAATATAGAAAGAACTCCCTGCTTCTAATTTCTGTGCAGAGTTAGGAAAAATGGGGAGGACCCCAAAACAGGTATGTGAAATGCTTTCTTCATTTTCTCTTAAGCTCAGGAAACACCACTAGAGTTTAAGTTTGTGTGAAATAGGAAGATTCTAAGTGAGATGCCAATGGCTCATGTGTCTCCCCACAAGAAGAACTCCAACTTATGAAAACGGCATCATCATGAGGAAACACTTGTGTGTGGCACAGGCAGTAAAACCATCAGATAGCACCCACCTGGTCACCTCCAACTGGTCCTCAAAACCACCAGTATTCCTATTACGTGTACGTTACAGCATTTGTATTTGTCCCACAACTACATAATTTAAAAATTGCTACTGTCAAAACAAAATATTAAATATGAAGTTGAATCAGTTGTTCCACTTTTTCTTCCCCACTCTTCTTGAACTTTCCTGTTTCAGTTTTGGAAATTTCTATTGACACGTCCTCAAGCTAGGGATTCCTTAGCTTTTTTACTTAGTGTTGGAACCGAGTGACAAATTCCAAGCTTGTTATATGCCTGACCGGAAGCCAGAAGTCTCTAGGAAGTGACTGGAGAATGTGAGCTCTATAGCAGGTTGAGGATGGAGTCACGAGTGAAATGGGTGATATGAGCCCATGGGCTTGGGGGACTGCAGGCCTGTCCAGCCTCTGACACCCTGGTGAGTCATTGCAGAGATTACAACAGTGACAGCAAACTAGCATGGCTGACTCCATCTGGCATCTAGTCTCAGGCTGGCTGTCCTCACTTATTCCTGGGCATAGGCCAGGCTAACCTTGGGAGGAATTTAGTTTATGGTTTAATTTTGAAGCAAGAATGATAATAGTTCCTCCATAAAACTAACACCCTTACTTTGCCCAGGGACGGCCTTTGTCAAACTAGTGAAAGACCATGAGATTAAGATTATAGGAGGGAACCGAATTCTGCTAAATTGTTGTCACAGTTTCTATAATCCCTGACTGCTCCAATGTCATTTGGCTGGAGTTGACAAAATTTGTAACTAATTGATCCTATAGATAACATCACTATTATAGAAGTTGAGATTGGTCTTTTGAGATGTTTCTCATTCTTTTGCATTCTGGCAACTGGCTGACCTCATCCATACCTATGATTAATGGCTCAGCCAGTCATGTGGTCCCTACCTAGAGGCGGATTCCAGCACAAACTGATCATTTCCCTCCGCCCGCATGATTCCATCACCAAACAATCAGCAGTACTCATTTTTCAGTCCTGTGCCCCTGAAACTATCCTTGAAAATCTCTAAGCCCTGATCCACTGGGGAGGCTGATTTGAGTAATAATAAACCTCTGTCCTCCTGTTTGGCAGACTTGGAGTCATTAAAATCTTTCTTTACTACAAATCACCATTTCAATAATTTTTTTGTGTGTGTGTGCAGGAGGCCAGAAGAACTTGTCTGACAATGATAAGAGTGGTTGGAGGGACTTCCTATCCCTGTCCCATGGTCTTGTCCACAGGTCAGCCTCACAAAGGGGAAGAGCCCTTGATGGGAATACAGTGGAAGCTCATTCTCTTAGTGACCTGGGGACATTGGCTCGAGATGAAGCCTGGCAGGAGTGGCAACTCCAGGTGATTTCTGCACCTTTCCTATTTCCTGGGAGGTTGGCTAGGCCACAGTGTTAGAAGGAAGGGAACAGAACAGCCAGCCTAGTTAGAGGGAGTGTCTGGGGAAGGCCTAGGTGTGAGGGAAGAAGCTGTGCAGGACAGGGCTTGCCAGTCAGAATGAAGTGGGAGGAAGATGAGGGACACAGAGAAGCAGAGAGAGGCAGAGACACCATGGCAGTGAGCAGTGAGGGCTACACTGACGTCAGAGACCCCAGGGACCAGCTGCCCCCAGTTCCACAGTCCAGAACCAAGGAGCCCTGAGAACCCTCTGGTGGCCAAAGAGCTTCAGAGTTACATGAGGTGGGGTTGCTTTAGGGGCAAGAGGTAGTGGGGGGATGAAACATGGGTGTCAGCTTCTGAAGGACAAGGGACAGGTGTGGCTAGGACCTCCTAGGATTCTGCATCCAACATCCAGTCTCTAAAGAGGTTTTGGATCATTCATTTCTTCATTCCATTCCTTCATTTGTTATGTGAGAGCTCCTGAGTGTGTGTGTCTCTCACTGGGCCTGTGCTGATGCAGGGTGTGAGTGGGGAAAGAAAACAAGGTCCTCTCCTTGATCCTCTCATGACAGTGACATGGACACTTTGGGAAACACAGGGTTTCAGGTTCAGTGATGGGGGTTAAGATCTGAGAGGGAGGCCTGCTCATGTTTTTTGCACTGATTCTGACAGTTGAGGCAGGTGATTTAGTTCTGGAGTACAGATTAATCAGCTGACCATTTGCTCTCACTCCTCTGAGGTTTGGATGCCTAAGAAGAGAGGATTTGAGCCAATAAATGACATGGGGTCCTTGGGACCCAGTAAGCCCTCACTTCTGGTGGAGGAGAGGAAGGGCCTGTGGCTGCAGGCAGACCTCATGTGACCCTGATCTCCCCTTTGTGTTGGTGTGACTCTGGTTCAGTGACTGTGCCTTCCTGTGCCTCAGTTTTCTCTCAATCAAATAAGCTAAATGGCAAATGGACTGTGGCTTTTCATGCTATCTGTGAATAAATGTTAAAGTATTCACAGTCACTTGATCTAATGCTTGGCACAGTGGAGGTTTCACACAAACAGCATTTATTATTAATTTGCTTCCATGAGAAAGCACCGTTACATCAGATCCCTGTGGACAAGCTGCTACCAGGTACATCTTCTGTCTTCTGTTTCTGCTTCTGGGGACATTAGACTTCCTATGGACTCTCCTAAGCCTCCTAAGGCAGTTGGCTGATGGTCTTCAAAGATTGTCTTTCTGTCCTCTCCACTCTGCCTCTCCTGTTTTGACCTCTGTCCTCTACACCATTGCCCAGATGAGGCTCTGAGGGCTGAGCCCTAGCTGGTGAACAGCTCCAGGAGACACAGTCCTCAGACAGCTGGTAAATCCTTGGTCCCAGTAAGCCCTGCCCATGAAGCCACAACCCAGCCCTGGCACAGGCTCCTAAGCTTTATCTGGAGCAAGGATTTAGGGACAGGGTTTGGAGGTTGAGGTTTCTAGGGCTGAGCTTCTCTGAGAGTATCTCAGGGGACCCCTCAGGCCAAGCCCTGCTCAGTTCTCCAGGGTCTTTCTCAGGGTCAAATTTATGAAGAGGGCATGAGGTGCTTGGCTGAGACTGATCTCCTCCTGCTGAGTCCCCCCATCAGACTGTCCTTCCTCTGCAGCGAGTGTCTGCAGGGTCTGGATGCGGGAAAGGAATTCTGATCTGTTGAAATGTGTCTCCTCTGTGTGTGTCCTGCACTAAATGCCCAAACCCCAGCATGGGACATAATGCAGAGAGGGACACAGGCACAGTCTAGGCCTGACAATCCTGTGTGTGTGAAGTAGAAATGACCCCTGTCCCCCAACACCCAGGGATCATGTGGAATCACTTACGGTATAAGGTGAAGGTGAAATATCCAGTTACTCCTCTAGTCCCATCACCTCGCTTTATGATGTGTAAGGTGTAGGATCCTGCGTCCTCCCGGGTGACATTCTGGATCAGCAGGGATGCATTGGAATATGCTGTTTCTCGTCCACTATATGCAGGCCCATATATAATTATTTGACCGTCTACTACATATGATGTAATGTAATGGTAGAGGTCCCTGATTTGCCCTTTGTACCAGATGTAGCCAGTAAGATTCTGGGGCAAATTGTGGACAAGTAGAAGAACATCCTTCCCCTCGGAAACTTTTGGTGGCTGGGCTTCAATCGTGACTTGGGCAGTGGTGGGCAGGTTCCAGAAGTTTAAAAGTGATGCTAGGAGGTGGAGAGAGCATCAGACAATATTGAGACCTATGTATTGGGGTGAAAAGATGGGGCCCTGGGTCCTGAGGAGGTCTCTTCAATCCTCAGCCTTGAAGACACACACACACACACACACACACACACACACACACACACACACACACAAAAGGGGCATGTGTGTTTGTATGTGTGTATGTGTGTGTGTACTACTGTCCTACTAGGTCAAGGTCAGCAGCATGACCCCCATTCCTTCACCACTTGTGACCTTGGCATTTTTCTGTTTGGAATCCTCTTCCCCAGGGGTCCGCATGACCCCATCAGGTCCTGCTCACATCAGGGTATCCTAAGACTTCTTTCCTGACACCTCCTTCAGAGACCCTGGGTCTTCCCTTTCTGACCTTTCCCTGCTCTGCTCCCTAAAGGGTTCTTGTTAACAGCTGACCTCACATTCTAGATCTCTTTGTATGTCTGTCTTCCTCCCCATGACAGCATGAGCTCAGTGAGGACAGGGACTTTTGTGATCTTGGTTGCACCCCAGTGCCTGGAACAGGCTGCAGACTCCTGTAGATGTGAGACTTCTCAGGGCCCTCCACACCCTTGGTGTTTTTTTTTTTCTCCCCCAATTGTTGAGGTTTTTTGCTGAGGACAGTGTTTCACGTCCTGCTTATATTTTTATTTGAAGTGTCATCTGATATAGTTATTATTATCATTTTTCAAAATGTGGCCCCTGATGATTAATCAGGAAAACAGAACACTTAAGATTTTCCTACCTCTTACCAATTCCAGTTCAATGTGATTTTCCTGTTTTGACCCCTGTCCCTCTCTGGTATATTTTCCCCTATCCAGGCTCCAACAGAGCCTTCTTTCCTTTTATTTCTTTCTTCTCTCTTTTTTTTTTTTTTTTTTTTTTTTTTTTTTTTTTTTGAGACGGAGTCTCGTACTGTCGCCCAGGCTGGTATGCAGTGGCGCTATCTCGGCACGCTGCAACTTCTGCCTCCTGGGTTCACGTGATTCTCCTGCCACAGCCTCCTGAGTAGCTGGAATTACAGGAACACACGACAATACCTGGTTAATTTTTTGTATTTTTAGTAGAGACAGGGCTACACTGTGTTGGCCAGACTGACCTTGAACTCCTGATCTCGTGATCCACCCACCTCAGCCTCCCTAAGTGCTGGCTTCTTTCATTTTTTAGAACCCCATCCTCTCCAGGAGACCCCATCCAGTCACTCTTCTTCCTCCTCCTGTCCTCTCCCAGGAAGTTCTCTCCTCACCTGTGACCAGGAGCCCCTTCCATTTGATGTGCTCTGTGCAGGGAGGGGCTGAGAGGGGCCCCATGGTCTCTGCTGCCTGTGTGTTCTCCTCTGTGGAGATGAGCCTAGGATCCAGAAACTTCCTGAGCACGGCTGTCAGCTGTGCTGTCCTTCCTCCTTCTGCACTGAGCCTCTTCCTGGGGCAGCAGCAATTCCCAGGCTCATGGGTGGGGTCAGGCCCAGGACACCTCTCTGTCCCCTCCTCTCTCAGTCCTGCCTCCTTGTCCCTCCTTCTGTTTTCCTTTTGTCTGTGTTTCAGGTCCCTGGGGATTGTGGAGGCCTCTGCCTTTTTCAGCAGTGATTCTTTCACCAAACCTCAACACACACTTTGTGCAGACACACACACACACACACACACACACACACACAAAAGAGACACACACCGACCCACACAGTGACACACATACCCTGCAGGTTGGGCAAGGACAGTCCTGGGCCTCAGCCTCCTGCTGTCCCCATGGCCCTGGGTCGGGGTACACATTCACGACCTTTGCCCTCTTTCATCCCCATCTGGCTCTCCCCTTCAGTGCAGGAGGCTGGAGCTGCACCAGGTCCCTGTCACAGTGATGTCCCATTGTGCTGTGGGTGAGCTGTGTGTTGCCTGGTGAGAGGGACCCTTCCTTTCTCTAATCGTGTCTAGCTTGGCTGCAGCTTCCAAGAATGGACATTCAGGACCTGGGTGTCCTAGAGGAAACTGTCCTTTCTGGAGGTGTGCAGGGTGAATCTCTCATGCCTCTTGGTAGGAGAGGCCTGTGCTGGTTGCTCAGTGGGGGCTGTGAGTCCCGTAGTCAAGGGGAAGTTCTCGGTCACTCTCTGACTCCCTGGGGTTTGGCTGCTGAGCTGGTGCTCAGGGTTTCTCATGTTCTTCCTGACCATCTTTGATGTCCTCTCTTCTCTGCCCAGCTGATTGTCCTGTGGTCACCACACCTTCCCCGTGGTGGTGCAGGAGGAAGTGGGGAGTTACCCAGGAACCCCGCGGGACATGGCTTGTTGAGACGCAGGAGGGGGAACCTGGGACAGAGCAGGGGTTCAGAGCTGGAGAGATTCATCCCGACTTACTCCGTGGCCATGATGGGCTCAGCCCTCCATGTGCTGACATACCCAGGGGTCTGTCCTGAGGGTTTTGACCTGGCCAAGCTGCTGTGTGTAGAGGAGGAACAGGCAGTGGCCAGAGATCCTGTCTGGAGGGACATTGCTCACACCTGAGAGGGCAGGTGGGGGTGAGTTGTGTTCTGGGAGCAAAGAGCAATAACACCCCTCATCTCCCCGCAAGGACACAAGAGAGGTCTGTCTTCCCAAGGGACAGCTGGGGGCAGGTGGCCCCATCCCGGATGGTACCTGTGTGTGACCATCACATGCGCTCTGAGCCCCGCGCGGTGCAGCGGGCAGGGAGGTCACAGGGTGCCTGGCTGATTCCCGGGGAGGCTGTGGGCCCTCAGGCAGCCGCTGTTCTGTGTCAGCTCTAGGCTTGGCCTGGGATGCCCCAGAGAACAGGACAGATGGAGCAGGGGTGGGCATTTAGGGAGCAGTGACAGAAAGAGTTGATGAGGATGGAGGGAGGTCAGGAGGGGAAAGCTCCCAGTGTAGTGTCGCGTGCACCAGCGCTGCCCTGGGAGATGCCTTTAGCTGGGCCCAGGGAAGGAGCAGGTGTGTGGGGCAGGAGCTCCCTGCAGAGGGAGTGGTGTTAGGTTGGCGGCAGCCAAGGCAGGGAGGAGCTGACAGAGTCCGTGTGGGGAGCATGGAGGGCGCTGAGGACTTAGGCCCAAGTGACCCTGGTGAGGGTGGACACTGCTGGGCTGTGGGTTCCGCTGAGGGAGGTTGGCATCCCCTGGGAAGGCTCCAGGCTGGGAGGGACTCTGTCGCCCTCTTGTGGACAGGGAGGGAAGTGTGAACGGCAGCAATCCCAGGCCAGGCTGCATGTTTTATTCCATGTGGATCTGCACACTTCACACGAGGTCACACATATGTTATGTTACAGCTCCTTCACCTTCCAGCCCCGTGAGTCCCAGTCTGTGTGACTCTACGTTCACTGTTCTCCCTCTTTCACAATCAGATGTCCGAAACGCAGATTTTTGTCACCTTCTGTGAGTTTGTGTTTGTGTGCAGTAGGCGGCACTGTGTATACCCTGGGGGCAGTGATGTCTGGGGCTGAGCACTGGACATGGGCTTGGGAGCAGAAGAGGGAGCAGCAGGGTGGGAAGATCAATGTTGAGGGGCAGGGACAAGTCATTTTCATTTTCTCACTCCCAGGGACCAGAACCCAGGATTCTGACTCCAGGGCACAGTATCACACCCTTCTGGTGTCCCTGGATGTCGTGATGCTCATAGCGTCATGTTGCCTTGGCATTCATTTTTTAAGGTGTAAGTTTATTTGCCTCAAATCAGAGGCAGGGCTTGGTCACCATGGCAGTTTTCAATACTGTATCTGGTTCAGGTGGCTCCAGTTGGTGTCCAGAGATAAAATCTTAGAGGCATCTCTCCTGCTTGGTGTGCTGGGCTCACCTCTCTCCAGCTGCTTTCTTTAAACTGATAATTCTGACATTCGCCCTCACATTTAAAGTGACCACCTCTCAGTCACAGCCTGAGCTCCTGGTCCCAGTGTTTGCTGCTTGCTTTGAACACATCCATTAAAGCTCCCTGCTGGAAACCTGTCAGATAACACCCTGGACTTAATAAAGCCATTGGCTCACCGGTCTCTTTCCTCCCTGCCTGTGCTCACTGACCTCTGTGGTCTCCAGGTGTGCTGAGTGCTCCCTAGTGTGTGTAAGTATTAAAAATACTTACATTTTCACATTGTGGTTGTATCATTGTAGCCTCACATGCCATCCAGGGCCTGACATTGAGGCTGCCCTATGGGACCTGTGCTGGTTGAGCCCCTGCTGGAGCTCTTGTTTTGGGGCCTCTGGTTCTGCTGGGGACAGGAGCTTCCAACTAACTTGATTGAAAATCTGATGCGTTTCATTGAAACACTGGGTCAGATGATGTATTCATGGGCTTCAGCTGCCATAACAAACACCTTAGCCTGGGTGAATTAAATAATAGAAATCTGTTTTTCACAGTTCTGTGAATAATATGCTATTTTAACCACTTTAAAATCCACAATCAAGTGAAATTAACCACATACACAGTGTTAAATTACCATCACCAGTATTTTTCCTAGAAAATTTTTATCATTTTAAACTGAAGCTTTGTATCTTTTAAACAATAACTCCCTGTATGTTCCACCCTAGACTTTGATCATCTCTACTCTGTCTCTATGAATTTGCCTATTCTTGGTGTTTCACATAAATGGAATTATACAATTATGTTATTTTGTTTCTGACACATTTCAGTTAGCATAATGTTTCCAAAGTCCATGCATGTTCCAGCGGGTGTCAGACCTTCATTCCTCTTTATGGCAGATTAACATTCTGTTGTGTGTGTCACCATATTTATTTATTCATGTGTTGATGAGCACTTGGATTGTTTTCATATTTTATCTCTTGAATAATGCTGCAATCAACATTCCTATGCAAGTGCCTGTTTGAGTCCCTGGATTTAATTCCTTGGGTGTACACCTAGGAATAAATGTTGGGCCAAATGAGAATTCTATGATTAGCTTTTTGAGGAAAAGCAAAACTCTTTCTCCTAGGGGCTGTACTTTTTATATTCTCACCAGCAATGTATGAGGATTCCAAATTCTACATAATGCTGCTACTTGTTATTTAACATTTTAAAAGAATGGTAGCCAGTTTCGTAGGTGTGATGTGGTGTCTCATTGCAGCTTTGACTTTGTATTTTCCTAGTGACTAATGATGTTGAGTATCCTTTCATGTCCTTCTTGATGTGGTTTGCAAATATTTTCTCTCATTCTGTGTCTATTAATTATTTTCTTGATAAGTTTCTTTGATGTACAAAAGGCTCACATCTTGATAAAGCCCAATTTATCTTTTTTTCTTGTTTCTCATGCTTTTGTATCATATCTAAGAATCCATTGCACATTTGAGGTCATCAATATTTACCTCTATGTCTATTTTAAGATGTTTTTATGGTTATAAGTCTGATATTTAACTCAGTGATTAATTTTTTAGAGAATTGTTTGATATGGTGGAAGCTAGAGTAATCTAAATTCACTGTTTTGCATGTGGTTATCTAGTTGTTTCTGCACTATCATTTGAAAGGAGAGTTGTTCATCCATTAAATTGTCTTGACACCCTCTTCAAAGAGTAATTGACCATAAGTGTGAGGGTTTATTTCTAGACTGTCAATTCTATCCCATTTTTCTTTATGTCCATTCTTTTGCCAGCAGCTTCTGTTTTAATAATTGTACTCCTTTGTGAGATTTCAAATAAGAAAGTTCAAGTCCTACAATTTATTTTGGCAAGATTGTTTTGGCTATTCAGGTGTCCATTTTTGAAAGATGGGGAAGCTAATGTTTCACAATTGGGAAAGTCTTTTCTGTCTTCTTCAGGGGGAAATTTGGGAGAACATTTTAAGAAACTTTATCTAAGTAGGTAAACTCTCACCACTTTATTTGCTGAAGTGCTATGTTAAAGTGTGCATTGCCTATTGTGGAAGAATTGTGAGACCCTGGAAGCACCTGCCCACGTGGTGAGAGACAGTAAATTCCATGATGAGGGGCAGAGAGGACATTGTTTTGTGATACAATGTTGTTGGGGGAGTTGTATACATCTCAACTTCTTTATGTCTCTATACAGTGGGTGTAGGGACCAGCCCCACAGGGTCAGTGGGTTTTTCTCCCCGTGTGCAGAGACGAGAAATTGTAGAAATAAAGAAACAAGACAAAGAGATAAAAGAAAAGACAACTGGGCCTGGGGGACAACTACCACCAAGATGCGGAGACCAGTAGTGGCCCCGAATGCCAGGCTTCGCTGATATTTATTGGATATAAGACAAAGGGGCAGGATAAGGAGTGTGAGCCATCTCCAATGATAGGTAAGGCCACATGTGTCACGTGTCCACTGGAGAAGGGGCCCTTCCCTGCCTGGCAGCCAAGGCAGAGAGAGAGAGGAGAAAGAGAGAGCTTACACCATTATTTCTGCTTATTAGAGACTTTTAGTACTTTCACTAGTTTGCTACTGCTAACTAAACAGCAGAGCCAGGTGTACAGGATGGAACATGAAGGCAGACTAGGAGTGTGACCACTGAAGCACAGCATCACAGGGAGACGGTCAGGCCTCCAGATAACTGCGGGTGGACCTGACTCATGTCAGGCCCTCCACAAGAGGTGGAGGAGTGGAGTCTTCTCTAAACTCCCCCAGGAAAAGGGAGACTCCCTTTCCCGGTCTGCTAAGTAGCGGGTGTTTTTCCTTGACACTGAGGCTACCACTAGACCACGGTCTGCTTGGCAATGGGCATCTTTCCAGACGCTGGCGTTACCGCTAGACCAAGGAGCCCTCTAGTGGCCCTGTCTGGGCATAACAGAAGGCTCGCACTCCTGTCTTCTGGTCACTTCTCACTATGTCTCCCCAGCTCCTATCTCTGTATGGCCTGGCTTTTCCTAGGTTATGATTATAGACCAAGGATTATTATAATATTGGAATAAAGAGCAATTGCTACCAACTAATGATTAATGATATTTATATATAATCATATCTAAGATCTATATCTGGTATAACTATTCTTCTTTTACATTTTATTATACTGGAACGGCTCGTTCCCTCAGTCTCTTGCCTCGGCACCTGGGTGGCTTGCCGCCCACAAGTGGGCATCTCCATTGGACACAGTAGGTTTTGAAATCCTTGTTTATCCTCTGGGGTCTGGGTCTTATCTTACCTGTTAGCTGCAGCTGAAAGAGGTGTCTGCTAAGGCAATGACACCTGTGGGGAGAAGAAGGGTTCAGCAGAGTGAAAGTAGCTGGGACTCAGAGAAGCCAGGAAAGTCTGACTCTTAGAAACTATGGGTCAGCAGATGTGTGTCCTCAGGGGTAAATGGGCCATGCCGGTAGCCACTGCAGTGGACTGGAAGAAGGTAAGGGCTGCTGGGTATCCCATGTTCTGTCTCAGCTCTGCAGCTGAAGATTTGGGCCCTGGGCTGGTACGGCCCTGCAGCAGGGGAAGGGTATACAGGAATGGCTGCATATCGGGACCAAGTCCATGTCATCTTCTTAGGCATTGTTACTGCAGATGGAGGATTCTGTTCAGAGACCTGGCCTGGACACATGGGAGGGCCCACCCCATTCTTTTAAAATTATTTTAAGAGAACAGTATTAGCAAATGTGGTACATGTCTTATTCTGCTAGAATCAGTATTACTGTCATGTTTTACCATGTATCTCTTAGGAAATGGTGAGAGCCATCCACACAATGTGGATTTAAAGGGGACTCTACTATAATTTCAGCTTTCCTACTCTTTATAGAAACCATCTTCTCTGCAAACACACAGGCAATATCTCTGTGTTCATTTCTACTGGGAACCCTGTATGCAAGATGGAGAGAGCCACATTTCCCCCTGAGATGTTATGTAAAATTTGAGGTTGAGATGACATATCTGACACTCTGTTGTTACCCTCAGAAGCTACTACATGTGAAATTCTAATGACTGCATTATCCTACCAAGTTAAAGAGGCAGGCATGAGCAAGGACATTTAAGAGGGGTGAGAGCCTCATCATGATGGGGAGTCTTGTTCTGACATCTTGGGAAGAAATGTCCACAGTGTGAAGTCATCAACTTGTTGTCCTGGTTTACAGTTTGAGCATCTGTTGTTATGGTGTCGAAAATGTTGGCGAGTTCTGAGTGGCTCACGCTTCAGGTACAAGGGTTTTCCCATGAAATTTACATTGAGTTGTCCACCTCCAGCTTATAGGGCTTCTGGAACAGAGTGGGTCTTGCTCTTTGTGATTCCATGGGAGAAAGTGGAATTGGAGGAACTAGTAGAATTCAGGGAACTGTCCAGTCTACAGGTGGATAATAAAAACACAGAAACAATGAACAGAGCTGCAATCTCATAACCGGTGTACTACAGTTTTTATTTTCCACATAATTTTTCTCTCTATGGGCATCTCTAGTTTTACCAATGATAATTTCAGTAGAATAAGTTTGTTTGCAAAATAGGTTGAGTTTCTTCAAACGTGGTCTGATTGTTTACATAAGTGCAGCAAGAGTATCAATGGACCATGTAGGGTCTCTTTTAAAATTTTCTTTGCTGTAAGTTTTTATAAGGAATCTCAGATTAAACATTTACAAACCTCTTGCGAATAGGAAGCCAAAGCAAGGCTGACTTCAGACTTTGCCTACAGTTCATATTGGTTCATTCTATCTATATTCTTAAATATAAAATTCCAGTCAAAGCTTTGGTAATATAACCAATGATTTCAAATGTGTCGTGTTAAAAAGAGAGCAGATTTTTACTATACTTGTGCAAATATGTGTATTACCATAAACATATCAATACTCCTGAATAGTTGCCCAATTCTGGGGCAGTCAGGTAGACAGCAAAAGTAAATGCTTCAATTATTGTTCCCAGAAGTATAGTTTATTGAACTGCTATAAGCTATAGATAGATTAAAAGAAAACAATTCCATAAATCTAGAAAACAAACCATTTAAAGAATCAGCAAATTTTCAAATAAAAGTCATAAAAACATTATCCTCATTATTATCAATTGTTTCAATGAAATCAATGTTTTTCCTGCTTGGTAGGCTGAGAATTTTATGAAGATATCAGCCTGTTTGTTAAAGTTTTGGAAGTTTTTGACAGTCCAGTGGTATAATGTGAAAGTTATGAGAAACTTGTATTAAAGAGTTCTTGTCAGCATCGTTTCCATAAATCTCCTTGAAAAGGAAGCAATTTTGGACTGTAGCTGATTGGAAATGCTTTGAGGAAGAATAAAAACAACATCTGTGAATGACAAAGATTTTAAATGACTATGGTTAAAACTCTGATGAGAATTCATTATGATAACACAGCTCACATAAAAAGTTAGTTATTTCTGTGGTATATGACATTAATGGCTGATAACATATTTAATTTCTAGGAATCTCATACAATTTCTGGAACAATCATATCAGTAACATATCCATAAATATAACATAGAGAAGGTTTAGCATCCTTTACCACTTATGATTTGAAAATGCTTTTCATATAATTTTACAGGTCAAATAAAGTGGCTTTTCCATGTAGCTTGTGTTTCTCAACAGGATTACTGAGTTCTTGGTGGAGGTCATTAATGGATAGGGCCAAGAAAGTATAGGCTTATGTATGCTGAAAAATTTCCCTAGATAATTCCAATACTCCCAGCTAATAATCATGAATTTAGGTGTCAGTTTTCCTATTAGAACAGCTGTTCTTTATCCTGGTTACACATTAGTGACATCTGGGAAGACTTAAAAATTACCAATGCCTGAGTCTCACTTTAGACCATTAAATTGGATCCTATGGGTGGGGCTTGGGCATCCATTTAAAAAAATGTTTTCCAGTGATTCCAATGTGTAGCTGTATTTCCCCTCAGATTTCTCTGATTTCTTGTGGCATTCACTTTTTTCTATTTTGGTATTATAATTATTTTTTGGGTCTTATCGTCTATCTTAGGCTTTATGTTCCTTGGGGTAGAAACCTTGCCTTCTTCATTTCTGTATCTTTCATGAACATATGAGTTGGTCATCAGGAAAATGTTTTCAATCACATGTAGGTTGTGTTCTGAGTCTCAGGTTTACACATTAATGCTAGAGTCATTGTTCTCCAGGAGGTCAGAGGTTGCTTGTGATGAAGGGTATGGGTAAGCCCATAATGCAGACGGTAGATGGGAGATCACCCTGTTTTTAGCCATAGCATTGGAACTAAGCATTCTATGTGTATATCAGCTGGAGGGGAAGGGATGTGTAGAAAGACATATTTAATTAGAATGGAGGAATTATACTAGGAAATAGAGGGAATGGAAGCAATAAAAATTAGTAAAGAGAAGAAATGTGAACTTATCAGATAGGCAAGAGTAGATCCCTGAAGATTTTTGAATAGGGGAGTTAACTAGAATTTAGGAAGGTAATGAGGCAGTCATACACAAGGAAGATTTCAAAGACTGGAGATAAGTCAAGCAGTACCTCTAGCAGTTGTTGAAGTTGTGGGAATGGAGAGAATGACACAAGTGAGAGATGTTAAAAAAAATGATCAAGAGCGTTTTATAAGGTATTGAATCTGGGAAACAAATGAGCAGAGGCTGAGGATAATCATTTGTAGGAGACAGTGGGGTACAGGGAGCATGAAGAACAGGGGAGAAGAGACCTGCAGGAATAAGTGCTGAGAAGCAGGAGTTTAGTGAGAGGAGGAGGAGGTCCAGTCCCAAATACTGGCAAAGAAGTTCTTTCCCTCTCCCAAGCATGACAGTCAGCCCTGCAGGAAACAGAACAAAAGGAAAGGCCATCATACCTGCCAGTCTTCCTGAAATAAACTACACCAGGGCTGCTAGATCAGAGCCACACTGGCCAGTACTTCAATCATGATGCTGACAGTGGCTCTACCTGAAAGGCCAGGACAACTTCCTTGTACTGAAATATCTGTCATGGAAAGAAAAGAAGAGAAGGAATAAAGGTGATGTTATTTTACAGTGTGGTACCTTATGAACCATCACTAAGTATGAAGTTGTTTCTATTTGTCCCTTCGGGGATTACATTAATTTTGTGGGAGGGTTGCTGGTAGATGATTAGCCAACTATATTCTTGCAGTTTTTTAATCTGTCAACATGTTTCTAGGTTAGTGATCAGTCTTCTGTCAATTTCATCCTGACCATGCGGCACTCAGATATTTTTGAAGGCTTTATGATGTGAGAAAGGCTGACTGCTATTTTCTGTGTCGTTAGAACTTTCTACCCTTTCATGGTTGCATCTTTTTCTCAGTGTGTCAGTTGTGGTAGGCATGAATAAGACTCTGTCAGGTCTCCATGGCAGCTTGTGTTTCTCAAGAGGATTACAGAGTTCTTGATGGAACACATTAATGAATAGGACTGAGAAAGTATAGGCTTATGTATGTTGAAAAATTTCCCTAGGTAATTCCAGCACTCCCAGCTAATAATCGATTAATTAATAATCAATTGACTTGATTGACAGAAGGCCCAAATCAGTGCCTGCCAAACTGATAACCTACTTTACATAGAGTCCTCACTTTCCTGAAGCTCCCAGCAGGGATATGAAAGCAAGCCCAGTTCTATGAGCCTCTGTTTTATTCTCCTGGGTGACTGGGGGGAAGACTCCCCATCAGTCTTGCCATGCTTTCTTTGAACTCTAGCTAAATTTTCTTTCTCTTTCTCCTTCACAGGAACCAGATTTGCATGGTGGTCCCAAAGCTCAACAGACTTTTTTCATGCCTGCCCCACTTTTCCTCACAGGCACTTTTCCTAATAAATTATCCTGCATGTCCAATCTCATCTTGGATGCATCTCAGTGGGCATAAACTAACATACCAGGCTTGATTTTTTTGCACTTAGCTTTTTTCTGTCTCTCCCACATGTAGCCAGTAACCATGTCTTAGTGTTTTATCTGTTACCTCTTTTTTCATGTGTATAGAAAAAAATATATATTTCCATATACTTATTTATATGTAATATATATGATAAAATATGTAATATAAAATGTATAGTAATGTAAAACATATACATATTTTCCATATATGTATATGGAAAAAGAGGTAACACATAAAACACCAGGACATTTACATATAATAAAATTGACATATGTTATATATATATATGTAGTGTCTGGTAGTCTTAACGTTTCTATAAATACACAATTTTTGTCACTGCCCCTTCCTTCTTTCCCATGCAGAGCTCCCATGGCCAAATCTCCCTATTTCTCCAAGTGTGTGTCACTCACTGTCCTCTGTGCTGTGGCCCATGTGCTGTGTCCACAGCCTCCTAGTGTTTTATGTGTTCTCTTTTTCTATATATATGGAAAAAGCATATACATATTTCTCTCTATAGATTTATATACAATATATAATAATCTAAAAATATAGAATATGTAACAATTTAAAATATGTACATATTTCCATATCTATGAAAAAAGGTAACACATAAACACTAGGCCATTTATATATATAAAATCCACATATGTAATATAAATGCCAATTTTATCATATATAAATAAGTATATACACGATAGACTTATCATATATATATAAGGTGAATTTGGAATGCCCTGACCTGGGCCCTCTGTCAGTCAAGTCCCTGCCATGGAGGTCATTCATGGCTGCCACAACTGAGACACCAATAGAAAGATGCAGCTATGAAAAGGTGAAAAGTTCTAAAGTTGTAGCAAATAGCAATCAGCCTTTCTCACATCCCAAAACCTTCAAAAATATCTGAGTGCAGCATATCCAAGATGGAATTAAAAACTTCAATCTTGAAAAGGAAAAAGGAAACTGGAGGACTCACACTTTCAATTTCAGCATCTACTGCAAAGCTACAGTAATCAATACAGTGTGGTACTGGCATAAACGAGGACATAGTAACTAATGGCATAGAATAGAGAACCCAGAAAGAAAGCTTGCATATATGGGCAAATGATTTTTGTCAAGAGTGCCAAGACCATTCCATGGGGAAAGGACAGTCTTTTTAACAAGTGATACTGGGAAAGTTGGCTATCCATGGACAATTATGAAATGAACCTTTACCTCACACCATATACAAAAAAATGAACCCACAGTGGATCAAAGACCTAAATGGAAGAGTGAAGGCTACCAGACTCTCAGAAGAAAACATAAGGAAAAAGCTTCATGTTATTGAATTTCAGAATGATTTATTAGTTATAACTACAAAAGCACAGGCAACAAAAAGATAAATTGGACTTCATGAAAATTAAAACTTTTATATATCAAAGGCCATTATCAAGAATGTATAAAGGCAAACTATGACATAGGGAAAGTTTCTGCAAATCATATATCTGATAAGGGATTAATTTCCAGAATACATGAAGAACACTACAAATCAAAAACAGCAAAAACACAAAAGCCCAATTAAAAATGGAGAAAAGACTAAAATAGAGATTTTATTAAACAAGATATACAAATGGCCAATGAGGACATGAAAGGATTCTCAATATGACTAATGTTTAGAGATACGCAAACCAAAACCACAGCGATACACGACCTCACACACATTAGGATGGCTTTGATAAAAACAACATGAACAATAACATCACAAAACAAGTGTTTTCAAGTACGAAGAAACATTGAAGCTCTTTGTGTATTGCTGATGGGAATGGGAAATGTTATAGCCACTGTGGAAAAAGTGGCATGGCATGGCCAGCTCATGCCTGTAATCCCAGCACTTTGGGAGCCGAGATGGGTGGATCTCTTGAGGTCAGGAGTTTGAGAACAGCCCGGCATGCGTGGTGAAACCCTATCTCTACTAAAAGTACAAAAATTAGCTGGGTATGGTGGCATGCGCCTGTAGTCCCAGCTACTCAGGAGGCTGAGGCACGAGAATCACTTGAACCTGGGACGTGGAGATTGCAGTGAGCCAAGATTGCACCATTGCACTCCAGTCTGGGTGACAGAGCAAGACCGTGTCTCAACATCAACAACAGAAAAGAAAACAGTATGTCAGATTCTTAAAAAAATTAAAGCATTACCACTTGAACCAGCAATTCTACTTCTGGACATACAGCCAAAAGTATTGAAAAATATTTGAACAGATATTCGTACACTGATGTTCACAGCAGCATCACTCACAATAGCCAATGGGTGGAAACAACCGAAAAGTCTATTGAAAGATAAGTGGATGAACAAAAATGTATATCCATACTTTGGAATGTTCTTCAGTCTTAGCAAGGGATAAAATTTTGACACATGGTGCAAAATGGATGAACCTTGAAGACATTATGTGAGGGGAAATAAGCCAGATATAAAAGCATAATTATTATATACTTCCATTTATGTAAGATAGTTAGAATAGTCAGTTACATAGAGACAGAAATTAGAATGGTGATTACCAGGGGTTAAGGGGAGAAGGAATGAGAGTTATCATTTATTGGGTTCAGAGGTTTAGTATAGTGGGATAAAAGCTCTGGAAATGGATAGTGTTGTTAGTAACACAACACTAAATTGCACGCTTAGAAACAGTTAACGGTAAATCTTACATATATAGTGTCTGGTACTCTTACCCTCTCTATAAGTACACACTTTTTGTCGCTGTTCCTTCCCTGCCATAGGGAGCTTCTGTGAGTTAATCTCCCTATTTCTCCAAGTGTGCATCACTCACTGTCCTCTGTGCTGTGTTCCAGGAGCTGTGTCCACAAACTCAGACAGGCAGTGACTTCAGAGCCAGGACACAGCCCTATTCCCATTTTTTAAAGCCTTACCCATGGGAGGCTTGGCTTCTACTGGCCGCTCGATTTAGCCAGATTCAGAACAGGCCACCCAGGCACCTTATCCACATGCCCTAGTCCCAGCCCGGGTGGAGTCAGGGCAGGGTCGGTCACTGGGCGAGCCCACAGCAATGCAGGGAGCAGAGTCTGAGCTGCTTCTCCCTCACCAAGGGGCTTCCTCCTCTCATTTGGGAAAAGTATGGGCTTGTTTTGAAGACTGATGTTCATCGCAGCTCATGGAGTACACACACACAGACACAGACACACACAAAGGAGACAGGAGGGATGTTTTGGTGACAGAAACAGCTTGACCATGACGACCCTCCTCTTTCTCCCTCTGTGAAGGCCCTTACACTGCATAGGGCTTCGGGCTGATAAAGCCATTTCCCTACATTTCTCAGGCTGGACTCAAGGTCATCCACCAGAAATCTGGAAAACAAAGGGAAGAGAATCTGTAGATATGAATTGGGAGTGTTCAGAAGAAAAATTTGAGATTTATTTTGTGCATGGGACACAGGCTGAGAATAAAAATGTCTTCCTGGCTCTTTCTTGGAAAGCCAGATAGGCTTCACCTGAAAGCATATTGCCAATGCTCCAGCGATCCACTTACCAGGGACTGTGATTTTCTTGGTTGTGAAGTTTTTGCCATTAGTGACTGGGTTATGGACATAACACAGATAGTCCCCACTATTCTCTGTAGTGACTTGGGGGATAAAGAGCTCTTGTCCTGTTTGCTGGTTATTCCCATTCAGCAGCCAAGAATACTCTGCTGATGGATTAGAGCCCATGAGGCAGGAGAGGTTGAGGTTTGACCCTGGATAGTAATAGGTGTCTGAAGGATAAGTTGTGGGTTCATCTGGGCCATCTGGAGCAAAGAGAATAAAGCCACAGGTAATGTTATCAGAGGGAATGGGAAGCTCCTGGTCTGTGAAAGGGACACAGTGTTCCTTTTTGCCAAGTCACAACCCCGAAGTCCCAGCCAAACTTCCTCTGTGTTCACTGAACTGGAGGAGTCTAAGATATTCACCTGTTTCTCCCATCACAAGCTGTGGAAGCTGAGTCTCCTAAGACCGGAGAAGCCCCTGCCTTCCTGGGCCTACTTAGGTTTGCCTGGGACAGGAAGTCATGGCCAGCTTGGGGGTCCAGGGGTAAGTGTCTTCATACTTGGACCTGAGAGGGACAGAGAGGTCTGGCCTAGGGTTATGTGGATTTGGGCCGGCAGCCTTGTCCATGAAGGAAAAGAGGATACTCACAGAGAACATCCAGGTGACTGGGTCACTGTGGCTTGTACTCACTACATTCTTCCTTTGACATTCATAGAGTCCTGTGTCACTCCTTGTGACACTGAGTAGAGCAAGGATCCTGTTATCATTGGACATCTTTAGCCTGGGACTGAGTGTGAGTTTATGACAATTTACCCAACACATGTAGATTGTGCCATGAGTCTCAGGTTCACAGGTTAAGACCACAGCCTCCTCATCCTCCGAGGGGTTGCTGGTGACATAGGGCTTGAGCAGATTCGCTGTGCAGATAACAGAGAAGATTCCCCTGTGTGGCACCCTTGATTTCTCCATGAGCATTTTCCAATCAGAGTTGACATCTCCCACCTCTCAGCCAATCCAAGTCCTTAAAAGCCCACAGCAGGTCTGTGTGTCAAAAGTCAGATGGATGCATGATGATCTGAGGGCTCAGAGGCCATGGGGCCACCTGCTCTGTGTGGGAGATGCACAGACTTCTGAAGTGTGGATCGAGCAGCAATATTGGTGAACTCTGAATTGAGCAGGGTCAAACAATTAGAGTTTGATTAACTTTGTTTAAATTGAGAAGAGTCCAAGTGAGGCAGCAGTGGCTCACGCATCTCCCCACCCGAAGGACCCCACCTTATGACAATGTTGTTATTATGAATACACAGGTGTGCATGAAACAGGCAGTAAATCAGACAGCACCCACCTGGCCAGCTCCACCTAGTCCTAGGAACCATCAGTATTCCCATTATATGTATGTTACAGCTTTTTAGGCTACAAAATATAAAATACGACTACAGAATATAAAATATGCTATTGTTAATACAAAATATTGAATATGAAGCTGAATATGTTGTTCCACTTTTTCTCACTCTTGTTAAACTTTGCTGTTTCAATTTTGGAAGTTTCTATTATTACACACTTAAACTAGAGATTCTTTCCTCAGCTGTGTGCAGCCTACGAGTAAGCCCATGGAGGGCATTCTTTATTTCCCTTAAAGTGTTTTTAATCTCTAGTATTTCTTTTGCTTCTTTCTTAGAATAGCCATCTCTGTTTAAATCACCCATCTATTCCTGAAAGGTGTCTCCTTTTTCCATCATAATCCTTAACCAGAGTTGTTTTAAATTTCCAGTCTGATAATTTCAGCATCCCTACCACATCTGTGTCTGGTTCTGATCCTTGCTCTGTCTTTCAAACTGCATTTTTTTTTTTGCCATAGTCTGTCTTGTATTTTTTTGAAAACCACACATGATGTACTGTGTAAAAGGGACTTGAGTGAGCAGGCATTCAGTGACATGGTGGTGAGTGTGGGGAGGGAAGGGTTCTGTGATTCTGGATGTGGTCTGTGTCCTGGGCTGTGAATGTCACAAGTGCCTCTCAGGTTTTTGTTTCCACTAGGTGGAATATGATAACTTGAGGAGGCTGGAGTTGGTTATTTCCCCTCCCCCTGGCCAGTTAAGCTCCCATCAAACCCCAGCTAATTAGGCTGCAGTAAAATAGTTTCTCTTAAATGTAGGTCTTACCAAGAAGAACATAATTCACTGACAACCTTCCAAGTGTTTTTTTTTCCCTTCTTCCTACAAGAAGGAGGTGGATTCTTTTTGGATATTGACTGTGAGAAACTGGTAGACTCCAGGAGCTAAGAGTCATAAATCTGTCCCCCTACTCCCAAGACTAATCCATCCACTGGTGTGTTTATCTCTGTGCTGTGTCCACACTGAGCCTCCAGAATTTCCTGAATTACAGTTCAGGTTTTCTGACCCCAGCACTGGTGCCCACTGGGGTTTCTGTGCCTGTGTTTCTGCTGAGGTATGGTGCATGCTCTGTATTTGCCTGTGGGTCTCTCCAATATGTGGGCCAGTTAGCACTGAGACCTTGCTTCCAGAGAAATCTAAACGAGTTGTTGATTTTTCAGTTTGTTCAGCTTTTTACTTCTTGTTAGAACTGAGTGAAAATTTTTAAGCTACTTACATACCTGATGGAAATTCGAAGTCTCTAGGGCATGACTGGAGGATATCAGCCCCACAGCAGGTTGAGGATGGAGTCATGAGTGAAATGGGTGAAATGAGCCCATGGGCTTTGGAAACTGCAGATCTGTCCTTCTGCCTCTGACCCCCTGGTGAGTCCATGTAGAAAGAGAAACCACCATTGCAAAGCATATGATGGTGAGAGGAAGCTAGCTTGGCTGCCCGCATCTCACCTCTAGTCTCAAACTGGCTCTCTTCTCTGATTCCTGGGCATAGGCCAGGGTAAGCATGGGAGGAATTTATAGTTTAACTTTAAAGCAAGGATGATAATAGTCCCTCCCTAAAATCAGCTCCTCCTTGTCGGGGACTACCTTGGTAAATCTAAGAAAAGACCACAAATTATGGGAGGGGCCCAAATTCTGCTAAAATGCAGGCATAGTTTCTATAATCTCTTACTGCTCAGGAGTCATGTGTCCAGAGGTCACAAGATTTGTGACTTTCCTAGTTGCTCCTATAGATAGCAAGACTACTGTAGAATCTGAGATTTATCTTTTGAGATGTTTCTCAGACTTTTGCATTCTGGCAACCAGCTGACCTCATCTAGACTCATGACCAATGGCTCAACCAGTCATGTGGCCCCCACTCAGAGGCAGATTCAACAAATACATACCATTTTCCTACCTGCATCATTTTATCTCCAGCCAGTCAACAGTACTTATTCCTTAGACCTTCGCCCCTCAAAGTTTTTGAAAAACTCTAACCTCAGAGCCACTGGGGAAGGTGATTTGAGTCATAATAAATTTCTGTCCTCCTGTTTGGCAGCCTTGGGCTAAGTAAAACTATTCTTTACTACACATCACCTTCACAATAAATTGGCTTTGCCTGTGCAGAGGGCAAGAACCTGTCAGGTGATTATAAGAATGGATGGAGCAGTCACTGATCTCTTTCTGGTGGTCTGTTTCATGAGTCAGCCTCTCAGAGGGAAAGAGCCCTGGACTGGGACACAGTGGAAGCTCATTCTCCTGGTGACCCGGGGACATTGCCTCATTACGGATCCTGGCAAGGGTGGCTACTCTGGCTGATTTTGGTGCATTTTTCATTTCCCAGAAGGCAGGACAGGCCTCAGTGTGAGCAGGAAGGAAATGGAACCATCAATCTTGTTAGAGAGGGTGTCTGGGGAAGTCCTCAGGGTGGAGGAAGCTGGACAGGACAGGGCTCATCAGGTAGAATTAAAGGGGGATGCACTTTTTTCACTGAACACCTTTCAGATATCTCACTAACTCTGGCCTCACTGGGCTCTGCCTTTCCTTCTGAGCCCTGAGCCCTGAGCCCTGATTCCTGGAGGGAGGGAGAGAGAGAGGAAGGGTGAAGCTGGGATGTGTGCTGTCCAGGTTTCTTCCATCTCTGGAATCTTGAAAGCGAGGGACCCTAGTGTGTTACCACAGAGGAGACCATGGGAAAAAGCTGTTTCTCAGGGGTGCCTGGCTTATGAATTGAGGGGAATTCAGACCAGGTTGGACTTGTGAACTGCAGGGACCCTGTTCCATGTCAGCAACCAGCTCCTCTAGCTCAGTGTTTCTCTCTGTGGCTAATTCTTTTGTGTGATTTCTGAGCCCATGCTAGAGTCCTCCTCACGATGCCTGATGGTCAGACCTGTGTGGGGAGACCTAATGATGGGGTGGGGGTGGTCTTGAGTGTCACACAGAGTGTCCAGGGAACAGGCTTTGTGACTTTCTCTACCCCAGCCCCACAACAAGATCTGGATAGTGGGCTTGGTCAGATAAAGTCAGAATCCATGGAGGGAGGGTATGTGTCCTGGCAGTACTGAGGTTCCTGCCTCCAGGTTAGTTCTCAGTCTCTGCAAATACATTTATGTTGTGCTTGTGCTGTCTCCTGGACTGTTTCATGTCCTTAAACTCTTGAACCTGTCTGCAGATAATGTCATGAGAGGTCTGCATGGAAGTGTATGAGGGCTATCAGATTAGGGTGGGGGTGTTTTACATAGTGGGTTTTTTTTTTCACCAAACACGTTTCAAAAAATTGTGGTTGAGTGTGTATATAGAAACACATACATACTTATATTCATTAGATGTGAATTTATGTTTATATAAATTTAATATATAGATACATATGTCTATAAGTATACACGCATATGTATATGTGTATATATATGTATATATGTATATATGTATATGTGTGTATATATATGTGTGTGTCTGTGTGTATATATATATACATATATATATATATATACACACACATATATATATATATAATGTGCCATTTTAACTACTTCACTTAAGGGGAGAGAGAGAGAGAGAGAGAAGAGAGTTTCCACTAATACCAAATCTGGGTTAAATAAGGGTGGTCCTATTTCCTGGGGTTGGGCTTTTGCTAGATGTGTCAGTTCCTGTTGGAAGTGAGCTAGAGAGGTTATATGCTTAACAAATGTAGAGATTTTCTATATGAAAATAATCTGTGAGCACATTGATAAGTTTTATCCTTTCCTAGGTGAAAAGCTTGGTGAAGGATTTTAAGGACTTCCCATTGGCTGAAGGCTGGCAAATGGAGTTTGCCATCCTCTGACTACAGCCATTCTGAGGACTGGAAAGGATACCCTGAGAAGTGGCCTATTTTATTTCTGCTGGAAGGTACTGAGGTTTAATTTATCTTATGGAGTCTTCCTAGATTAGAAGGCTTTGAGTTGTGTTGATGCCTTGCCAGTGACTTAGCTGCCTGATCAGTGAACCTATTTCCTTTGTCTACTTCATCTGTTCCCTTTTTGATGTTCCCTATAATGTATCACTGCTATTTCTCATGGAAGAAAACTGAGGATAATAAGATGTTAATTTTTTGGTGGTATTTTATAGGAAATCCATTAGTGGTAAGAAAATGCCTTTTATTTTAAATGGCAGCATGAGCATGAAGAACTAAAAAAGCATACTTGGAATCAATGTAAATGTTAGCTACCTTTCTCTTGCTTAATTTAAGTACCCTTGTAAGAACTATTTGTTTAGCTGATTGAGCACCTGCACCTGAAGAGAGATGTTATTTAGAGTGACTACTGCTTATCCTGCCTTATATATTTCTTGCTTTACCAGCTGTTTGCTAGCTAAGCGCTCCCTCTAGAGGAAAGTAATTTTGCCACATTAAGTGGAGGTGTAAACCGTTTTTTCCTAGGGTTAATTTGGAGACTTTTCTGACTAGTGGAGCTATTGTGACAGTGGTTTGGAAGCAGGTGTAAACAATAGGTCCTCCTAATTGTAAAGTACAGGTTGAGAAAAATATTGTATTTGAATTTTTAATGAGACACCCCTTATGGTTGTGCTATGGGAAGAGAGGAGGCCTGGATAAGAAAGGAGAAAAGAGAGAGACTGGATCTAGTGTTTAGAAGGACGTCTACTTTCTTTCCTATAATTTCCAGAATCACCTGTGTCTCCTGTGCTGTAATGGCAGTTTCAGCTGCTGGAGCCAGGGGTTTGAGCCCCAGGACCCATCAGTCCTGCTGGACAACTGTGAGACTGCTTCTGAACCCAGTGACCTCCATCTCTGGGAGCAGTTGCATCTCCAGTGGTCTCCACCACAGGCTGGACAGGGTCAAGGTGGCTTCCTCTTGCTCTTTGGACACTCCTTCCTAAAATGCCCTGGCCTGCCATACCGAGAGCAACTAGTGGATACACCTCTGGGATCCTGGACTTTGCAACTCTGCAAAGCAGCTACTAGAGGCTTTGTCCTTCTCTTGAGCTTTCTCTCTTTCTTCTGGGCCTTCTCCTGGTCCCTATTATAAAAGACTGAAGTGGCTACCCTCAGAAGGTTTTCCAAGGTGCTATCTGCTACTATAGCTTGCATTTGTAGGTTCCTTCTAATATTGGGAGATTTCTATATAATAAACTTATCTTTTAGAATGGGCTGTCACTTGACTGAATCAGGAGATAAAAAGGTGTGTGCTAATAGTGCCCTTCTCAACCTATCCATAAAGGCTGCAGGATTCTCATCTGGCTTTTAGTCTATCCTAGACAGTTTAGAGAAATTAAGAGGTCTAGCCTTAGTTTTTCTTTTCCATTGATCTGCAGAGCTATTGGGGTTTCAATCAGGGTTGTCAAGAGGTACTGCTTCACTTCTTATTTGGAATGGTGTTTCTGCTATTTCTTCACTTTCCATATCTCCTTCCTTCCCTTTTGGTGTATTATAGGAGATATGTTGCTCATCTCCAAAATTCTCTGCTGCTTGCAGAGCTGCCTATTTTTCAGCTACAGTTAGGGTTTGGTTTAGGAGCAGCATAACATCCTTCCATGTGAGGTGAAACACCTGACTTAAATTCTGGAAAGCTTCTATATACCTATCAGGATTGTCTGAAAATCAGCCTAAGTCTTACTTTATTTGCCTAAGGTCCTGTAATGAGAAGGGAACTTGGAAGGATCCCAAATTATGGAGTTTCTTCTCAGATGGTTCCCTTGGAATTTGCTTTTCTAATTCGAGGGGATTATTCTTTATAGGCCTGCCTGATATGGCTGTTAAAAAAATCTGGGTTGCTGTTACAATGCTTGTAAAGGTTTAGTAAAAATGTCCTGTCATTGTGCAAAATAGAATGAGTTGCTTTTCTCTTCAAAGTCCTGAGGTTAAAAGAGTTCTAGTGCCTCAGAGTGCACTCCAGAGGGGTGCAAGCTGAAGATGCTCTGTTAGCCATCTAGAAAAAGAAGTGAAAATAAAAGTGTCCTTATAGTCCTCCTCCTTTCATTGTGACCCAGAGTGGAGTGGAAGACAGTGGGAGCATCCCCCCAACTGTTTTCTCTCCTTGGCTCCTGAGTCCTGGCACTGTGTAAAATGTGCCGCCCATGGTTCTAGGTGTGGCCTTCTAAGCCATGGAACTGGATAAATGAAGTGATGGGATTAGCCACACTTTACCCATGTAACCTTAGCTTATCTGCCTGTGATCTGCCTGGCTTCCTGAAAAATGGATCTCTGGAGAAACTGTAGCAGTTGCCTTTGAGCAAGCTTTCTTTAACAGATGGAATGTGCCAGTTTCCGGTTATGGCCCGTGCTAAAACATTTTCCCTCAGAAAAGTGGTCCTGGTTAACTCTGTTCTTAAAATGCCCTTACTAATTAAATCGTGTTCTAATTGGAGATAGAATAAGTACCTTAAATGAACATAGGGACCTAATGGCAGTTTTTCCTGCTGATGGGACAGTATCAGAACTAAAATTTGGCTACGGAAGACATTTTACTCCTAACTGTTGAAAGCAGAGCTTCCCCATTCACAGAAAGGGCTTTTCTATCAGTGCAAAAAGAGAGAATTTTAAAAGTGCAGTGTTATGGCAGAGGACCAAAAATGTGCCTCATGAGGAGGATTTCTGCTTCCACTAGGTGACACTGTTGGCTTAGAAATACCATGTGCTTACCAAAGGAAGGAGAGAGAGAGAGAGGAAGGGACCTATTGGGTTAGTTATTATAGCATTTACCGATCTTTCCTAACAGAACTGTTCCCTGAACTGTAAAAATTTGCACATATTGCATACACAGAAAGAATAGGAGACATAGAGACCATGGATAGAAAGGAAGAACAAATTTGCAACAGGATAGCAAATTAGGAGACCCATTACTAACATCTGGATGAGCTGCTGGAGGCTGTGTTCAATCCAGAAGCTTTTGAATAACATCAGGGTGTGTCCTGGCCAGAAATTCTCAGCTGCTCCAGGACATCCCCCAGCCTCATGTGATGGTGAGGTTCTCCATGAAAGGAAACTAGTTTGAAGAGAACCTTGAAATTAAAGGAGAGATTTGAGGTTTGCTCCATACTCACCATTCTGATGTTTCTATCTTCTGATCACAATCCCGGATAAGAACTCCCAAATAAAATGGCTCTGTTTGGGAATCTATCCATGGTTCTTTGTCACACACTAGAAAGAATTCAGGACATGGAAACACATAAAGAGTGGGTTTAGGAGTGAAAAATTTAACAGATAAAAAAGAAGAGAGAGAGAAAAAGCTTTTTCATACTGAGAAAGCAGTCACCTAAGAGAGGGTCTCCAATTTGGGGTGGAATGCAATTGATTTTATACAGAGACTTGAGGAGGCACTGATTGATTTACATAGGGTCCAGGGGGTTGTTTTGACCAGGTGTGCTGTTTACATAGCCCGAGAAAAGACTGGTCCTCCCACAGTAATCTTTTATTATGCAAATGTGACTTCTACCTGGTGGTCACCATGACACCTGCACTTGTGGTGACAAGGAAAAAAGAACAGAAACCGCCATATTGGGAGTACCTGGCTCTTAGTTGCCTGCATCTATATATGCATATCTGTGCTTGCAGCCTGATCATTCAGTATTTTTTCTGTTAGAAATGGCTTGGGGGCTGCTTTTTATTAAAGGAAAATTCCACCAAGAATTCTTTTACCCTTTCTAGCTGCCTAAAAATAATTTCTCAATAACTCCTGTATTAGGACCCCTTTAGGAAAACAGAAAAGATGACACAGACTCTCCTGTAGGGGATTAACCATAGTTTTCTTTTCTCATGGAATCCCAAGAGTTGCAAGTGAATAGATTTCTCTCAGGTCTAAAACTCTGTTCTTCTCTCCGTTGTGTTACCTGACCTCTTTGCCTTTTACATTACTTTGTACTGTAAAAATATTTGACTTGTGTGTGTAATGATTGCCAGGTCAGTGGTAAGAGCTATGGTTTTGAAGGTGACTAACAGTGGTTATAATAAATTATTCTAGCTTCAGAGGGCTACTCATTTCTTTGCATGTTTAGATACAAAAGACACAGTTTAAACAATTAAGGAAATGCCTTTGTAGCAAGGTACTCTGTGGGAGTGTTGCACAGTATGGTCCTCATTGCATTTTCCTCTTCTTGGGGACCTGGGATTCAGTGAAATCCTTGATTTTTAATGTCTAAATGTTGTCCCTTCCAACTGGTTCTCTTTTTTACATATTTAAATGATTAGAATCTAAAAATTGCATAGACATTGTTGTCCCTCTTCCTTAATGGGCTCTATCTTGAGCACAGTGATTCAGTTGAAGAACAGAGACCAAATTAAAAGCTACATCTTTTAAGAAACAACAGGTGCTGGAGAGGATGTGGAGAAATAGGAACACTTTTACAGTGTTGATGGGACTGTAAACTAGTTCAACCATTGTGGAAGTCAGTGTGGCAATTCTTCAGGGATCCAGAACTAGAAATGCCATTTGATGCAGCCATCCCATTACTGGGTATATACCCAAAGGATTATAAATCATGCTGCTATAAAGACACATTCACACGTATGTTTATTGTGGCACTATTCACAATAGCAAAGACCTGGAGC
The DNA here is from genome assembly GCF_000001405.40 of Homo sapiens. Classification (NCBI taxonomy): domain Eukaryota; kingdom Metazoa; phylum Chordata; class Mammalia; order Primates; family Hominidae; genus Homo; species Homo sapiens. Next base: position 43,106,355 of record NC_000019.10, read on the forward strand.
CAACCCAAATGTCCAATAATGATAGACTGGATTAAGAAAATGTGGCACATATACACCATGGAACACTATGCAGCCATAAAAAATGTTGAGTTCATGTCCTTTGCAGGGACATGGATGAAGCTGGAAACCATCATTCTCAGCAAACTATCGCAAGGACAAAAAATCAAACACCACATGCTCTCACTCATAGGTGGGAGTTGAACACTGAGAACACATGGACACAGGAAGGGGAACATCACACACCAGGGCCTGTTGTGGGGTGGGAAGATGGGGGAGGGATAGCATTAGGAGATATATCTAATGTTAAATGATGAGTTAATGGGTGCAGCACACCAACATGGCACATGTATACATATATAACTAACCTGCCCGTTGTGCACATGTACCCTAAAACTTAAAGTCTAATAAAAAATAAATAAATAAAACCCCATGGTGAATTTCTATTATTTTTGTGTTACCTTGGCATCTTTTTAATCTTCCTTGAACACACCAAATTTTTTCCTGAAAGAGCTTAAGTTCTCTCTTTCTCTCTTTGCTTTGAGATGTAAATGTGCTATGTATTTTCTCTGAAACTCAGTAAAGCCTTCCTCAGATAAATGTTAACCTTTACCATTTACAAGAAAGCAATTTGAATCCAACTTTCCTTTAAAATGGTGGGTTTTACCGATCTCATGCCTAAAGCCCTAAAATCAAAATTCTAAAATCTTTTTGTCTCTCTCTATCTTTATGTGAACATATATATGTTATATGTTTTATAACATACATGTTTATGTCACACATTTATATACTGTTGACACATAGTTTCAAATTAATGTAAAAATAAATGAGTACTCACAAATTAAGTGAATAAGCCCAAATGCTTTTCTATACATGTGATTTTAATAACCTTTGGTGAATATAGTTTTAAAATTGTTGGTAAAATAAAGAAGAAATGTCTTCGTAATTTAATTTATACGTTTTTGCCTATGTCTGTTGGCAGGCAGGCTTATATTGTCTTTACTAGGTGTTTTAAGGTCATCAAACAGTTGCTTCCATATATATACATTTTCTTAATTTGTCTGTGAGCTTATGTCTTTATATTTGAAGCTTTAAATTCTGAGTTCTAGATGAGTGACCACAGTAAGAACTGGGGACAAAACCCATCCCATCCTCCAGCTGTGCCTTTTAGCCATGCTGGGAGAGATGAGATTATCCAGGCATTTTCTTCATAGCTCTGTTCTTTGTCTTGGGCTTTGCTTGTGGTACATAGTTAGAATGATTTACTCCCTAGTTTTTTTTCTACTGAGAATAAGGCTGTATGAGTCTGTTTTTACATTGCTACAGACAAATACATGAACCTGAATAATTTATAAAGAAAAAAGTTTGAATGGTCTCATGATTCAGCAGGTTGTAGAGTAAGCATGATTCTGGCATCTGCTCAACTTTCGAGGAGGCCTCAGAAAACTTACAATCACGGAGAAAGCCAATGGTGGAGGAAGACATCTAATATAATGGGAACTGGAGGAAGACAGCAAGTGTTGCACACTGGTAAACAACCAGATAAAAACTCACTGTTGCCATAACAGCACCAAGGAGAATGGTGTTAAAATATGAGAAACCACGTCCATGATCCAATCACATCCAACCAGGCTCCACCTCCAACTTTGGAGATTACAATTTGACATGAGATTTGGGTGGGGGTAAAGGTCCAAAAAAATATTATTCTCCACGTCATCCCTCCCAAATCTCATGTCTTTCTCACATTGAATAATATAAGAATGGCTTCCCAACCATCTCTAGAGTCTTAACTCATTCCAGCATTAACTCAAAAGTCTGAAATAGCAAGTTTCATCTGAGACAAGGCAAGTTCCTTTTACCTATGAGCCTGTAAATTCAAAAACAAGTTAGTTACTTTCAAGACACAATGGAGGTATAGGCATTGGGTAAATACTCCCATTCCAAAGGGAAGAAATAGGCTGAAGGAAATAGGATACAGGCCCCATGAAAGTCTGAAACCTTGCAGCACAGTCTTTAAAACTTAAAGCTCCAAAATAATCTCCTTTGACCCCATATCTCATATTCAGGGCACACTGATGTAAGGCTTAGGCTTCCAAGGTTCTGGGCATCACAGGAATATTCCAAGAGAGTCACAAAAGAATTTGTAGTGTGGCTTTTGATGCTAAACAGTGTATTAGACTGAGTAAGTCACTGAAGAGAAAAAAGTCAGAGGAGAAGATGAGTGAGGGTGACAGAAATGGAATGGTGAAAGGAAAGGTCTGATAAAAATGTTTATCGGCTGGGCATGGTGGCTCACGCCTGTAATCCCAGCACTTTGGGAGGCTGCAGTGGGTGGATCACGAGGTCAGGAGTTTGAGACCATCCTGACCAACAAGGTGAAACCCCATCTCTACTAAAAATACAAAAATTAGCCAGGCATGGTGGCATGCACCTGTAATCCCAGCTACTCAGGAGGCTGAAGGCAGGAGAATCACTTGAACTTGGGATGCGGAGGTTGCAGTGAGCTGAGATCGCGACATTGCACTCTAGCCTGGGTGACAGAATGAGACTCCATCTCAAAAAAAAAAACAAAAGTTTACCCAGGGGCTCATCTGGTACCTTGCTCTGTGACTAATATCTTACACATTTTGATTTACTCTTCCACTTTCATTTTCTGATGCGTGAAGGGTCACCCTTCTGCTGAAGATGAGAAAAGAGGCTGAGGGAGCTCAAATGAGTGGTCTAGAGTCATCCAGCTACTTCACAGAGCTTGTGTGTTTCACCTTGACGTTGTGCACAGACAGAAAAGTGAGACACAGAAGGAAGGCAAAGCAAGTTTTTGTTGTGGGTGACATTTATGAAAGTTACCTGTGTTGGCAGAATAACGGACTCCTAAAATGTTTGCACCCTAGCTCTAGAACCTGTGCATTTACTTTTCTTGGTAAAAACACAGTGCAGGGGTGATAAAATTAAAATCTTAAGATGTGGACGTTATTCTAGATTATCTGGGTGGGCCCATTGTAATCAGAAGTGTCCTTGTAAGTGACAAAGAAAAGCAGGGGCATCAGTCTGAGAATGATGAGCCTGTGAAACTCCACTGGCCAATGCTGAGTGTGAGCATGCATCAAAAGACAAAATTACAACTAATGTAGTTATAGATTTTATTTTTTGTTTATTATTTGAGGCAGCTCTTACTCTACAAATATGGTGACAGCCCTCCCTGAGCTATACAATAACAAAACAGTGGGTTTTGTCAAGTGGGAACCAGTAAACAAAGCCATATAAATAAATAAATTGGTGAACATTAGGGTACTTCAGGTCTCTTTTCTGTAAAAGTTAAAGCAGAGGAAACTTTTATTATGCTATCTCAGGTAGAGTGGAATCTCCTGTTTTCAACCAAAAACAAAGGTCTGTTCTGGTATCTCTTTGCTTCATTAAAATTTCAGTTGTAGACTGTAGCATTTAGCATGAGTGGTTCTATTTTGGAGTCTCTAGGCTCTCACTTAGGTGAGTGTGACCAAAATTTAAAGCATTGGCATTCATCTCAGTAACCATCATATTGGGCTTCCATCATTTATAGGTTTATGATGTCTTCCTGATCACACATTTCTTTGAGTTTTTGTCATTTCAGCCAAAGAGAGACCCTTTGGTATTTGTTGATGGCTGCACACAAAACTTTCTAAAAACTTTTGTAGAATTCACCACACCAAAATGTAGAATTTAAAAACCTATAGAATTTATCACACCAGAGAGGCTACTAATATGACTATTAGGAGGGTAACACCAAAAGTTTGGAGTATGCACTTTAGGCAAGATGCAAACCAAGCAAAATAGAATAGATCAAAGAATGAGCCAGAAGAGTCTAGCAATTTTAACCAAGTAGTATGTTTGGTAACTTCTGTGATTGAGTCATTATTATACTCGATACATTTGTTTATGTGTAACAATCAGTGTCAGAAACTGCACAGGCTCCTCCCTGTTCAGCTGGTAGGGAACAACTTTATTATGTAGCATTCGATGGCTCATTAAATTAAAACAGGGAGTGAAAACAAGTGAGTCTGAAAATGTAACTTTAAAAGGGCCACTGTACATTTGAACAAACAATTGTGTTAAAGATGCTGCTAATGTCAGCCATTGGGTGGACTAAATGATATCTTCTGTAAAACTTTGAGGGTGACGTGATATATCTGTCACTCTGTTACGCTACTCTCAGAAGCTACTTCACGTGAGATTCTAATGATACCATCATCCTGCCAAGTGAAAGAGGCAGGCATAAGCATGGACAAATTAAGAGGGGTAAGAGCCTGATTTTGATGTGAAGACTTGTTCTGGCAACTTAGGAAAAGCTTTTCACAGTGTGAAGTTGTCAACTTCTTATCCTGGTTTTAAGTTTGAGTGTCTGTAGTTATGGTGTCAAACATATTGGTGAGCTCCGAGTGACTCATACTTCAGGCACGAGGGTTTTCCTGTGAAATTTACATTGAGCTTTCCACCTCCAGCTTATAGGACTTCAGTAACAGAGCAGATTTTGTTCTTACTGATTCAATAAGAAAAAACTGGATGGGAGGAACTAGAAGAATTCAGGGTCTAGTCCAGTCTACCGGTGAATAATAAAAACTCAAAAACAATGAACAGAGCTGCAGTTTCATAGCAGGTATACTACACTTTTTATTTGCAACATTATTTTTCTCTCTATAGGCATATCTATTTTTACCAAAGATAAACCCAGTAGGACAAATTTGTTTACAAAGTAGGTTTAGTCTTATGAAACTTTGCCGGGATTCTTTACATAGGTGCATCAAGAGTAGCAATGGACGACAGAGGCTCTTCCTGAAGTTTGCTTCGCTAGAAGTTTTTATAAGGAGTCTCAGATTAAACTTTTACAAACCTCTCAAAGGCCATCTTCAGACTTTGCCTGCAGTACTTATGGGTCCATTCTATGTATATTCTCAAATATAACATCTCAGTCAAAGGCTTGGTAATATAACCAATGTTTTGAAACGTGCCCTTTTGTAAAGAGAGAAGATTCTTACTAAACTTGTGCAAATAACTGTATTAGCATAAACATATGAATACTCATGAATAGTTTCCCAATCCTGGGACAGTTAGGTAAAGAGCAAAAATAAATGGACTTCAATTATTGTTTCCAAAAGTATACTTTACCAAATTGCTTTAGATATAGATAGCTTAAAAGAAGAAAAATTCCATAAATCTGGAAAAAATCATTTAAAGAATCAGCAAATTTTCAAATAAAAATTATAAAAACATTATCCACGTTATCATTTATTTCAATGAAATTATTTTTGTTCTGCTTGGTCTAGGTTGGCATATTTCATGAAGGCATCAACCAGTCTGTTAAAGCTTTGAAAGTCTATAGACAGTCCAGTGATATAATCTTGAACTGCTCAGAAACTTGTATGCAAGAGTACTTGTCAGTATCTTTTCCATAAATCTTTTGAAATAGAAGCAATTTTGGACTGTAGCTGATTGCAACTGCTTTCAGGAAGAATCAAAACAACTATCTGTGAATGACCATCATGTAAAATGACTATTGCTAAAACTCTGATAAGAGTTTGATATAATAAAGAGAGTAACTCCAGCCAGTACACCAGTCATGATGCTGACATTGGCCCCAACTGAGAGATGAAAAGAACTTTCTTGTCCTGAAACAGCTGTCATGGAAAAAAAAAGAAGAGAAGGAATAAACAATAAAGACAGCAAGGGTTTTAACCAATTATTTTTTGAGATAGGGTCTCACTCTGTTGCCTAGGCTGGAGTGCAGTGGTGCAATCTCAGCTCACTGCAACCTGTGCCTCCCAGGCTCAAGCCGTCCTCCCACCTTGCTCTCCTGAGTAGCTGGGACTAGACGCACACACCACCATGCATGCTTGATTTTTGTATTTTTGTAGAGATGGGCTTTTACCATGTTGTTGAGGCTGGTTTTGAATTCCTGGACTCAAGTTATCCACCCACCTTGGCGTCCCAAGGTGCAGGCATTACAGGTGTGAGCCACTGCTCCTGCCGGTTTCATCCTTTTTATAATAAGAATGAACTCCTTATGTAATAATAAATAAATAAACAGAAATTATTTGCTTTGGATGTAGCAAATGTAGATTTAGATTGTCCAGAGTCAGGAGCTAAGCCTCATTTTTTTTTTTTGTTTTAGCTCAGTGTAGAGTGCATTGAAGTTGTCCTAAAAATAATTCCATATAGTAAGCCAACTTTAAACCCTGCTCACAGCCAGATCTGCCAAGAGTGAGCCACGTAAAATTACCAAAAAGGGTGGTTCTGACTGACTCCTTAACAATAACGTGGCTTACAAACAAAGACTGATATGAAATAGTTGATCCAACCCAAACACTTTGCTCATTTCCCAAAATTTTCTATACAAACATATACAACTTACCACAACGTAAAGATCATAATGAAAGGTTTGCCTTTTATTCGTTTAAATGACCATATGTTTAGATCTGATGTACTGACAGTGATAATTCTCCATTAAACAGAAACCTAATAAAATTTGAAAAATAGTGATTTCATATTTAGATGATACTCAGATCTTCTGCTACGTATGTGGAAAATGGAATTATTGCTAGAAACATTGTTTAAAGATTAGGGTATGAAAGAAGTATTAGGAAGTCAGGAGGTTCTTTCTTTAGGAAGCAGCTTATCTGGATTCATTCAAAGAGCTTTAGGCCAGTTTGAGGTCTTTCTGCAAAATGTAAATTGCTATCTGAGAAACCATATATAGTCCAATGATGAAAGAATGCAAAGCCTTAGAAGCACCGGAGACAATTCCAGTATCTTCCCTAAAGTTCTGACAAAAAGGAAAATAACTATCAAATTATTCAACTCGAATGCTTATTATGTATGTATAAGTCAGTCGGCAGATGAAGAGAGGAGGGAAATATGACTTCTACCCTTAGGGAACACATAGTCTTGTGGGGGCCACTAGGGGTGGTGGTGTGACCTGCCTGGAGCAGCGCTAAATATGGACTTGTGAGTCAAGGGCTATCAAAACCTAAGTAAACTGATGGCCGTTCAGAGAAGGTAGAGTTCCATTCCACAGTTTGCAAGAAGGACTATTTCATGGAGGAGGTCATGTTGGACTAGACCTTTAAAAGTTGGTAGAATTTAAAGGGAAGGATATGGAAGCAGGAAGAGTGACAATGAGCAGAGGTACAGGAGTGAGGCAAGGGTGAGCAATTTTAATTTTTTAATAGTGGTATTATAAAATGCACATCAAAATTTGCCATATTATTATTATTATTATTTTGGAGACAGTGTCTGGCTCTGTTGCCCAGGCTGGAATGCAGTAGCTCAATCATGGCTTACTGTAGCCTCCACCTCCTGGGCTCAAGCAATCCTCATACCTCAGCCTCCTGAGTAGCTGGGACCACAAGCATATAACACCACGCCCAGCTAATTTTTATATTTTTGGGAGTGACAAGATCTTCCTATGTTGCCCAGGCTGGTCTCAAACTCCTGGACTCAAATGATCCTCCTGCCTTAGCCCCAAAGTGCTGGGACTACAGGTATGAGCCACTGCACCTGACCCCATCTTAAAAATTTCTAAGTGCACAGTTCAGAAATACATTTGCATTGTGCAACCATCAGCGCCACCCATCTTCAGAGAGTATTTTTCATCTTGTAACAGGGAAAATTCATATCCATGAAACACTAACTCCTCATTTTTCCTCCTCCCCACCCCAGGTAACCACTATTCCAGTGTCTCTATGATTGTGACTGCTCTAGGGACTTCTATAAATGAGATCATACACTGTGTATCTTTTTGTGACTGGCTTATTTCACTTAGCATAATGTCCTCAAGGTTCATTCATGTTGTAACATATGTGAGAATTTTTTTCCTTTTGAAGGCTGAATAATATTTCATTGTATGGATAGACCACTTTTTGTTTATCCATTCATCTATCTATGGACACTTAGGTTGCCTTCACTTTTTGGCTATTGTAAATAGTGCTGCTATAAACATGGAGGTACCAATATCTGTTTCGGTCTCTGCTTTCAATTATTTTTGCTTTATACCCAGGAGTGGAATGGCCAAGTCATACAGTCCCTCTAGTTTTAGTTTTCTGAGGAACCACCATAATGTTTTTCACAGTGGCTGCACCATTTTAATTCTTATGAATAGTGCACAGGGGTTCCAATTTTTCCACAGTCTCATTAACACTTATTATTTTCTGGGGTTTTTGCTTTGTGTTTGAGAGTAGCCATTTAAATTCGCATAAGGTATAATTTCATTGTGGTTTACATTTTCATTTCCTTAATGATTAGTGATATTGATCAATATTTTCTATGCTTGCTGGCCATTTGTATATCTTCTTTGGAGAAATGTTTATTCAGGTCGTCTGCCTATTTTGTTAAATCGGGTTGATTTTTTTTGCTGTTGTTTAGGTAGAGAAAGCAATCTTTGAATACCAGTGATGTTTCACTAATGCTGGGCCACTGATTTCACAAGAAGTTGTATGAGGTATTGGAATGTGTGTTTGGTTTCAATCATGGCTGAGGTTAAATGCCTTTTCCAAAATTCAGTGTGAATTTCACCAGAAGCCACAAAGGATCCAGGAGCAAGAACATGGTGTGACTGCTCTGTGCTAAAGAATTTCAGCCTGATGACAGTGAGCAGGCTACACATGAGACTAACACAAGAACAGGTGGAGAGGGAGACTTTCCACTGGAAGAAGGTGATTCTAACATGCAGAATCACCTTCAAGGAGCAAGTAAGCAGAAAAATAGACAATGGCACAGTGGCCAGGCAAGAAGACACTAGGTCCAGAATCTGAGGTTCAAATCCTGGCTCTGTGAGATAAAAACATGCCTTGGTTTCCCCATGCTACTGAAACACCAGGGGTTGGGTCTAGGTCCCATTGCTCACTGCACAGAAAGCCAACCACTGAGACAATGAACATTGCCAGGGAAGAAGGCTTTATTTGGGTGCTGCAGCCAAGGAGGTGGGAGATCAGTCTTAAATTCATCTCTCCAGCCCACTCAAATTGGAGGGTTTATATAGCTGGGAAGGGAGGTAACTACCTGCAGGGAAAACAGCAATTAAGGAGGGGTAAGGAAGCAATCATGATAAATGAAGAGTCTGGTGTCTCATTCTCTGATGGTGATGTGGTGAATTTCAGTCTCTTGCCTGAAGGTCCGTTTCCTAACTCAGATGACTGACAAATGTTAAGTTTCAAGTTTTAAGACCGGATGGGTCAATTTCTATGTTTATTCAAAAACCCTGTAAATATCAGTTCTATGTGGAACTTGAGCTGGTTTGCCCCCAGTTATCACAGTTAGTGTTAAATGATGCAATATAAGTAAAACACCAGCAGTTTCTGACACACACACAGAGTGCATGACACAAGTGGTGTGTTGGGACAATATAGCTCAGTGAACTCCCTTTGTCTACTCAGTTATATTGAGCAATGAGGCATCTCTGAAGATGCCACTTTGCTACTTCTCCCCTGATAATTTCACCAGATCCAGCCATATGAGCACTGCAAGTGGGGACTTAGCTTAAATCATTCCTCATATTTCCCATGCAGGTAAATCATTTGGCACCAAAACAGGCACAGAAGTCCAAGTCCTGCTGCCAGCTCCACGACTGATGGCACAGAGAGACTTCAGGATTAGTCCTTTAATCTCTGTCCTCTATTAAATGAAGGTCATCATGCTGCTGCCTAATGTAAAAGGATTGTGGGGATTTTCATCATTCATTAATGATTATCTTATTCTTTGAAACCCCAAGAAAACTATATAAATTCCAAAGTCTAATAGGTACACAAGGGCTTTATTATGGATGATTAAGTTTCAAAGGATGCTAACCCAAAAAATTTTTTTTTCTTTTTTGAGACAGAGTCTTGCTCTGTTGCCCAGGCTGGAGTGCAGTGGTGCGATCTTGGCTCACTGCAAGCTCCACCTCCTGGGTTCACACCATTCTCCTGTCTCAGCCTCTGGAGTAGCTGAGACTACAGGCACCCACCACCACGCCCGGCTAATTTTTTTGTATTTTTAGTAGAGATGGGGTTTCACCATGTTAGCCATGTTAGCCAGGATGGTCTCAATCTCCTGACCTTGTGATCCACCTGCCTCAGCCTCCCAAAGTGCTGGGATTACAGGCATGAACCACCGCACCCAGCCAAAAAAAATTTTTTAATGCACTCTCTTTTCCATATAATCCCAAAGTCGGTGAATCACCTCTAAGTCAGGTGTTTATCTTAGCTGATACTGCCTTAGTGTTGGCACAACTTAAATTTAGTTCAAATAATATTTGCATGATCTTTGCACAACACATAAATGCCCAGGAACAGGTGGTGCTCCTCGGTGGTCAACACCAGGATTGCTATGGCAGGGCAGATTCTTTCTCTATAGCCCAGGTCACTGGCATTCAAAGAAATATTTTTCAATCTCTGATTTTTCTCTGGAAGTAGGAAAATGCTTCCCTAACTGCTTTACTTGTAAGGATGTTTCTTGCTAATTCTGTGCCCAGAGTAACTAATGGGGACATAGACATAGACATCATTCAAATGGCATTCTCTCTTTATGATAACCCATGCTTTAAAATGAAATAAACCAAACCCATGCCTTAAGACAACAGTCAAGAAATACATTCTGCCTAAGGAAAAGTCCTGTGTTTGAAGGTTGTTGTCCAAATAATCTGACGTTGTGGTCATGAAACATTGAAAATAGCATTTGGAGCAGTAAGTATAAAAAATTTAGAAGGACTAAAACTACTTGAATGCTTGTTGGGAGGTTTACAATGTAGTCAAACACCAGTTAAGCAAAAATAAAATTTACTACTTAACTGTTTACATTTTCTAATGTGTGGTTTCATGGAATTGTTGAGATAGAAGTAGACACTGAAATAGGAGTACTTGAAAGTAATAAGACAGAGATTTTTATAAAGTTATTTCTGACCTAATTAAGAAAAATATAATCTCTATCACATATGAAATAAACAACTTTAGAAAAATGCAATGTCAAAGAAAACACTTGGAATGGCCAACAAATATCTACTACAGATAGAAATGAAAATATTTATGTTATGTAAATGTTGGGCATCAAATTGTCTCCGAAGTTGCCTTCTAGAGAACTTTGTTTAGTTGGTGTATTCTTCCTATGAATCAAAGGAATACAGTCTTATGATAATAAGTAATGAGGGATAGGAGACAATTTTAAGGATTTTAGGAAAGTAGGGAAGCAGTGAAGTGAAGGGTAGGCAGATACTTCGGAGGGTAAAAAGTGTTTTTGATTCAAAAGAAAAGCTAAGGTAGTTTGAAGAAAACATGCATCATCTACTAGTTAATCTGGGGTACAATGAAGGTGGTGTTATTTTAGCAGTGTTCAGAAAAGACCAGTTAATTCTGTGGCCATACAGAACGAATGGAAAGATTGCAAAAAACAGATTCTGAGGAATACAAATCAATCTAGCAAGGAACTTTATGATGAAGGACCAATGTAAGCATAGAATGCACTGTATTTTTTATTATTATTATTAGCAGCATCATTGGTATGGTGATGTTACCTACTTTTGGAGTGGAGCTAGATATGAGAGAGCTGCATGTCCCTTGAACTTTATTTGGGGTAAATAGTGAAAACAATATCTATGATGAGTTAATGGGTGCAGCACACCAACATGGCACATGTATACATATGTAACAAACCTGCGTGTTGTGCTCATGTACCCTAGAACTTAAAGTATAATAAAAAAAGAAAGAAAACTATATCTAAATAAAAAAGAAAACATTCCAGAGGTGCAGAATTCAAGCTAGAAGAATTGTGTCCTTGGATGTCCCAAGGTCAAATTTTAATATGTCATTGAATGAAGGTTCCAATGTTTGGAATAATGAAAAAAGTCATATTGAATTTTGTCTTTGCTGTCCTCCCTCCCCAGTGTCTACCAAAGAGGCTGAGTAAATATTCATGCAAGTCAATACACTGTCACAGCCACAATTCATCCTAGCAATCTTTCCTGGAATAGTCACTTAAGACGTATCTGGTGAGGACCCATTGGCACTTTTAGAGCAATCAGAAAATACCTCAAATTGCTCACATCTAGTGTAGGAGAAGGCTAATCCATCCCTGTTTCATGAAGCATCACTTCAATATCCTGGGACAGTCATTCTACCCAAATCTTCTCTCCCTAGAGCCCAACACTCTCTGCATCTTCATCCATTCTTCACGGGGCTTGATTTCCAAGACTCTCTACCATCTTGGCCACACACCATGTTACACATTCACTATGGACACTGCACCACTGCGGATGCTGCACCAAGGGTTCTGAATCCAAGGGCAGATTGTTATGAACAGCCCCTTTAAAAGTCTTAAACGTGATACACTGGTCTGTCAGCAGATGTGCAGAGCCTCTTATGGGAGACGCAATATTTGACTCATGTGATTCAATGTCCATAAGTCTTCATCCGAAAGATGCCCATAGAGACAAAGAGCAGAGTAAAGTCCTTGCAGCAGTGTTTCTCAAACTTAGCCACCCACCAGAACTGCCTGGGGAACTTTGAAAGATACCCATGCTGAATCCCACCCACCAAGATTCTGATGTAATGCTATGGGGTGAGATCTGGACATCAGGATGTTTGGAATCCCCCCAGGCTCATTTAACATGCAACCAAGAGTGAAGCCCACTGTCCTCAGCAATGTGCCCAGCCCGGCCTTCCTGGCATCCCCCCATGGGTACAGGATGACAGTTTCTCACTCTGACCCTTTCCTTTATTCAATACAGCACAGCACAATCCAACAGGGTGAGCACTGTTATGACAGAGAACCTCGAGTCATATCTGATTAAATGTCTTCAACAAAACCAGTGACAATCCTTGGCCATTCAACTATCAATTACTACTTTCAACCCAGGTTCTAAAGGCTCTTCATTAGAAACATCTCGGGTTGATAATGACTGGGGCAAATGTGCCCTTTGGATTTGATTGCTACCATGATTATTAATTAACCGAATTGTAGAGATATCGAGTACATTTCTCCCTCTTGTTTGTAAGAACCCATGAGAGACAAGGCCAATTGCAGACAATGAGGACGTCCTCATAATAGTGAGATGAACTGCCTAGGTATCTTCCGATATCCTTACTTCCCTCCAGTTTTGTTGCTTGCAAAACAACAGAATCTTCTCTCCATGAAATCATGGTTATCAGTTAGGAAGTAGCCCACTTGGTTCTGGATTTCGTTTAGAGATTTAAGATAGTAACAGAGGGTGCAGGATGACAAACAGAATTTGTACACTGTGTCTGGTAGTGGAAAATACCCAACAGTGTACTGTATGCTGACTCTGTCATTTCCTGCCTTCTCTCCTCCTTTCCTCCCTCCCTTGCTCCCTCCCTCTCTCCCTCCCTCCTTCCTTCCCTCATGAAAGCATAGCTCGTTTGCCATTCTTTCCTCCAGTCACAAGCCATCTACTGATGCACATCACCATGCTCATGCCATTACCAGGGACTTTCTATCAGCATGAAGACATGAAAATGCCTGGGGGAGAAAGGGTGTGGGGAGCAGGTAGCACCCCTGCAACTGCCCGGTAGCATTTATACATTGCTCTCCCACCTTGGTTTCTATCCATGGCTTTCCTCGTCAGAGCATGTTCACTTTAACCTCCTCTAGAGCAATTTCTTGGATCCTTCAAGGGCTCAAGAACTAAGCATAAGTTCAAAAGAAACTGAGTAGGCACCTACCTTCTGGAAACAACATCCATAGAAAAGACTTGATTGCTATGGTCTGATTTATGAACCTGTATCTCATATCAGGTTAGCATTTGCACTAGCATTAAGGTATTTTCATTGAGATCATTTATGTTTTGAAATAAATACTACAACATCAAGAAACTGTATCAGTTGGAGAATAGCAATGTGTATGATTTGTGTATATAAATATGCACATCAAAGCACTTATTTATTTCAGAGAGTTGTATAACACCGTCAGAGTAAAAATTGAGTGATTCTCTTCTATTTCTGACCCTACTTCTAATGTCTCCTCTGTCCCTCTGGGCAAAACCATTTAAACCTTTTATCTTGGTTTCCTTTGTGAGAAAATGGGGATAATAGATACCCCTGAGCCATTCTGGAGACATGTTTGGATGCCAGCCCAGTTATGTGAACACAGGAGAAAAAAGCTTTGAGCTTTTGGCACTAAGGTGCTACATAAATATTATTAGCAAGCTGCTGAGATTTTATCTTTGGAAACTAACAAGCATTTCTCTTCTAAAGCCTCATATCTTTAGCCCCCGGACACATGTTCCTGATAGCTCTGTCTTTACAGAGATCCCCTTGGCTCCACAAGGATATAGATAGTGCTTTGCTGAGAGAGTCACTACCGCACACTCAGATGAAAGGTATTCATTCTGCTTGGCAGAGTCATCGGTAGAGTAGCTGCTGATCCCAGCAAGGCACGGTGGGTGATGGGAAGGGATTAGATTAGGAAGAAAAGGGAACCTCTCGTTCTCTCACTGAGAGGACTGTAAACCTGCAGAAGCACAACAGTGAGTGGACTACGTGTAAGTGCCAATGTGCAAAGTCGATAGTGCACACGTTACAGGTTGGCGAGAGATGATGCCACTCAGACCTGAGTGCACCGTGGAACTCTCTTGAATTCTCTCTGCAAATGGGTTGCCCCTGGATGTATAGAGTTATTCTACAGGAGTCCTGCTCCTAACTCATCAGAAACGTAATGACCTCTGTTGATCTCAAAGGCATTTTCTTCTGTTAAAAGTATTGTCCATTCAGCAATATGGAGAAAGATCATTTGTGAAAATAAAATAGAAGTGTCTGATGGTAGTGGGGGTGGGGGGTGTAATTTCCTCCCTATGTGAGTAGCATTAAGTTCACTCTTAATTTTTTTCTTCATTTCTGTAATTGGAGACTGATTTATCAAGAGGATATAGAATTCAGTGACTAATTCTATTAAATGTTTAAAGAATAAAATAAAAGTAGAATTCAAAAGGCTTACTCCTGATTAGTTTTCAAGATGTGTCTAGGCACAGGAAGTTAAAAATAATACCACAGTGAATGCTCTGACCCAGTGCTAACAAAAGCTTCCTTATTTTGGTGAGACTTGGCATAGAAAATCACACATGTCATTCAGCGGTCCTGAAAAAGGATGACTGAGATTTGGACTGGTTTTCCAGGGAATAAAATTGAGTGACTTTTTAAAAAGTGCTACTCCTAGAATCTGGGATCTAATCAATCCAATATCAACTTCAAGGGAATAGGCCAACAACCAGAGATGAAACTAGAAGACAAATAATTAGAATAGCAAGCATAGGTTGGTTTTCCATGCTATGATTCTGCAGCAAATGTGGTAATTTGGGAATACTGATTTGGGGAATCTCTTGTCATGGGAATAAGTTGTGTTTTGTCAGCTTTGCTGAGTGTCTCTGGTGAGCTAAAAGTGATTAAAACAGAGTGCTGGCCCTGGTATGTAAGCTGTAATCTATACTCCATATCTACCACTAGCCATTTTGAAGGAGGAGAGTTCCCTGATCTACCTCACGGGATGTGCAACAGGCGTGTGGCTCACCCGCTTAGTTGCTCAAACCCCTGATGGGAGATGGAGCACACAGATGGGCAGGTGCAGGGGCTGGAGTGAGTGCTTTGGGCTCCAGCCTGGCAGTAGTGTCTGGAGGAGGGGTGGTGCCTGCAGCCCAAGTGTTACAATGCTCTTTTAGTCTTGCTCTCTGCAAATGGCTTAAGTGTTAACCAGCTCAATAGACCTTCTGCCATTTCACAAGGGTAGAGGGCCAGTGTGACAGCTTTCTGTATTCCCAGCCTTTGCCCAGTGTCCCAGAAGAATCGGGTCACACACACAGGCTTGAAGGATGAATGTGGGGTTTTACTGAATGGTGGAGGTGGCTCTCAGCAGGATGGATGGGGAGCTGGAAGGGGGAATGGAGTGAGAAGATGATCTTCCCCTGGAGTTTGGTCATCCAGCAGCCAATCTCCCCTCTGACCACCCCCAGTTTAACTCCTGGCATTCACACATTCCTTCCCTTCTCTCTTTCTCTGCTGTGTCATCTGCCATTTGTCTGCTTGTCTCCTCATCTCCTCATCTGCTTCTGGAGCCTGGCGTTTGGGATTTATATGGGTACAGGATAGGGGGACATGTCAGGGAAGAAGGCAACTTTTCCCACTTAGGGCCATGGGTCTCCAGGCTTGAGTGTAGGGCCTTTGCTGGGGAACTACCTTCTTTACCCAGTATTTCCCTGTCTCCTGTCCATATCAATTTCATGAATGTGTGGTCACAACATGAACCCAGAATTTGGAGGTTGGAAAGTAGGAGTGAATGCACTCAATCTACTAGGGTGCCAATTCATAGCATCTAATATGGTAATGATGAATTAGCAATAGAATCTTTTGGTAGGGGCAGACTTAGTGAATCTTCAAATGTGGCAGGATTTTAACATGAATCGAATACTATCTCTCAGTCAATACAATTACCTCCACCACTCCCCAGTTCCTAATTCAAGGGTTATATTTTCAGTAACTTTATGTATTCAAAACTGTATTAGATGCTAGAAATACAAAGATGAGTAAGACATTATTAATCTCTGTCCATAAAAAGATGAAAACTAGTGTGGAAGACAGCCATAAAATTAGAGATTAATCTTATCTAGAAAATTCTAGAAACAGGATGAAGCACAACAGAGGAGTATTTTAGGCAACCTCAAGGCATTTAACCCAACCTGGAGCCTTTAGTTAGGTTAGAATATGGCCAGGAACAGGAAGTCAAGATTCAACAAATTGCAACACTGCAATAATAACTAACATCACTTTCTAATAGTGTTTATAGTGTTTTCTAATATGAAATCAAAATCTGTCTTTGGATAACTTTTACTCACTCCCTGGTCTTGTTTCTGTTCTCTGGGATGACACAGAATATATGGAATTCACTCTTACTCTGCTTAGTACTGAGAAAGCAAAAATTAAATAAGGCATTCAAAATTCTTGTCTGTATAGGGGCCAAGGGAAAGCTTCCCCTTCACCCTCTGAAGGTTTGCTGATAACCAACTGACAAAAGGAAGATTCACAGGAGAAAAAGCTTAAATATTTATTTGATCACAGTTGTATATGACATGAGAGCCTTTAGAATGAAGACCAAAAGATACAGAGGAAACCGTCCATTTTTATGCCTAGGTTCAACAAAGTATGGACAGCCATGTAGAAATAGGGTTGGATTCTTCTTGGCCTCTCTGAGCAGTGCTTCTTCCTTCTGGGTGTGGGGAAAATTCACCATATTCCTTAGGTCCCCTCAAAGGCCCCTCTATTCACTCTTTTCAGGAAGGGCGAGAGGACCAATGAATAACCAACTTTCTGGAAAGGGGGGTCTTAAGACCTACAGTCAAACAAAGTAGGTCAGATCATTTCTTCTTTTGTTTTCTCTTTTCAAGAGGCAGGGTCTGATTCTGTCACCCAGGGTGAAGTGCAGCGGCCTGATCCATGGTTCACCACAGCCTCAAATTCCTGGACTCAAGCAATCTGCCAGTCTCAGCCTCTGAAGTAGGTAGGACTACAGGTGCGTGCCGACATACCACACTAATTTTTAAAAATTTTTGCAGAGATGGAGTCTTGCAATGTTACTCAGGCTGGTCTTAAGCTCCTGGGCTCAAGCAATCCTCCTGCCTTGGCCTCCCAAAGTGTTGAAATTACAGATTTGAGCCACCACACCCAACCCAGATAATTTCTGTATGGCCCGTTTTTACGCAGAAATGTAGAGGGAAAATTAGAGTCCGATTTTTAGGTTTTATGGCTGGCTTTGGGGAAAAGGGGTTCTGATTTCTAGTACCCATCAGGGGGAAGAGGGATTCTAGTTTCTAAGGTGCCTCCAGGGAGAATGGGACTCAGAGACAGGAAGGCAGAAGAAGCTCAGAGAGAAAGTTTTGCTTCTGAGGCTCTTTCAGAAGGATTGCTTGAGCTCAGGAGTTCCATACCAGCCTGGGTAACATTTCAAGACTCCATCTCTACAAAAAATTTTGAAAAAATAGCCTGGCACATGGCATGTACCTGCAGTCCTAGCTACTTGAGAGGCTAAGGCGGGAGGATTGCTTGAGGTCAGGAGTTTAAGGTGTGGTGAACTTTCTGAGGCTTTGATTTTGTGGTATTGCTTTCTGAGCCTTAGACCTAGAACAAGCATTCAGGTCATGGGGGAAGTTCATAGGAGAATCTCTATTTTTTAACTATCAAACTGTGACTCCCACATTGGCCACTTGGGGATGCTGTCACTCATAGGCCTGTCATACACCTTTGGTGGGTAGGGACAGGAAAGGAGATTGAGTAGCATAAGATAAAGTCCTCCCCACCCCACCCATTTCAATAATAGGATCCACATTTATCATATGCCAGTCTGAGACACTTCCTGAACTTCACGATTCATACAGTGTTAGAGAGTGGTCTATACCTTTCTCCATGACCTCCAGCCCACACGAGGTTCAGTGACCCTAATGCCATGGAGGCCAGGATGCTGTGATTGAGATGAGAGCAGGGGTAAGAAGGGTCTTTTCTCTGCTCATGGAGCACTGGAATGAAGTATCTTTTTGGGTGCTGGACAGTGGGGAGGTCAAGACTGTGGGCAGAGGAACACTGGAGCCAATGTTGGGAATAATTCTCATGCAAGCAAAGATGTGGTATTTGGCTGGTCACAACCCCAGACCTTGAGACTCCAGTTCCACAGGGGTCCAGGATATTGTTTCCATGTACAAGATCCATCTGTGAGAATCCAGCACTTTCCACCACCTGCCGTGGTATGGCTGTGGTCCCATGCACCATCACCTTTGGCTTCAACTTCTGCAATGACCCCCTAATTGATAACCTGGCTCTTGAGTTGACCTTACAGCAAACATTCTTTTTGAAGAAAAGTCACAGGACTTCACCCCACTGGCCGAAACCCTCCACTATTAGCTGCCACTGCACACAGAGTCGAAGCCTAAGGCATTGCACTTACACATTTTCATGTTATATTATTGCATAGATGTTATTAGTTTCTGAGTAGCCAGGAGAGCATTTTTTCTGCAATTAAACATATCGAATGCACCACATTCTTTAGGTCCCCTCAAAGGCCCTTCTATTCACTCTATGTCGGGAAGGGTGAGGGAACCGGTGAATAAACAAAGGTCCTTGTTTAAAGGCTGTTATGACCATAAAGTCTGTGTATTTCACAGCCCATGACAGCAGCATCCTGAGATATTATTTATTGTCAAACTTCTCAGGCCACACATCCACTGCAATGGGGAATGGGACTGAGCAAATCGCAAGTTCTTGGTTCTATGTTCCAGTTGCAATCTTGCTTTCAGTTTTCCTGCTGTTAAAACAGCTTTTGCTGGTAGAACTGTGGGAAGTGAGAATAGATTTCCTTTTACCTGCTGTGCATCAGCAGAAAAAACAAGTCTTTCTTTTCTCCTGGCAGCTGAGATTTCTGAGTTCTTCCTAGAATTGGATGTTATATATGATCTACTTTACTCATGCCCACCTGCATACACACCAAAGCCTGATGAGCGGTACAAACCCACCCAATGTTTTCCCCCAAAACAGAAGTAACATGAGCACATGTGGAACTGTCAGAGGTGTTTGAACCAGGGCAACTGCATCTTGAATAGGAGCAGGGTAAAATGAGGCTGAGACCTACCGCGCTGCATTCCCAGACAGTTAACGCATTCTAAGTCACAGGATGAGATAGGAGGTCAGCACAAGATACAGGTCATAAAGACCTTGCTGATAAAACAGTTTGCAGTAAAGAAGCTGGCTAAAACCCACCAAAACCAAGATGGCCACAAGAGTGACCTCCGGCGGTCCTCATTGCTACATTCCCACCAGCGCCATGACAGTTTACAAATGCCGTGGCAATGTCAGAAAATTACCCTATGTGGTCTAAAAAGGGGAGGCATGAATAATCCACCCCTTGTTTAGCATATTGTCAAGAAATAACCATAAAATGGGCAAGCAGCAGCCCTTGGGGCTGCTCTGTCTATGGAGTAGCCATTCTTTCATTCCTTTACTTTCTTAATAAACTTGCTTTCACTGTATGGACTCGACCTGAATTCTTTCTTGGCGAGATCCAAGAACCCTCTCTTGGGGTCTGGATCTGGACCCCTTTCCAGTAAAAGAACTATTCATTTTATCTTTTAGTCATCACCAAGCAAACACAATTATAAATAAGGAAAATAATATATGATTGTAATTTTACTCATAATCCCAAATGTCTCTCATGACCAGCACACCTTTGGTGTATTGGGTCTAAATCAAAGAAAAATTCGAGGAGTTGAATGAACAATGTTTTGATATCTTAATGCACTTTGGAGAAAACCAACTGTTGCAAAAAGCTAAAGAAACAAAAATTCATTGTTTATAGATCAGGCCACGTGTTTTTCATTTCTGCAATGGCGATGTTGTTGATTCCCATGGAACACAATGAGAGTGTGATCTTCTCCTTTGAGATTGTATTTATTGATAAATGCAAAAATGCTAATGAATCCTAACTTGCTGGTTCTCCATGGCCTTCCTTCCTCCCGCCCTTTCCAAGAAGGATGCAGTATCTGTCAGAGGCATTTGAACCAGAGTGGCTCCATCTTGAGTGAGGGCTAGGAAAATGAGACTTGAACTTGCTGGTCGGCATTCCCAGAAAGTTAGGTGTTCCTAGCCTCTAGATGTTTACAGTTAAGGGAATAGACTGATAACGTTCAGTAAACAGACCCAGAATTGGGAGTGTGCTATTGTTCTGGAACATCACATATAAGTAAAGGAGGGATTTCCTCTTCTGACCAAGAAGGAATAACATAGACTGGCTTAACTCTCGTACCTGAAACAACCAGAAAAACAAACAAAATATACGAAAGAGTGGTTTTATGACTCTGGAAATAAGGCAATGAAGGACAGTGCTCCCTGAGAGCCAGGAAACTAACAAGGTGAACACCATGTTTGGCACAGCTGACTGCCTTGACAGGGCTGTAGGGCACACAACCCACTCTGGGGAAAGAACCATCTGAAATAGAGAAAATAGTGCATGGTGCTCACACAGGGCTGGAAAGAGTGCCTGTTTCCACCAGCCAGACTGAAAAAAACCTTGTAATGCATAAGCCATTTGGCTAGACTACTCAGAAAGGTCTTGTGTGAATAGTGGGGAATATTTAGCTGCAGGCTGAGTCCTGCTCTGAATCTCCCTAATGATTCACAATAGCAAGGCTCCAACGTTGCCAATTGTCTCCAAGTAACTTAACCCAAACTGAGCAGATCGCTCAAAAATGTTTGCAGGAATATAAAAATATCTGGCATCCTAAAAAGAAGACTCACGGTGTTTGGCATCCAATCAAAAATGTCTAGGCATGCAAAGAAGCAGGAAAAAATGATACATAATATAAGAAACTCATCAACAGACACTGACTAAGAATGGATGTATATGTGAGATCTTATTTTTGGTCTCAAGATTTTGCTGCTTGTTTGCTTCTTGAAGTCTCATGGTTTTAGGTTTTATATACAGGTCTATGGTCTATCTTGAGTAACATTAGGATGCGTGTATGTTTATTTGTATGCATTATTTGTAGGCATAAACCGAAGTTCATTTCTTTGCATATGAATATCCCGTTGTTCCAGCACCATTTGCTGAAAAGACTATCCTTTTTTCACTGAACTGTTTTGTACCTTTGCCAAAATCAGTTGTGCATATATGTGTGAGTCTATGCTGTTCCATTGATCTACTTGTCTATCTTTATGCCAATACCACACTGTCTTGATTACTGCAGCTTTCTAACACAGCTTGCAATCAAATAGCATTTGTCTTTCAACTTTGTTCTATTTTTCAAAGTTAAACATCTTAACATTATTAAGTCTTCCAACGTGTGCCCAGTGTATATCTCCCCATTTATTTATGTCTCCTTTTATTTCTCTCAAGAATTTTTTGCAGTTCTCAGAGTACGAGTCTTATACATATCTTCTCACATTTATTTTGAAATATTTCATATTTCTGAAGCTATTGAAAATAGTATTGATTCTTCATTGCTAGTATATAAAACAGTACATGATTTTTGTATATTAAGCTTGTGTCCTGTCACTTTGCTAAACTCAATTAATAATAGTTCAGGTAGCTTTTTTGTGTATTCAATTGGATTTTTGTTTATGTTGTCTAGGCATAAAGATGGCTTTACCACCTCCTTTCTAATCTGAGTGCCTTCTATTAATTTTTGTTTTCTTACTGCACCGGTTCCGATCTCTTGTAAAATGTTGAATAGAATGGGGAGAGTGGGCATTTCTATTTTGTTCCTAAACTTAAAGAAAAGTATTAAGTTTTTACCATTAACAAGAATTTTAGATTTTTAGTAGATGCCCTTATCAGGTTGGCTGAAGGAGTTCCTTTCTATTCTTAGTCTGCTGCAGGGTTTAATAAGGGCTGGAGTTTGGGTTTTTTAAAAATGCTTTTTCTACATCTACTAAGATGATCACATTGTTTTTTTGTTTTTGTTTTTTCATCTTTTTTAGTTTGACAATATTGTGGGTAACACTGATTGGTCTTCAAATGTTTTGAAACAATATTGTGTTTCAAATTACTTCTTACTTCTGTGACATAACCTAGCCTTCTCTCTCTTTTTTTTTTTTTTTTTTTTTGAGACAGGGTCTTGCTCTGTTGTCCAGGCTGAAGAGCAGTGGCGCGATCTCCGCTCACTGCAAGGTCCACCTTTCCGGTTCACGCCATTCTCCTACCTCAGCCTCCCTAGTAGCAGGGACTACAGGCGCTCGCCACTTCGCCCGGCAATTTTTTTTTTTTTTTTTTTTTTTTTGCATTTTTAGTAGAGACGGGGTTTCACCATGTTAGCCAGGATGGTCTCGATCTCCTGACTTCGTGATCCACCGGCTTCGGCTTCCCAAAATGCTGGGATTACAGGTGTGAGCCACTGTGCCCGGCCGACATAACCTAGCCTTCTTTGTCTGAGTGTGTGTGCATGATTAAATAGATCACAGTATCACATTCTGCCAGGACCCACATGGCTGCAATGTATTCTTTTACCAGCAGAGTAGCACCTGAATCTGAGCAACGCCTCAGAGGCGATGGAACTGAACAGGAGTGAATCTGCCCAGGCATGAAGTGCTCCCTTACAAAACAGTGTGATTACAGTTTGTGTTCTCCGGTGTAATTACCTAGGAGGATTTCTTCAGTCTTCCGTAAGGAGGAAGACAGTGTTCCCCACTACTCAGAGAACTGTTGTAGGTGTTCTTCCTGCTTTTTGAAAAACTGAGAGCTGTGGCCAGCCTGTCAGAACACGTCCTCTTCTTTTGGGCATATTCAGGATTTGCTTACTGGTCTGTTCACCCTGATAGAAGTTACTCTTCTCTGTCTGCTATATAGATTAACACCACTCACTGGAACTTCCATTTCCCAAAATTCCAATTCTGTCTTAAAATCTTTTCTAAGCACGGCTTCTCTCTACATATTTGGTGCACCCTTCAGTGATTACAAAGATACTCCAAGGTCCTGCCATGATACTGAACAAAATTCAGATGTAGCAAAAGTGATCAAGAAGGCAGCAAAGGCTTATCATTGTGGGGATGTAGTACAACCTCCCAGCTGTGAAGCCTTGCACACATCACTGCATATATCTCTGCTTGACTTTTCTGAACCTGAATTACTCGGTGAACAGGGTACCTTGCAGTTTGAATGACCCTCAAGCTCTCAGAACTTCTCCAACTTTAAAGCGCCCTATTCTAAAAGAGAACTGTATTTGTTAACTCCAGGGGAGACAAGCTTGTCACTTCAGCCTTCCCCTTATTTAAAAAAGGTAATTTGTGCTGATTCTCCAGTACAAAGCGCTTAAGTCAATTCGTCATAGAAAGACCGTTAGGTGTAAAGTGATAAATATACTATGTCAACTTTGAAAATGTATTAGCACTTTTCACCGTAAAAACTTCAGATTTCACAGGTCAGCAAAGAGAGTCTTTTGTTTAATTGTTTTGCATCATCAAATATCAATCTGTAGGGTAGGGGACATCTCATTTAGGGAAAAAGGTAGGCACACCTCACTTTACAGAAATTTCTGCTGAAGCCCTAAATTAGTGCGTTGGTCTCCCCCATAAGCCTTCTGGCTTTTAGAGAACAGAGACTGCTTATTCTTATATTAAACTGGGGAAGGTGTTCTATATTGCATAACCTCTCAGAAGTATAAATGTGTATTGTTTCTCTTTATCTCGACCTTCCAAGGGCCCCAGCAGCCTGCCCAAGGCTTCACTATCCTTGCAACAATCATGGCACGGTAGTGATGGGAAGAAAAGCTGCAGGCTCAGTGCTCCTTGCCTTCAGGGAATGGTGCTGATTCCTGTTGCAAAGCAGACCCATTATCAGAGGCCCATCAAATCACACCATTCCCTTCCCTGCTGTCTCTTAGGCCTGCAATGACAAAGACATGGCAGAAATGCCACTATCCCTGCTCCTTTGCTTTGGCCAGATGCCACTGATGGATCGTTCAATTCTTCCCTGCAGAATCGTGCCCTCAGATCCTTCTGACAGTGTGCCAGATATCCAGCATCACCTTTGCAGTTTGGGAAGTGGCACCCATCATCCACCCAGCGTGCCTTTCTTGATTTTGTCCATGGTGCTGAGATTCTGCGTGGCCCCCATGCGGTTGCTCTCACTCCATGGGTCTCCATCCAGGGTGATGCACACCCTCCTACCACCTGTGAACATTTGGTAATATCTAGAGGCGTTGCTGGTTTCCACCATTGGGAGTGGGTGCAACTGGCATCTAGTGGGAAGAGGCCAGGGATGATACTGCACATCCCATGTTGCATAGACCCCATCCCACAGCCAAGAATGATCTTGTTAAGTGTCAGTAGTGCTGATGGTGCACAGACAGTGTCCCACAGCAAAGAATAATCTTTTTAAATGTCAATAGCATCAAGGTTGGGGAACCCTGGTGTGTCTGAGAAGGAAACGTGGGATTCTCTCTCCTCTAGGATTGGATTCTGTCCCGTGGTACTGTCTACAATGACTGGGATTTTGATACCTAAATCTTCCCTTAGGAAGAAATCTTTCCTCAGGAAACTTAATTATCCTGCCAATGCTCACCAGCTGGAGTTTGACTTCATATTTTTATTGGTTTCCTGGAAACCTCTCATTGCATTCCCTCAGGCATCCACGATACCCAAACCATGCACATGAGTGACACACTGTGTTTAGCTTGCACAGCATCTCATGCCACAACCATTCCCGGCAGATTCAGCTCATTCTCCCATCGCAGCCCTGCTCCCCTATGCCCGGTTACCAGCAGGTCTCCCAGGTGAGCCTGCTGCTCCAGGATAAAACTGTGGCCACGAGCCAACACTGAAAACTGACACCTGCGGAAGTTGGCTCAAGTGCTGCCTGCTAACAACCGAATAAGTAAACCTTTGCTGCAGAACCTACCATGTAACAGGTGTCTTCTAATATTTCTCTGATTTTTCTGAGCTTATCCTAAGATAACTTTTTCACACTTCATTTGCAGAGCAGGAAGACATTATGTGTGTGTGTGTGTGTGTGTATACACACACATATATATGAGAATATAGAGAGAATATATGTAAAGGAGAATACATGTAAAGAGAATATATAATATATATAGAATATATCCTATATATTTAGAATATATAGAATATAGTTATTCTATATATAGACTATAGACTACATTATAGTCTATATATAGACTATAGACTACATTATAGTCTATATATAGACTAGACTACATTATAGTCTATATATAGACTATAGACTACATTATAGTCTATATATAGACTATAGACTACAATATAGTCTTATATAGATTATATATAGAATATATTATTTTCTATATATAGACTATTTTTCTATATATAGTTTATATAGATTATACATAGACTATATTATTCTATATATAGCTTATATAGATTATATATAGACTATATTATTCTATATATAGCTTATATAGATTATATATAGACTATATTATTCTATATATAGCTTATATAGATTATATATAGACTATATTATTCTATATATAGTTTATATATATTTTATATAAAGTTTATATACTGTTTATATATTGTCTAGACTATGTTATTCTACATATAGTTTATATATAGAATGATATAGTCTGTATATTGTCCTAGCAAACTCATAGACTTTATTATTATTTGATATATAGTCTAGTACTGATAGATAATATTATCATTCAATAAAATATATAGACATATACAAGATACATAGTCTAGACTATACATCAAATGATAATATAGTCTTTCTGTACTACTATATATAGTCTATATATAGAATAATAATATAGTCTATATATTGCAAGGAGGAAGATAATGGCTCATTTTTTATCCAGGGTAAAACTCATAAACATGTATTACTGAGTACAGATATCTTAATAGAGACAAGAAAATTCAAATTATTGGCAAGGTACTGTACATAATTGTATCCAAAAAAATCAGGCTATTTTGCATCCTAGCCAAGTTACTCTGCCCAGTCACAAGATCACAAAGGCCAAGTTACATGATCACTAAAGGTGGCATGAGAGGCTCCGACTCATCCAGGGAGTAAGAGAGTGAAGTCAGCAGTGGGAATGTTGGAGCAGCTGGTCTGTGTAAAGATGTCCTGGGGAAAAACTGGGTCAGGCTTGGAAGACAAGGCAAGCGGTACCAGAGAAATAAGCTTGACTGGAACGAGGCAGCAACAGAGGCACTGATGGAACTCCGTTCTAGAGTTATGGGAACTAAAAGGTACTCCGCTCGGCCAGCCACCAAATGAAATGGGTAAAAAGGGCTGCTTGAAATGTAACTGGGAAGATTTCATAAGCATCTATCTGTATGGGTTTGCCCGGACTGACATAACAAAGTGCCACAGACCGGGCCGCTTACCACAGACATTGATTCTCTCGCAGTCCTGGAGGCTGGAAATCTGAGACAAGGTGTGAGCGGGGCTGGTTCCTCCTGAGGCCTCTCTCCTGGGCTTGGAGATGCTGTCTTCTCCCTGTGTTCTCCCATGGTGGTTCCTCTCTGTGTAGGTCTATGTCCTCATCTCCTCTTCTTATAAGGACACCAGTCCTGTTGGATTAGGGCCCACTCTAGTGACCTTGTTTTACCTTAATCCAATCTTGTCCATTCTGCAGCCCTAGGGCCACATGCAGCCCAGGACAGCTTTGAATGTTGCCCAACACAAATTCATACTTTTTTAAAACATGAGATTTATACACGGACCTGTTTTTTCGCTCATCAGCTATTGTTAGTGTATTTTATGTTTGGCCCACAACAATTCTTCTTCTTCCATTGTGGCCCAGGGAAGCCAAAAGATTGGACTCCTTTGCCTTAATCACTTCTTTAAAGGCCCTACCTACAAATACAGTCACATTCTGAGGTCTTGGGGGCTAGCACTTCAGTGTATGGTATGGGAGAGGGGGCCTCAACTCAGCTCATAACAGCATACTTCTAATGGTGGTTCTCAGTCTTTATTTTGAGGAAAGTGGTCACTTAAATAATGACATATGGAAAAGATACAATTTAAGTAATAGAGACTTCCCACGCAAACCCCATGTAAGGGGAGGAATCGAACGTATCAAGGGCATTCCCCAAGCCCAAGGTGATAGAGGTGAGAAATGCTCACTTATTAGTGCCAATTTCAATCTCCTGATAGATTTTCATTTAGTATGCTGTAAAAGAAAATATCCCTGCAGACACTGGCACTTGAGGGATTACAGTGGTGGGGAGAAATTCCCTTATTTATTTGTGGAATTCAATGAAGCATTTCAGAGTCCACCTTCTGGGGATAACCTGTTCATTGCAATGGAGTAAATCAATAGCCTTCATTTAGATTCTTAACTGGCAATTTGATCTCATTCACTTTAACCAGCACTCATTGGCTGGAGGAATGATGGAGACTGGGAGCAGGCTCCTAAAAAGGGTCTTGAAAATGTTATTTCAACAAAGATTAATTATGAGGCATTGAGAGTTTCAGAAAGGTTCACATTTTTTTTCTAAAGCTCTTCTAAGCCAATCTTAAATGAATCCTCAGAGGACTATTTCTGTGGGTGTGTGTCTGCTTGTGTGTGTGTGCATGTGCATGTGTGTGTCTTGCCCCATTCCAGTTCTCCATCCCCATGCTGAGGAGGCTGGAGGATTCAGAATGCAGAATCAGGTGCATTTTTAAAAAATCATTATGTCAGTCCTCACCAAAACACTGGCTATTTCTATCTTTCCTTCTCATTTTACTCTGCTATAGGAGTCTAAGTAAATCATCTTTAGGAAATACCAAAACCTACCAGGGGTTTTAGATTCATGGCGGCCAACACAACCTAGTATTGATAGCCCATGTAAATGTTTGCCATCCAGATAACAAGAATAACGACAAGAGAAAACTAACATGACCTGCCCCATAGTGTGCTAGATCCACATCTCTTGGGGAATGTTTTGAAGCAAGTTAATACAAGCTACTTGATAAAAGGCTTCCGTGATGAAATGAGATTGGGGAAGCTGAGTTAAACAAAATCAAACAGTGTTCTGTGTTGGACACTTCTCAAATCCTTAACCATGCTGAAAAGCTTAGAGTATTTCCAGGAGAATAGCATAGCACCCCACATCCCAGACCTGCACAGCCCCTGCTCAGGCCATCTTGTGGGACAAACAGTATGCAAAACACACATTCTGGAACATGCTTGAGTAGAGGGGAGGCCACTCTCTAACTTGGGCACAGTTCTGCTCTGGCACACACTGACAAGGTGACACTGGGTGACTCATTTAGTCCCTCTGTAAACGGCCCTTCCTCATATGCGAGAGGCCATGGAACGTTGGCCTCTCAGACGTTACTGGCTCTAACATTATTTTGCCAAAAATAAAATAATTAGTGTGGATGTGTTATAGGAAAGGGGTCTGGATACAGACCCCAAGAGAGGGTTCTTGGATCTCACCAAGAAAGAATTCAGGTCGAGTCCATAAAGTGAAAGCAAGTTTATGAAGAAAGTAAAGGAATAAAAGAATGGCTACTCCATAGACAGAGCAGCCGTGAGGGCTGCTGCTTGCCCATTTTTATGGTTATTTCTTGACGATATGCTAAACAAGGGGTGGATTATTCATACCTCCCCCTTTTAGTCCATATATGGTAACTTCCTGATGTTGCCATGGCATTTGTAAACTGTCATGGCTCTGGTGGGAAGGTAGTAGTGAGGATGACTAGAGGTCACTCCCGTTGTCTTCTTGGTTTTGGTGGAGTTCCACTGGCTTCTGTGCAACCTGTTTTATCAGCAAGGTCTTCATGACCTGTATCTTGTGCCGACCTCCTGTCTCATCCTGTGACTTAGAATGCCTTAAGTGTCTGGGAATGCAGCCCAGTAGGTCTCAGCCTCATTTTACCCAGCCTTTATTCAAGATGGAGTTGCTCTTGTTCAAATGTCTCTGACAGATGTAATAGGTAACGCTCAGAAACTGGCATCAGAGGCTATGCAACCTGAACAGAATTGGCTGACATATATCTCCGGGTATAAAGAAAGTCTCAGCTTTCCCCTGAGATGTAATGATGAATGTCCCTAAAGCTTCCTTCACCCTTCCATGCTAAACTCGCTCCACTGTTCCATCATCTGCTTTGAAGCCACAAGGACAGCCAGTTAGGACTTTGTCATCATCACTTTTAACTTTTGTTTAACTTTTAACAAAGATTGGCCTTTTTAAAGGCTCAATTATATTTAAAAAAAAAACAAAACAAAACTTCCTGCCACTTACGCAGTCCATTCATTTTAAACAAAGTTGATAATGCAAGTCAATGGGAAAAGAATAGTCTTTTTCAACACATGGAATTGGAAAAACTGGATACCTATATGGATAAAAATGAACTTTGATCCCTTACTCCATACTCTGCACAAGCATTAAATTAAGATCAACTGAGATTTGACCTGAACATAAAATCTAAAATTTTGAAGCTTTTACAATAAAGCAAAGGTAGACAAAGACTCCTTCTACAAATACCTGGCACTAAACATTAAAAAATCATAAATTGTGCTTCATCAAAAATACATCTGCTCTTCAAGATAGATGAAAAGGCAATTCACTGACTTTGAAACCAAGTATTTGTGTTCAGAATATGTAAAGGAATTCTAAAACTCAACATAAAAAGACAAAAATAAAACAAAAACACACGCAAAAAAAAAAAAAATAGAAAATGAGCAAATTATTTGGACAAAAATCTCCCAAAAAAGGAAATGCAAATAGCTAGCAATCACAGGAAAAGTTGCTCGATATTATTAGTTATCAAGGAAATAAAAAGTGAAACCATGAGATACTCCTACCCATTAGAATGGCTACAGTTAAAACGACTGACAATACTAAGTTTTGATGAGGATGTGGAGCAATTGGAATGCTCATGTATTGAGGTGAGAATATAAAATGGTGCAACTACTTTTAATAACTACCCTATGGCTCAACAATTCCATTTATAGATATATACCAAAAAGTTATGAAAACATATATTCATCCACACAAAGACCTGTACACAGATATTCATTGTAGCATTATTCATGATAACTTCAAATGGAGCAGAACCCAAATGCTTACCAAAGGATAAATGGATAAACTTACTGTTACATATTCATATAACGACATACTACTAACAGATAAAAAAAGGAATAACTATTGTTACCTGCAATGGAAACATATATAAATCTCAGAAATAGTATGTTGTTAAATAGGCCAGATACCAAATAGAATATGTTGCATGATTCCATTTATATAAAGTTCTAGTAGAGGCAACATGAAAGCCATGGTAATAAGAACAGCAGTTGCCTGAAGTTTTGGGGTTTGGTGATATGAGGAAATTTTCTGGAGTGATGGAAATATTCTTTATCTTTATTAGGCTGATGTTTTCACAGGTGAATATATTTGTGTAAACTCATCAGAATATATAAAGGATCCTACAACTCAAAATAGAATTTTAAAAAACCACAAAAAGTTATTGTGATGGTTAATATTGAGTGTCAACTTGATTGGATTGAAATGATATAAGTATTGCTCCTGGGTGTGTCTATGAGGGTACTGTCAAAGAAGATTAATATTTGAGTCAGTAGACTGGGAGAGGCAGCCCCTTCCTCAATTTGGGTGTGCACCATCTAATCAGCTGCCAGCGTGGTAGGATAAAAGCAGGCAGAGGAACGGGAAAGGACTAGACTGGTTTTGTCTTCTGGCCTACATCTTTCTCCCAGCTGGATGCTTCCTGCCCTCGAAAATCAGACTCCAAGTTCTTCAACTCTGGGACTCGGACCTTTGAACACAGACTGAAGGCTGCACTGTCGGCTTCCTTACTTTTGAGGCTTTGGGACTTGGACTGACTTCCTGGATCCTCAGCTTGCAGATGGCCTATTGTGGGACCTCACCTTGTGATCACGTGAGTCAGTGCTCCTTAACAAACTCCCCTTTGTATATACATCTATCCTACTACTTCTGTCACTCTAGAGAACCTTGACGAATACGGTTATGCATTTTTATTAATGTAAATTATGCCTTAATTAACAATAAATACCTTCTCAACCTCCAAAAAGAGACTTTCTGTCTGAAACTTGAGAATAAGTCTAAAGTTTTCATTTAATAATGAATTTGTAAAAGACAGGAAAATTGATTTTGGCATTAATTTGTTCAACAAATATCTGTTGAGCATGTCCTATGTGGCAGAGGCTGAGTGTGGGGTGTGGAGTGGGTGAATGTAAGGAACATATAGTTCCTGGCTCCCTAGAGCTTATTATGGTCTAGGGGTTGGAGAGAATTGGTACATTGGGATTTTAAAGGGGGTGCCAAAAGTGGTGATGACAAAGTTCAGGGAAGAACAACTGGAGTGGAGGGAGGGCATCAACATGGATGCTGAACCAAGCCAATGTACTGCTAAGAGTGAGGTGGAAAGTATCATGCGAACCCCAGAGCTTCAATTGTCAATACATACTGGGGTGTGACCAGCAGATTGATAGAAGACAGCAAAGAGAGATGGGTAAATGCCAATAGAGCAGAATAGCATGACTTGTCAAGAGACAGGACTTTTCAAGGTGAAAGGAAGGGAGATGGTCCTGAAGCAGCAGTCATGTCTGTGACCCAACCAAGCCCTAAGCGATGACAGATAGAAACAGAGTCAGGGTCCTCAGAGGACAACTTAGTTTTAATTAAGGACAGAAGTTGAGAAGAATATTTTAAGAAACATTTGAGGGCATATTACAGTTTGCTGGCTATGGGTTAGGGTAGGGTAGAAGAGAGAGATTTGGAATAAAGGGTATGGATGGGACAAGACAAAGCAGGGCACCAGCCCTACCTTGGACCTTTCCTTAACTTGAGAAAGTCATGTCCATGTTGATTCAGCCAATCTGACTCAGGTATTATGTAACTTGAAATTGAACCATCCCAACTGATATAAGTGGTGATACTGAGTAACACAAATGTGCTTTCTGGATTCACACATGCACTTTTTTTTACATGAAAAGTTCAAACTTCTATGTGGAGATTTTTTTCAACAGTATCCTCAAGAAGTATTCATCATGCAACTCTTTCTAGGAAAGGTATTTTAAAAAGAAGAAAAATGTCATTTCTGGCCCCAGAATGTCAAGACATACATCTCTGAGAGATTTAGTTCTAATTATTATTGTAGAGTCTTGTGGGTGTTTCTTATAATTTTAATTTTTACAAAAAACAAATCTGTCCATCCATGCATCTATGTATGTATGTATATATGTATGTATCTATCTTCATCATCATCATAATTATCCATCTATGATCTATCTATTGTGTATCTATCTAATAATCTACCTATGCAGAACTGCAAAATTCACAGGACTGGCCCATACTGCCCTCTGCTCCCCACTTTGTCTAAACTTCAAAATGAAGTTTCTGGACACAGGGCTATGAAATGCAAAATGAAACAACTCATGTCCAAAGCTCTGACACTCTGCTGCTCATGAAAACCTGCAATATCCAACTGAGTTTTTCATTTTTAACATCAGCAGGTCTAGTTCTCTATCTTCATAGAGAGTTATTTTTAATTTTATTAGGGGATAAATTCTTTTTTAATAAAGAAATTATTAGGTATCAAAATACCACAATCTCTTTATGGATCCAACTAGATTATGTGTATGGGCAAAGTATTTTCAACTTAAGAATAACATTCCTGTTCCTTGAATACTATTTTGAAAGTTTGGATTAAGGGATATTAACTTCCTTAAGACAAAACAGACTCACAGTTGAAAACTACTCACCTTGTATATAGAAGTTGCTTAATTAATATCAATGATTTTTATTGAATTGGAACAAAATAGACTATAACTTTTTATAAGATACATATGGGTTTGTTACTAAATATTATTAAAATGAATGTAATGCAATAATATTCTTATTTTGAGGTAATACATATATAGTCTGCAAAAATTAGGTTTCCTGGTGTCATTAACCACTTATGCAATTATTTTTCTGAAATGAATACACATGCTGTACGTGCAGTTTTGCCTGATATAAGTTTTAAAACAACGTATATTGGAATCTTGGAACTAAAAATGAGAAAATCAGTGTCCCCTTGATGTCAATTTCAGTTTCAACTACACTTGCTATTTTATTTTTAATCAGTTACTTACATTATCTCCACATTGTCACAGTTGATGGTATTTGTTTTCTTCTCTGTGACCATAATTTGCACAGATTTAACCATAATGCATCGTTAAAGATTACAAGAAATCTTTTAGACACAGCTCCTCTCAGTTGCTGAGAGTCCAACCTTTACTCATTTGTTTTCTTCATGAATATATATTTCCTGAGTTGTATGTTTGTACATAGCTATTTGTAGCCTTTGAAGTTTATGGAAGTTTGTTTGGTTGCATTCTTGGGGCACATTTTCTTTCCCTGAGGACTGTTAAGGTTAGGATATTTGACCCTTTCAAAGCTCATGTTGAAATTTAGTCCCCAATATTGGAGGCTGGGCCTAATAGAAGGTGTTTGGGTCATGGGGACAGAGCCCTCCCATTGAATAGGTTAATGTCCTCTCCTGATGGTGAATGAATTCTTCCTCTATTAGTTCCTGCAAGACCTGCTTCTTAAAAGAGTGGGCCACCTCCCGGTTTCTCTCTTGCTTCCTCTCTCATGTAATCTCTGCACATGCTGGCTTCCCCTCCTCTTCTGCCATGAGTGGGAGCAGGCTGTGGCCATCACCAGATGAAGATGCCCAATTTTGAACTTTCCAGCCACCAGAATCATAAGCCAAATCATCTCTTTTCCTTTATAAATTATGCAGCCTCGGGTATTCTTTATAGCAACACAAAAGGGACAAGGACTTTTTATATCTTGCCCCACTGTCTTCTAGCATTTCATCTGTCACATAAAGAAATATTAGCCTCCTAGGTTTTTTTTTCTGAATATCCACAGAATTCTTTCCATAACTTCAAATACCAGGAATTTATTGGGGTATTTGTTAATTATTCAATATAAACACAGCCTTGTAATTCTTGGGCTATTTCTGTCTGCAGATTCAAATTTCATTGTATTTCAGGAATTTCACCTTGAATTGTATCTTTGAAAATTTGTTTTCATGTTCCATTCATTTTTTAACCCATGCAAGGCATTTAGTGTTAAAGATATTTGATCTCTTCCCTACCACCCCTCCCATCCCCCTCTTTTTCTCTATCTCTGTCTTCCGTCTTTTACTTTTTGTTCTTTTCCATCTCACTTGCTCATTTTTTCTTCTCAAAACCATCCTTTGAATTCCTTCAGTAGTGTCTCATCTCCCTTTTGCTGCTTCTATCATGACCTTTGATTTTGGTCTCTTTTTGTGTCTCTCTCTCTGAGATTCTGAGGCTCTGCCTATTCTGTTTTTATTCTCATTTGTTTCTAATTTGTTTCCAAGACTCTGTCTACTCCCTTTTCATTCTCATTTATTCCTAATTTATTTCTGAGGCTTTACCCACTCACTTTTCATTCCCGTTTAACCTAATGTATTATCAGTTCTTCCTTAAAGCCTTATATTGCGTCTTTAAATTCTCATTTCAGAGAAACAATATTGTCTTTAATTGATTCCTTAGAAATAACTTTGTTCATGGTTTTTGGCTCCATTGTGGTATATAATCTTTCCAGGTGTTATCGTCATAAATCATGTTCTGTCCTTTTTTTTTCATTTCAGCATCATTTTAAAGGCCCCCAGCTGGCTCTACCCTTTTTAAGTAGCATTGTTCCTCATCTTTTTAAACTAGAATTTTGGGCAAAGTTCTGGTGAAAGGGGAAGAGGAATGTGCCAAACAAATGGGAAGATTGGGTTTCAATCTGTTATCTCTAGGATTTTTCTCAGCTGGA
This sequence comes from Homo sapiens, assembly GCF_000001405.40. Taxonomy (NCBI): domain Eukaryota; kingdom Metazoa; phylum Chordata; class Mammalia; order Primates; family Hominidae; genus Homo; species Homo sapiens. The sequence continues at coordinate 43,141,622 of NC_000019.10, forward strand.
CTTGGCCTGTGGGTTATCTGGTCCAGCATAGCAGGACATCTTCTGGGCTCACAAGGAGGCTGTGCATTTTACAGAACATTTTAACGTGATTATTTTACCTTGACTTATCTTCACCAGGCAGCTTTGGGCAAAGACGGCCAGGTAGCTTTTATCTTATTGACTCTTCCTTCTATCCTATGCCATGATTGAAACATGATGTAGGCTTCCAAAACCAGGCCATGAACCTTGATCTTAACTTTCTAAGCATGGGATAGACACATTTCCTTTCAATGTGTGCCACTCATCCACTTTGGATAACTACGAGCTGAGTCCACTCTGCCTGAGTCACACATAGAAAGACATCTTCTCTTGGATTTCCCAAATACCTCCATCCACTTCTCATACACTTGGCTATCTTCCTGCATCTACTGTGATCCAGGGTTATAGGGGACCTGTAGCTTCATCAAAGATAACATTTGTTTGTTTCTTCTTCTCTTGTTTGCTTTGGATTGGTTTCATAAAGGAAATCAGACAAAAATATACTTACACTACCATTTGAAAAGAAAAGATAAATTCCTTCTTTCAAATTCATTCCTTTTTGTTTCTTTCCAATGAATCTCATGGGGTGAGGGGGGGACTGAAGAGAATGTCCAATCTAGTCAAATCCAAAAAGTCACAGGTATAAGGCACAGAAAATTTTACCAGTCTAATGATGGCAGTTTTAATGCTGTATAAGGACAGACTATGCAAAAATGCTATTAATGAGGATGAGGAGCTACAGGAAGAAACCTGATGAGGAACTGTAATTCTATTAGAGGGATGTATAGAGCCATCATTTTTTTCTTTAATCCAAAACAATTAGATTGCTTATATCGACAGCCACACTGAATTCTAAGCTATTTGTTTGAAATGCACCAGAGGATGCAGATATATATATATCCTTTTACCTTAATTTAAATTTTATTCTTTCCCTCCCGTTTTATCTGTGCTATAGAGTATATTTTTCCCACTTGAGCTCAACATGCTGTTGTGCAGAAAGCCTTCTCTTGGGAATTCCCAAAATGTTGGCCCAGATGAGTGCAGCAGACATTTGGCCTAGGTGAGCCTAGCAGATATTTACATGAAATATTAGGGAGCATCCATCTGGGCTATGTGACTTAGGCTGGCAATACACGAAAGAGGATTCCAATTTGTTGTATAAATCACCCTCAGAGCCCCCAACAGTGAACACATAGGGGGTTCTTTTCATTTTCATGATGCTTAATATAATCTTTAAAAATAATTAAAATTAGGTGAAGTGTGTAGATTTCTGAGAGATTACAGAAAGACATTAGTTTTGATACCTCTTGCTTGTAGCATTTGACCAACATAAACAAACGAAAAGGTTTAAAAAGAACAGGGATTCTTCCCAGTAGTATAGTGCAATGGGTAGGGGAAAAAAGTTCAAAATTGATACATAGACCAATATTATTCTCAAAACTCATACCATTGTGATTGGGAAGAAATGAATACATGTTACTTAGTCACTTCATGTTACTATATACTTATATTAAAACAACAAAAAGGAAATTATAGGAAAAAAAGTCATACATTTAAAGGATGGAAGAAAATCCTAGGTTTACTCAGAGCTCAAGATCCCATTGGGATGAATATTGTTCTTTCCTTGGATTGTTCCTTCATTTCATTCATTCACTTATGTATGCATTTATTTATTTAGAGATGGGGTCTATTTCTGTATTTATTTATTTACTTATTTATGGAGTGTTACTCTGTTGCCCAGGCTGGAGTATAGTGGCACAATCATAGCTCACTGCAGCCTTGAACTCCTAGGCTCAAGTGATGCTCCTGCATCAGCCTCCTGAGTAGCTGGGACTACAGGTGTTTGCCACCATGCCCCACTAATATTTAAGTTTTTTTGTATTGATTGGGTCTCCCTATGTTGCCCAGGCTGGCCTTAAACTTTTCAGCTCAGCGATCTTCTGCCCTGGCCTCCCAAAGTGCTAGGATTACAGGTGTGTCCCTTCATTTCTAATGAAGGAAGGTTTTCCTTTGAATATCTCACAACAGATATTTTTAAAAGAAAGGCAGATTTGAAGCAACCATCAACAAGGTTTACTTGAAAATTAATGATATTTACAAGTGCATTATATAACAGAAATGTTACAGACTGAATTGTGCCACACCTACCCCAAAACTCTTATGTTGAAATCCTTACACCCAGTACCGGGAATGATTGTATTTGGAGATGGGTCATTAAGGAGGAAATTAAAGTAAAATGAGGTCACATGGGTGGGCCCTAATCCAATAGGACTGGTGTCCTTCTAAGAAGAGGAGATGAGGACACAGACACACACAGAGAGATGACCCTGTGAGGATGCAGGGAGAAGACACCATCTACAAGCCCAGGAGAGGGGCCTCAGGAGGCACCATCCCTGCTGACACCTTGATCTCAGACCTCTAGCTTCTAGAACTGTAAGAACAATTTCTGCTGTTTAAGCATTCCCATATGTGGGACTTTGTTATGGCTGCCTGAGCAGCCTAATGGGAGTGCAAAGACTTTCTTTAAATAATGTATAACAATGTTGGTTTGGAAATGACTATCCAGTGTTGAGTTCAAAACTTTATCTTTATGGGTGCTGCTATGAGTGAGTGTCTAATTTGGGGGCATAATAGTGACATTCTTCGGGAGAAATGCAGACTCCAATCAGTGCAGAAAATGGCACAGAATAATGTTTAAAAATGCCCTCCAGGCCATAACATGGTTGGGTTAGGAGGAGGAATACTAACCATTCCAATCGTAAAACAGAGAATTTTGGGTTTCTTTCATGAGTTCATCACCTCTGACCTTCACAGGTAAGGGACCATCACACAGACATCTGCCATTTTCATATAACTCTCTATCCAAACAAAGGCTGAAAATTCAGCATGGAGGAACTCTCCCAGCACCCGTGGTCAGCCCCTTGGCCTGCAACCCCACCCTGGGCACTGGTGTGGGGGTGGGATTCTTTATGAACTTGGGCCCCAATTCTGCTTCCCCTGGAAAGCTGGACCCACACAACATCACCTTCATATGCAGACCCTCATGTGTGGGCACCTGTGCCTCCTCGGAGCTGGCGGTCAGCTCTAGAAGCTGGTTCAGGACAGGATACTCCCATCCAATCTGTGCCCACCATAGAAAAGAGTCAGCCAAGTGCCTGCTACCACAGGGCTCTTCACACATGGAAAAGCTGCCCTGTGGAAGTGTCCCAGGAAAGGTCAGGGGGACAAAAAAAGGTCACAGTGATTTGCCTCCAGACACTGGACACTCTTCCCTGGAGAGTACAGGGCATGCTGCTCTCCAAACCTGATCTTGCTACATTTGTGCTGCCCACAGTAGGGGTGTCACTGAGTTTTCAAAGAAGACAGCAGGACCTGAATTGTGCAAGGAAAATAAGTGCTTGAATTTTGTAGCATGCGTGCAGTGTTCTACTTTTTAGAATGCTACTGGGCTCCTCTGGTATTCAAGAAAGGCCCCCAACAGCTCAGATGGTAGTTTTCTAATCCTGTCTTCCCATATGCACATTTACCTCCTCCACCCAAGAACTGAATAACAGACATGAGTGCTCGGGACATCATGCTGTCTACTGTCATCCCCTTCCTGAGACCCCCTCTCCAAATCTCTTGACAACCCTCTTCTTAGCTCCCTCTTTCTTTCTGGCCTGTTACACTCAACCTCTCCAACGTCCTATCAAGTACCTGCTCAAACCTACTTCCTCTCCTGCTGTGCTTCTTCTTCAAAAGTGTTTTGCTTCCCATCCTCCCCTTCTTTCCTTGCCCTCTTCCCTGCTTCCGTCTTCCAAGCACTTCTCAACTACAAATGAGAAGGAAGCGATCTGATTAAACAGGTGATGAGCAGAGTCATGTTCTGAGGTGATTTGCATTTTTAAAAGGAGATTAATGACCACATCTGACAATGTCACCCTGAAATCTTATGCAGGGTGACAGGGGAGTGGGGATGAACTCCGTTCAGGGCAGGAAGCCAGAGTTTGGATCTGAAGTACTTTTCAGATGCTGAAGTCATAGGAGCTTGCAGTTACTTCCTGGGTGGAGCCATAAACAAACATCTCTTCTGCTGAGTGGGGTCTGAGAAGATAGAGGGAATGGTGACCCAGGAGCTCTGGAATTATCTGTCTGTGTTACACTTGCAGGACTACACAAATTTAACTGAAAAAACCATGCTTTTCATCCACCTGGCTGAACTCTTAGCCTGCTCTCCTCTTATTGTTCCCTCGAAGGCATCATTTTTTGAAAGAGAAATTTAAACTCTGTCCATCTCATCCCCTTTGGAAGAACGTTAAGATTCCTTTCTGAGCTTTTTCATCATCTGGAGTTTAAAAGCTTCCCCTCCTCTGTCAACTCTCTTTGAATCCCTCATGTCACACCAAACTTCAAAAGAGACAAATACTTTTGCATGACTCCCTGCAGGCTCTGTTTTGCCCTGTAGTGACAGCCCCACGTCTTGGCTTTCCTGATTGGAAAAACTTCTCAAGCTTTCTACATTCATGATCTGCACTTCTTCAGTGCAGCCTTCTCCAGTTTGTCTCTGATCTCCAATGGTCCCTGCATTAATCCTGTCCAAGCCACAGGTGACCCTCATATCATCTCAGCTTCTACTTCCCAGTCTCTCACTCTCTTTTTTTTTTTTTTTTTTTTTTTTTTTTGAGACAGGGGTCTCACTCTGTTGCCCAGGTTGGTCTCAAACTGCTGGGCTCAAAAGATCCTTCACCCTCATCTTCCTGAGTAGCTGGTAGGGGTGTGAGCCCTTCTGCTTGGTCTCCAGTCCTTTGCTTTTCTTTTTTGACCTACACAACATTCGGTGGTTGACGTCCATGTTCATGTAATTGTCTTCTCTGGCTTCTCAGGGCCACCATGCATTCCCTTCTCCCTCTTTTCATTTATTATCTTTTCATCTGGTAAGACCCATCTTCCCCTAAAGATGTATATTTTCCTCAAAGCAAGGATTGGCTTACCTTCACAAACTGAGTCTCCAATGACCACATAAACTGAAATGCAATAGAAATCATGGACAGATGTGAGCTCTTCTTCTAATTCCTGTGTCCTCTGCTGGTTCTTCTCACCAACATCACGTACTGCTAAGTAAGCGAGTGATGTTAAGTTAGAAAATGGACTGAGTCCAGTAATTCATTTGTCATGCTCCAAAATCCTTACCTGAGATCTATCTACTCTCCAAATTATGCTCGTTAGAAATACAGGAAGATCCTTTTCACATGAGCTAATTAGGGTGAATACATGTAAGTGTTGGTAAGAAGTACTAGAAACACTGGAATTTGTGAGATTTCATTGAAGAACCAACTTCCACCCAGCCCTTCACATTGTTCTCTTTTGGTAGTTTCTTGTCATTTCCTCCTTTTATTATCAATAGAGCTGCTGTGAACATGCATGTACAAGTTTCTGGGTGGACATATGTTTTCATTTTTTGGGGGGTGGGTAGACATGAAAGAGTAGAATTGCTGAGTTATATGATGAATCTGTGTTCTAACTTTTCAGAAACTGGACTTCTACTCCTTCCTGATTTCACCTTCCACGCCATTTCTGTAGTGAGGCCCACTCCTTGGCCTTACAAGACCTGAATTAAGTTAGGTGCCCAGAGCCGTTCTGTCATTGACTCTGTTCTTTCCCTTGCTAGCCTGTGTAATAATTGGCAATCAGACCTTCACGTGAGCAATGGTTTCATATGTCTCCCCAACTATATTACAAGTTCCACGGGGGCAGAGCTATGTCTATCTCCTTGACCTCTGTATCTGCCATGCCTGGCAGAGGGCTGTGAACACCGGTCACCCTCCATAAACACTGGGAGACAAACAAGGGAGTCAGTAGAGTTAGTTTTTTGCTTTTTTACCCCCAGAACTCTTAGAATATGATTTGAGCTTTTCCTTCAACGAAGTCCTGGGGCAGGTGATCATTCATAGATGACATGAGGGAGTGCACAGCACATGAGTTTGCAGGAAAATGTAAACCCCACGTTGATATTTGATCCCCAATGTTGGAGATGGGGATTTACGGGGAGTGTTTGGGTCATGGGGGCAGATCCCTCATGAATGGCTTGGTGCTGCCCTCATGGTAATGAGTGGGTTCTCTATTCAATCCTGCAAGAGCTGATTGTTAGAAAGAGCCTGGCACCTTCCTCTCCTCTTTCTCTTGCTGCTTCTCTCACCATGTCATCTGTGCACACAACAGCTCCCCTTCCCATTCCACCATGAGTGGAAGCTCCCTGAGGCCTCACCAGAAGCAGATGCTGGTGCAATGCTTCTTGTACAGCCTGCAGAACTGTGAGCCAAATAAACCTTTTCTTTATAAATTATCCAGCCTCACTCAGGTATTCCTTTATAGCAATGCAAAACTGACTAAGACAGGGTATCAGGAGACCTAGCTTTGCCTGCATCTGAGAACTTCATCAGGACTCTTGGAACTATTTAGCCCACAGTTCCAAGGTTGATTTTTGTCACAGTAAAGTTCAGGTAGTAAGAATTCTCACTGGTGGCTGTTGAGGGTGGTGGTGGTGGGGATGGGTCATATGGAGAATTAGCAGTGGGAGACTAGAAATTAAAGTGGATAAAGGGAAGAATTAAAAGTCAAAAACAGTGTGAGGGAGGAAAGCAATGGATATAACACCTCAGATCTTTATCCTCGAGAGGCCTTAAAAAATCTACTTAATAATAATCAGATGCTATTCTACAAGTACTTTGAGACTAGACATGTGATGACTTGTAGGAGCCTGCACTGGGGCTGAAAATGCATGCAAATCTAGCTGACTCAGCTCCAGTCTTAACTGGCTCATAACTTCCTTCATAAACATGACTGTATGTCAGCAAGGAAATGAGAGAGAATAACAGCACATCACATAGGCATGAAAAGTATTTGCAAAGCAGAAGTTCCCAAAAATGACATTTTGCAGTGTTTTCCAGAAGCAGATTCAGAAAACTGAAGACCAAAGTAATGAGGGAGCCCTATCATGCCTAGATGAGCAGAAGCATACCAAAGGCTTAGTATTTCCCCAAGTAGTAGGCACCTCAAACTTGTTTAAGGAAAATACTCTTCTTGATGAAACAGATACTGCAGTTGAAGCAGGAATGTGTTTGGTGTGCTGCCTTAAATAGCATGGGTAGATGTTCAAACATGTTAGGACTCACTGGCCCTAGGAAAGACCCGCAAGTATCTGGTCTACACCAAGAAAGTGACAATGTAACACCAAACACCTTTTCTCCTCTAATTACCAAGAAAAGTATTTCTTTCCCAATGGTGGAAGACAATAATGTTGGGAATGATGAAGTTTTCTGGAGTGTGAAGTGGATATGTCTTATAAGTTTAATTCACAGCTTCACCACTTCATAAGTGGATAATCGAATTGTGCCTCAGTTTCCTCAGACTTGGGGATATTAAGAGTACCCTCAGTCACCACAAGGTGGGTACCAACATAAGAAAAGGGTATAGCAAAATCCCAGGGGCACATGTTCTTAAAGTGCCTAGTGTGGGATTAGAATGACAAGTGGTAGATGACCTACTTGTGCAGAAATTTAGAGTTATTTTGTGATTTTCAAATGATCATGTGTGCTTTCCATATGCTGTCCAGACTGGGGGTGCTGGAGCTAGAAAGGGAAGAAGGTTTCCATATTTCCTGAGACTGGAGTCACATCCTCTCACCAATGCACTCACCTGCTGACTAACCAGTGTACTTCTGGGAATTGCAAATGCATGAAATGGCACCCATTCTAGACTAGTCACGGCAGTGTTGGTGATGGCCACAGACCAGGAACGACCCTGATGTTTATCCGTAGGGAACTAGGTCATGAGCCATGATCCTCATCATGGATACTGGGCAGCTGTGGCAAAGAATGAGGTATCCTTCTGTCTGTGCACCGGGAAAGGTTTCCAAGATACACCACACAGTGAGAAAAACAAGAAGCAGAACAATGCACGGTGTGCTACCTCTTACATTACAAAGGAGGAAATGTAAAATTAATTTACAAATGGCCAATAAGCACATGAAAACATGCTCAACATCACTAATCATTAGGAAAATAAAAATCACAACTACAGTGAGATACCACCTTACATCCATTACAATGGTTGTTCTCAAAAAAGAAGAGAAAAACAGAAAAGAAAAGTGTTGGCGAAGAGGAATTGGAACGCTTGTGTAGTGTTTGTGGGTATGTAATATGGTGCAACCACTGTGGTCGTTTCTCAAAAAATTAATCATAGACTTACCACAAGATGCAGCAATTCGGCTTCTGGTGTATTCCAAAAAGAATGGAAAGCAGGGGCCCCAGCAGATATTTGCATGTCTTTGTTCATAGCAGCATTATTCACAATAGCTAAAAGTTGGAAACAAGCCCAGTGTCCATCCATCTGTGAATGAATAAACAAAACGTGGTCTATACATACAAACGAATGGGATTCAGCCATAACAGGAAGGGTGGTTCTGATGCGTGCTTCAACGTGAATAAGTCTTGAGCTCTTTCTGCTAAGTGAAATAACCAGACTCAAAAAGACAAATATTGCATGATTCCACTTAACAGAGGTGCCTAACGTCATGAAATGCATAGACAGAAAATGAAAAGGTGGTTGTCAGTGGCTGGAGGGAGGGAGAAAGAGGAGTTGGTGTTTAATGGGTACAGAATTCCAGTTGGGGAATATGAAAAAGTTCTGGGTGGGGATGGACAGTGGTGGTGGTTGAACAACAACCTAAATGTACTTCCTGCCACTGGATGTACACTTAAAAGTGGTTAAAATGGGCCAGGCGAGGTGGCTCACGTCTAATCCCAGCACTTTGGGAGGTCGAGGCAGGCAGATCACGAGGTCAGGAGATCGAGACCATCCTGGCTAACATGATGAAATCCCCTCTCTACTAAAAATAGAAAAAATTAGCCGGGTGTGGTGGCATGCACCTGTAGTCCCAGCTACTCAGGAGGCTGAAACAGGAGAATCGGTTGAACCCAGGAGGTGAAGGTTGCAGTGAGCTGAGATCACCCCATTGCATTCCAGGCTGGGTGACAGAACGAGGCCCCTTCTCAAAAAAAAAAAAAAAAAAGAAAGAAAAGAAAAGAAAAAAAGTGGTCAAAATGTTGAATTCTATGTTATATATATTTTACCATAATTTGCAATAATTCCTATTGTTTTGCATAAAACAGCTGTAGAAAGCTTTGCAGGTCATGAACAGCATAGCTGGCCACTGAGGCTGGTGTGGGGCTAGGACCTGGGTGCACAGGGAACAGGTATGAGACACAGGCTCTTCATGCCTGCACACATATACGGATACACACAGATGCAAATTTCTGAGCCATCTAAATACAACACCTATTCAAAAAATTAAACAGAAAAAGGAAATGTAATGGAGCTAAAGGATAAGGGTAGGTGGGCGGCTGCTCAGGAGGACTGTGGAGGCCACATCACCCAAACTTTGAGGCCTCTCTTAGCAGCTGGAGTGCATCCCGGAGACTTGGGAACTCTGGAAAGAGGAGCAGGAGAGGGCCATGGCCAGAGGAGGCCTGAAAAAGATCATCTCTGACACAGAGAAGAAGCTGGCTCGGATGCTGGTGGCCACTGTGGAGACAGGTAGACCCAGGGAGACAACTGTATGCATTCAAGGAGGAATGGGTGGTGATGCAAACCTAGGTGGAGGCCACAGGGTGCAGAAGACAGGACACAACAGAGAGAGATGTAGGACATGGAAAGGACAGAAAGGAGTGATCACCGGACGTAAAGGGGCAAGGAAAGTGGAAGCATGAGAGCATCTGCTGGGCATCTGGCTGAGGGGTCATGTGCCCAGGGTGCCCTTCCCTAAGGGAGAACCCAGGACAGGAGCAGATTCAGAAAAAACCTCCCAGCTCACTCCAGCAAGAAGCAGAAAAGGGACTGGTTAAAGGACAGGGTAGGAAGGTCACCAAGCTCCAAGGGCCCTCATGAAGCCAGCTTGGAGGCCACAGGGCCCAGGGCAAGGACCAAACCACAGGCACAGGACAGCTCTGGTCAAGACCTTCTGGCTACCGCAGGAGGCAGAAACCACACCCTGCACCCTGCACTGCTGAGGCTGGCCCTGGGGTCCAGAAGCTTCTACACCAGAAGCTTCTGTCCCCGATCCCCACTGAAAAAATTAAAACAAAAACAAAAAGCAAATCGGTGCCATGCACCCTCTGCTTCCTGGTGCTGTTCAGGATCCTGAGTCTTTCACGGGAGCACCTAATGGGGAAAGCCTGGACCCGTGTCGGTGTCCCTCCTGCAAGGAGTGCTGGGAAAATGAACTTTCCGGCTTCCTCCTTGGGAAAGAAGAACATTCCCCATGTGTACTGGTGGCATTTAAAAACTGCAGGGCAGCCAGAGAACATGCACCGTGTTCCACCAGGAGAGTTTCCAGCGGGATGTCCCGGTGAAGATGCCCGTCCCAAGGTGGGTATTTGAGCTGAGGAACTGAGAAGCTGTTTTCTGCCTAGAGTTAGAGATCCGAGAGGCATCAGCACATGGAAGGGAGGGAAGCTATGATGCCTCCAGGGTGGGAGATCAGATGAACCAGGAGAGGCAGGGCCCGGGAGGAACCCCGGGGAGCAGCCGCCTTTAAAGCCTGGGGGAAGTAGCTTCAGAGAAGGTGGGGCAGGTTGGGTGGGGGGTGCTGGAAAAATATAATTAAGAAAGAAATTTCTGCTCATCCCAGAAACCCCCATCACATCCGTAGACGTAAAAGAAACCTGTCTTATGATTAAGCATTAAGCCAAAATGTGATGCAATCTGCTGAGAGATGACAAAGTCAGAAATAAATCCCACTTTGGATCCAGCCAAGCAGGTGCAACCCGTTACACACATGGTCTCCAGATAGACGGTGACTAGTTTCCAGTTGAAAGGACTCAATGGCACCATTTGTCACACATAGTTCATCCTAAATTCACCCAGTAAGTGGGTTGATTCTCTGTGTGGTTAATTGGCTTTATCTACAGGAAAAACAAACCTCTTATCTATGACAGGAGGTAGTTTTGCAACTGGGAGTGAGATGCCCCAAGAACTGAGGTTCCTTCCTTCTCACAGAAACTGGGAGACAGGGGCGCCTTCTGCCCGGATGCCTGCCTTTCAAAGAGAGGTCTCCTATGGCCTTGAGGAGGACAGTTCTGGGTTGGCAGGCAAGATGTTTATGTATGCTTTAGAAAGCTTTACATACATCTTCAAGGGCTAGAGAAAGAATTTTCAATTACCTCTTCTAAAAAATAAATGCTCTCAAAGTCCAGCCTAGGCTGCATAGCAAGATCCAATCTCCACACACACAATAATAATAATCAATTTGCTGGGCATAGTGGGGTGTGCGTGTAGTCCCAGCTACTCAGGAGGCTAAGGAGGGAGGATCACCTGAGCCCAGGAAGTTAAGGCTGCAGTAAGCTTGGATGGCACCACTGCACTCCAGCCTGGGTGACAGAGGGAGACTCTGTCAATGAATGAATGAATGAATAAATGAATAAATGAATGAATAGAAAATGCTCTGAGCGAAAAGAGGAGAGTCTCTTTATCTTTTTGCAACAGGCTAAACAAAATTTTTAAAAATGTATATTTGCCTCACAGAGATTATTCCAGGAAAAGAAATGGCCCTCAGTGTCAAAGGATGCAAAACTAACCTGTGAGTTCCTGGCAGGTTTAGCAATAAAGGAGGATGTTGCTGATCTCAGTACAAGCAATGTTAGAGAAAGGGGAAGATGGAAGTGGACGAGGACCAGTGAGTGGAAGGTGACAAATGGAAGCAAAGAAACCCATCCAGACCATTGAAGATGCTTGAGCGAGAAGAAAGAGGCGGTGGAGGGAATGGAAGCCCGAGGAAGTCATTTGTTGCAATAGGATGCCTCAGAGCACGTGTAGGGTGCGGGGCAGAGCCCATGCAGAGGGGCTGTGGAAGGCTGGCAGGGTGCAGGTGGCCCCACTCTCCGTCACCCTGAGGAATATGTGGTCAGAGTTAAAGCTCAGTCTGTTTCTGGGATCAGGTAAGAGGTGAGCGTCCGGAGAAGACAGGCGGATCTTCAGATCCTGCAGACCTCCACCGCGCCCTCTGTCCCTCTTGACTGCTTTTTCTCCATCTCCATTGTCTGGCTCACATTCGTGTCACTTTTTCATTTCTCCCTACCCCTCTTTTCTCTTTTCTCCTCTCTTTTTCTTAACCCTTATACCTTTGGAAGTCCCACTAATAGAATTTAAACAGCTTTTCAAGTTGGTTTTTTGTTCCCAGAAATTGACTTTAGACTCTCCATGAATAATGTGGAAATCAAACGAGTATAAGCTGATTCACGTCTCTGCAAATGAACAAATAAAGTCTACATTCCAATGCTTTCTTTTTCCAGAGTAGCCCACATTTGATTTTTTTTTTTTTAATTACTGTCACTTGCAATAGATTTTTAAATCTTGTAACCTGGTTACACAAATACCATGGGGCCAAAGACTTACTTCCTGTAAGAGGAAACCAGGCTTGACTAGCCTCATGCTGGCTTTGAAGAAGTAAAATCAGGGGTTGATGAATTTGCATAGGGTAAATATCAAAGATCGAAAGTCAACAATAGGTGGTAGAGGGAATACCCCAAATTATAAAAAAAGAAACTGTTTAAGCCACAATAGAATTATCGTAGAAATAAACCATGGTCCTTCCTGCTAAAATATTCCACTTAGAATTGTAAAATATTCTTCTCAATAACTCCTGAAAGAGCCTATTAAGAAATTAATGAGGCTGGGCATGGTGGCTCACACCTCTAATTCCAGCACTTTTGGAGGCTGAGACGGGTGGATCACTTGAGGTTAGGAGTTTGAGACCAGCCTGGCCAATATGGTGAAACCCCGTCTCAACTAAAAATACAAAAATTACCCAGGCATGGTGGCAGGCACTTGTAATCCCAACTACTCGGGAGGCTGAGGCAAGAGAATTGCTTGAACCCAGGAAGTGGAGGTTGCAGTGAGCCAAGATGGCAGCACTGCACTCCATCCTGGATGACAGAGTTAAACTCCATCTCAACCAAAAAAAAAAAAAGAAAAAGAAAAGAAACTAACAAATGTAAGAGTGTCTATGTTCCAAATCCGGTGTATTATTTTATGCAGCCTTTCACAAGCTCTAAAAGATTCACTGTGCAGAACTGGAGGTTCTAGAGAAAGACCACGCCTCCTCCTACAGGTAACTCTTGATTCAGGAAGCAGCTCTTGGCTTATCCCTGGGCTTAGTGGAATTCAAATACCTGACCATAGGACACCAAGGGCTTTGGGACCTGAAAGGCACATCATGTCCTGGTGACATCTGAGTTACCTGGGGCATGCACAGCCAGCCTCCAGCATCCCAGGGAGAGCTGTGTATGGGGTCAGGCTCAAGCAGGTCCCAGGGCACCAGTGACCCAATGGGTGACTCAGACTCCCATGGCACCTGCTCCTTCTGTTTCTCCCTCCACCATATATATGAGCTCATGGGAAACACTGTGTGACCTCTTACAGAGGAGGAAAGTGCATGGACTTCCAGTTTCTAGAACTGTGATACAATAAACTCCTGTTGCTTATCTACTCCTCTACAGTATTTTGTCATGGCAGCCCTAGCAAACTACTACAGGGACTGTGAGGGTTAAGATGACACCAAACATCAAATGCCACTCCCTGTTCCAACACTGAGACCATTCCACAGCCTCTGAATGACAAGACAGGCCTTCAAAATCAAGACCACCTGGCTAGGTAAGAAGTACTTTAGTCACACCACTTCTGAACTTTCTCGCCTACCTGCAGGGCAGGAATTTTTACCATTTTCAAATGAGGACACTGAAGCCCAGAGAAGTAGTGCTATTTCCTGATGGATAAGAGGTGATATATTTCAGTCCTCAGACCAACTCTGAAGTAGCAAGCTTCTAGTCTTAAGAGTCAAACTTGGCTGGGCATGATGGTTCAAGCCTGTAATCCCAGCAATTTGGTAGGCCGAGGCGGGTGGATCACCTGAGGTCAGGAGTTCGAGACCAGCCTGGCCAACATGGTGAAACCCTGTCTCTACTAAAAATACAAAATTTAGCCGGGTGTGGTGGTGTGTGCCTGTAATCCCAGCTACTTGGGAGGCTGAGGCAGGAGAATCACTTGAACCCAGGAGGCAGAAGTTGCAGTGAGCTGAGATTGTGCCATTGCACTCCAGCCTGGGGGACAAGAGCGAGACTTCATCTCAAAAAAAAAAAAAAAAAAAAAAAAGAGAATCAACCTTGAGCCAGGCACGGTGGCTCATGCCTGTAATCTCAGCACTTTGGGATGCCGATGAAGTCAGGAGTTTGAGACCAGCTGGGCAACATGCTAATACCCTGTCTCTACCAAAAATTTAAAAATTAGCTGGGTATGGTGGCTCATGCCTGTAATCCCAGCTATTTGGGAGGCTGAGGCACAAGGATGGCATGAACCCAATAGGTGGAGCTTGCAGTGAGCCAAGATTGTGCCATTGCACTCCAGTCTGGAGTGCAAAAAAAAAAAAAATCCATCTCAAAAAACAACACAAAAAGAATAAATATGTGGCTTCATGACTGTATATTACTGGGCTTCTGACCTAGACTAAAAGATCAGGGAAGAGTTTCCTGAAGAGAAAGTGAGCTATGATGGGCCCACTGTACTCCAGCCTGGGCAACGTAATGAGGCTCTGTCTCAAGAAAAACATGCAGAATAAAACCACAAAAAGATACCACTACAGAACTATTAGAATGGCTAAGATTAAAAAGAGTGACCACGCCAAGTGTTGGCAAGGATGTGGAGGCACTGGAATGTTCATGCTGCTGGTGGGAATGTAAGATGGTACAACTGCTATGGAAAGCAGTCTGGCAGCCTCTAAAAATTTCAGCATACACCCACCATGCAACTCGGCAATTCCATTGCATTCCCACATTTTTTTTAGTTAAAGGAAAATCAAGTGTAATGATCTTTAAAGCATTTTTGCCTGACAAATAGATGAAATGTGGGTAGTAGCCCAACACTCCCTGGTCAGTCTATACAGGGCATATGTGGCCTCATGGCCCCCAGGAAATATGGCTGTTTCCACAAGTGCTGAGTCCACTCTCTCCATCAATCCTAAGATGTTAGTTCCACAGCACTGCCAGCATTGGGCTTTGTCTATTTCTTTCTTTGTCATTTTTGAGAGGGGGTCTTTCTCTGTCACCCAGGCTGAAGTGCAGTGATGCAATGTTGGTTGTAATGGCTCCCATTTCATTTCTAATTGATCTTATTTGGCTCTTCTCTCCTCTTTTCTTGGTTAATCTTGCCAATGGTCTATCAATTTTATTTATTTTTCCCAAAAATCAGCTTTACATTTTATTTATATTTTGTATTATTTTGTTTCAATTTCATTTAGTTCTACTCTGATGTTGGTTATTTTCTTTCTTCTGCTGGGTTTGGGTTTGGTGTGTTCTTGTTTCTTGAGTTTCTAGAAATGTAACCTTAGATTGTCTATTTCTGCTCTTTCAGGCTTTTTGATGTAGGCATTTAAGGCTATAAACTTTTAGCATGCTCTTTGCTGTATTCCAGAGATTTTGATAGGGTGCATCACTATTGTTCAGTTAGAAGAATTTTTAAATTTCCATCTTGATTTCATATTTGACCCAATGATCATTCAGGAGCAAGTTATTTAATTTCCATGTGTTTGCATGGTTTTGAAGGTTCCTTTTGGAGTTGATTTCCAGTTTTATTCTACTGTTGTTTGAGAGAGTACTTCATATAATTTTAATTTTCTTAAATGTATTGAGACTTGTTTTGTGGCCTATCATGTGGCCTATCTTGAAGAAAGTTCCATGTGCTGATGAATAGAATGTATATTTTGTGGTTGTTGGGTAGAATATTCTGTAAATATCTCTTAAGTCTATTTGCTCTAGGGCATAGTTTAAATCCATTGTTTCTTCCTTGACTTTCTGTCTTGATGACCTGTCTAGTGCTGTCAGTGGAGTACTGAAGTCCCTCACAATTATTGTGTTACTGTCTATCTCATTTCTTAGGTCTAGTAGTAATAGCTATATAAATTTGGGAGCTCCAGTGTTAGGTGCACATATATTTAGGATTGTGATATTTTCCTGTTGGACAAGTCCTTTTATTATTATATAATGTCCCTCTTTGTCTTTTTTAAGTGCTGTTGCTTTAAAGTTAGTTTTTTTGATATAAGAATAGTTACTCCTGCTCACTTTTGTGGCCATTTGCATGGGGTGTCTTTTTCTACCCTTTTACCTTAAGTTCATGTGACACTTTATGGTTAGGGGAGTCTCTTGAGGGCAGCAGATACTTGCTTGGTGAATTATTATCAATTCTGCAATTCTGTATCTTTTAAGTGGAGCATTTAGGCCACTTACATTCAATGTTAGTATTGAGATGTGAGGTACTGTCCCATTCATCCTGCTATTTGTTGCCTGAATACCTTGGTTTTATTCATTTATTTATTGTATTTTTGTTTTATAGGTCCTGTGAGATTCATGCTCAAAGAGGTTCTGTTTTGATGTGTTTCCAGGATTTGTTTCAAGATTTGGAGCTCCTTTTAGCAGTTATTGTAGTGCTGGCTTGGTAGTGGCAAATTCTCTGAGCATTTGTTTGTCTGAAAAAGACTGTTATCTTTCCTTTATTTATGGACTTTAGTTTTGCTGGATACAAAATTCTTGACTGTTAATTTTTTTTTTTTTTTTTTTTTTTTTCTGAGACGGAGTCTTGCTCTGTCACCCAGGCTGGAGTGCAGTGGTGGGATCTCAGCTCACTGCAACCTCTGCCTCCTGGATTCACACCATTCTCCTGCCTCAGCCTCCTGAGTAGCTGGGACTACAGGAGCCTGCCACCAGGCCCGGCTAATTGTTTTTGTATTTTTAGTAAAGACGGGGTTTCACCATGTTAGCCAGGATGGTCTCGATCTCCTGACCTTGTGATCCGCCCACCTCAGCCTCCCAAAGTGCTGGGACTACAGAAGTGAGCCACCGCGCCTGGCCTGATAATTATTTTTTTAAGGAGGCAGCAGATGGGTATGCATGCTCATTCAGGTGTTCTTCCCTTATTGAAGATTAGTAACATCACATGTGTTGAAAAGCATTTGGGATTATTTACTTAATTGATGAGTACTCATTTATTTTTATGTTAATTTGATACCACATATAAACAATATATTAACATAGGTAGGGGCATATACATATGTGATATGTGATACAACATAGAACATATACATGTGCACATAAAGATAGAGGGAGACAGAAACACTTCAGATTTTTTATTTTAAAACTTTATGCATGAACCCAAAAAACTCACTGTTAAAAAAAAGACAGCTGGATTTAAATTGTGCTTTTGTAAATAGAAAAAGATAACATTTATCTGAGGAAGTCCTTGCTGAGTTTTAGAGAAAGTAGGTAGTAAATTTACATCTCAAAGCACACACACACCCCCACACACACAGAGAGAGAGAGAGAGAGAAGGAATTTGGGTGTGTTCAAGGAAGATTAAAAGTAGATGCCAAGGTAACACAAAAATGATAGAAATTTATAACAGCATTTTATAAGGAGACCAGTTTTATTTACATACATAGCTTTTATTTTGGTCTCTGTTTTCCAACTGTACTCCAGGAAACACACTACACAGGCTCCCTTTTTAAGTGCTGGTGGGCCAATGCACATGCAGACAGCCCACTTTAAGGGAAGAATCAGGGGAGAAGAGATGCAGACCCCAGAATTACGCCAACATAAAAAACCTAAGTCAAAGGTCAAACCCACACTTGAAATCTCATCGCCTGTTTCACCCTGTTTTCAGTGTACTTTACTTTCTTTAATTTCTGCTCTAAAGCTTTTAAATAAACTTTCACTCTTGCTCTAAAATTTGCCTATGTCTCTTCTTCTGCCTTATGATGCTTAGTTGAATTCTTTCTTCTGAAGAAGCAAGAATTGAGGCTGCTGCAGACTTGTATAGATTTGCTGCCATTAATATACTTTAGTGCCATTCTACATGATAGAATATATATACTCTTATATTTATACATATATATATGTAAAATATGTATTCATAGAGGCCTTGAATCTACATTCTTGCTGCAGTTTATGTAAACAATCCAGGTATAAGACTAAAACTTATTTTGGAAATACATTGGTCCCATATGATTTCTGTTTCATAAAAATGGGAGACAGGAGGGGGAAAATTATTTTTCAGAAGAAAACAACAAAACAACGGCTATTAAATTTGTTCATTTTTTTTTTAATTTTGTTATTTACCTACAATTTGGACTGAATCCTAAATTTTTTCCTGGCTACAAATTTCAAAACTAATGGTTTCAGAATTTTCTCCCATTTTTCTTCCATTTTGGTATATTATAAATTAAAACTGTGCTTTTTAAATTTTTATCTTTTTTTTATTACACTTTTAAGTTCTGGGATACATGTGCAGAACCTGCAGGTTTGTTACATAGGTATACACGTGCCATGGTGTTTTGCTGCACCCATTAACCCATCATCTACATTAGGTATTTCTCCTAATGCTATAACTCCCCTGGTCCCCCACCCCTCAACAGGTCCCAGTGTGTGATATTCCCCTCCCTGTGTCCATGTGTTCTCATTGTTCAACTCCCACTTATGAGTGAGTACATGCAGTGTTTGGTTTTCTGTTCCTGTGTTAGTTTGCTGAGAATGGTGGTTTCCAGCTTCATCCATGTCCCTGCAAAGGATATGAACTCATCCTTTTTTATGGCTGCATTGAATTCCATGGTGTATATGTACCACATTTTCTTTATCCAGTCTATCATTGATAGGCATTTGGGTTGGTTCCAAGTCTTTGCTATTGTGAATAGTGCAGCAATAAACATATGTGTGCATGTGTCTTTATAGTAGAGTGACCTATAATCCTTTGGGTATATACCCAGTAATGGGATTACTGGGTCAAATGGTATTTCTTGTTCTAGTTCCTTGAGGAATCACCACACTGTCTTTCACAATGGTTGAACTAATTTACACTCCCATCAACAGTGTAAAAGCGTTCCTATTTCTCCACATCCTCTCCAGCATCTGTTATTTCCTGACCTTTTAATGATCACCATTCTAACTGGCATGAGATGGTATCTCATTGTGGTTTTGATTTGCATTTCTCTAATGACCAGTGATGATGAGCTTTTTTTCGTATGTTTTTTGGTCACATAAATTTCTTATTTTGAGAAGTGTCTGTTCATGTGCTTTGCCCACTTTTTGATGGGCTTGTTTGGTTTTTTTCCTTGTAAATTTGTTTAAGTTTCTTGTAGATTCTGGATATTAGCCTTCTGTCAGATGGATAGATTAAAGCTTGCAAGCTGAAACTCAACAACTTATGTAAACTTCTGGAGAAATCACAGCAACTTACATATAAACAACCCTTGTGCCTGCTGATGTGTGGACTACAGAAAAGGTACACATGAACACTGTATTCAGACTGCAATTTAGAGAAATGTGTCAGATTACCACTGCAATTGGAAGATGCTTCAGAAACTCTAGAAAACCTAGTCTATAGACTGCTCCAGACATTACAGGTGAGCCAAGATACAACTGAAAGGGTTAGAGTGGTGTTTGCTAAACGAATTGCTCTAATTGAAGCAGCAGTTGTGTGACTTTAATAAGGTTCCAGGATTATACTGTCCCTTTGTTGCTGTGACTTCCCTTTGCCCTTTTCTGATTTGTCTTTATCCCTTTTCCATGGGACATGACTTCTTAAGAATGAGCCTTCCTAGTGATGCAGGATCAGATGAAACTTACAGTCACAAAGTCATGTCTTCTACAATGTTTTGTCTGAAAGCTTTTGAAGAATTGGGGGGCCAGCTGTGCTGGCACAGGCCTGTAATCCCAGCACGTTGAGAGTCCAAGGCAGGAGGATCACTTGAAACCAGGAGTTTAAGACCAGCCTGAGCAACAAAGGGAGACCATGTCTCTGCAAAACATAAAATAAATCAAATTAGCCAGGTGCAGTTGTGCATGCTTCTAGTCTCAGATACTTGGGAGGCTAAGGCGGGAGGACCGCTTCAGCCCAGGAGTTCAAGGCTGTAGTGAGTACACTCCAGTCTGGGTGACAGAGCAAGGTTGTGTCTCTAAAAGAAAAAAAAAAAAAGAAAAGAAAAAGAAAAAGAACGGGGTAAACAGGAAAGCCAAAAATCTTGGGCATCTCCAGATGATTGCCTGAACGAATTGTTTTTTCTTGGCTTCAAAACCTTTCAAGATGTATATATCTTTGTAAAAGAAAGACATGCCAATTGTAACTTTAAGTGAGCAATCAAAATCTAGCTCCTAAAACTGAAGTATTTTAACTCTCATTCTGATAATATTTATTTTCTGAGGCACAGAAGAAAGACAAGATTAGATTAATTGTTTTTCTGCCCACTCCATCTCTTCCGACCTGCCTTCTCCCCTTTAATCAAATGTATAAATACTAAGCCTCCTGAAATCTCTTCAGAGAAAACACAAGCCACAGAGATTTTTTGCAACTCATGTTTTCCCAGGGTTCACTCTCAAGCTCTGGCTCAATAAAACTCAATTGGTCAAGACCCTTGCCTCAGTCAGTCTTTCTGGATATCCACCATGAGTCCTGCAAAGCCCTTCAGTAATCTATTGCCTGCCTAGGTGATGTGTACCCAGGTGAGTCAGGTCTTCATGAGTCAAACACTCGTCTTCCTTTTCTGTCTTTCCCAACCCTACCACTCAGTGCTGTGTGCTCTGATCTGACCCCAGCTCCCAGGTTGTTTGTATTGGTCTAAGAAAGCAAGACCAGGAGGGGCAGGTTGAGAAGGAAGTAAGAGGCCAACAGCCATGGAAAGTGGCACGTGGGGCTGTCATTCCTCAAAACCACATACCCTGGGTGCATTTTGTGAATTTTTCTGGATTCAGAATCTTTTCCCTGTGTGTCTATCTAGAAAATCACCCTCCTCCTACTTTCCTCTCATTACACTTTCTGTTTCTGGTGCAATCGTTTATGTCCAGAGAATGGCCATGCAAATAGTTGACAATAGAATAAAAAATGACTTTTTGTGAGATTTGGAACCTGGCCTTTCTTTTTTCCAAAAGAGATTGAGGTTTCTAAAAGCTAGCTTTTATGCAGGGCTGTGCAGTTGTGAGTGTAGTTTTAGGGAACAGGTGCATAAGTGAAGGGTGAGACAGAAAACAAAATGCTGGCTGTTTGTCAAATCCTGAAAATAATTTTTGAAGGTGGATGTCATTCAGGAGACCTTGTAAATCTTAGAGTGTCCTCTTACCAGATGAAGTGGAGGATGAGGTTGAATTATGGAGTTAGGTGACAGTGGGTACATACTTCTCTGCCTCAGTTTTTTTTTTTAATCTGTAAAAATGGGGATGGAGGCACTTGGGATTTTTTGTGAGGAGTGTAGTTACCTGGAAAGCTCTTACGATAGTGCCTCGTGCATAGTGAGTGCTGCATTAGTGTGAGCTATTATAATTATGGGAATAGACAAAGGTGCCACCCTGGCCATCCAGAGTGGGGAGGTATTTTCCAGTCAGGGTCCAGGCAGGCCAGCTGGAGATGAAGCTGATTAGTGGGGAAGCTTAACTTCCAGGAGTGGAAGAATTTAGGAGGAGTAAACAGAATGCACAACATTCTGTAAACATGCCTTTACCCAACAGTAGGAATACTCAGAGTGGGTGTGTCTTCCGTGGCAATCATTATCTCCTGGGAATCTAAGAATGTGTCCTAGAGTCAAATGGCTTTGATGTAAGCCAAACCCAGAAATGGACTTCAGGGCTGCCTGGCACATAGCATTCATTCATCTTGAAAAAGGAAAGCATTCATCTTGCTAAAGGAATCCCCTCTTCTGGCCCAGGCCATTATTTTTGTTTTTGTACTATCCTAATTTTTAAGATGTAAGGAGAAAGACCGAAGAATAAAATAATGAGGTACATGTATGAAATAACAGGGTAGAATTGAGACTGGTACGTGTAAGTTAAGAGAAATTGTGTATAAATTTTGTGTGAACAGAAAAAGGATTTCTTGTTGCAAACAGACCTCTCCATATAAATAATACCCATTGCCTTGAGTGGATAGCAGACGGCATCACAAGAATATTCCAGCAGAGTCATGAGAGAATGGGTAGTGTGGCTTCTTTAATTGGCAGGTTAGACTGAGTAAGTTACTGAAGAGAAAGGAGTTGAAGGAGAAGATGGGTGAGGGCAAGAAAAATGGGAAGGTGAAAGGAAAGGACTGAAAGGAATGTTTACCAAGGGCTCATCAGGTACCAGGCTCTGTGACTAATGTCTCACACATGTTAATTTACTCTTCCACTGTCATTTTCTGATGCAGTAAGAGTCAGCCTTACACTGCAGAAGAGGAAAGAGGCTGAGGGAGGTCAAATGAGTGGCCCAGGGTCATCCAGCCACTTCATAGCAGAGCTAGTGTGTTTCACTGTGGTTTGTGCAGACAGAAAAGTGAGACATGGAAGGAAGGCAAAACATTTTTGCTGTGGGTGATGTTTATGAAAGTGACCTGTATGAGGCAGAATAATGGCCTCTTAAAAATGTCCACATCCGGGCCAGGCGCGGTGGCTCACGCCTGTAATCCCAGCACTTTGGGAGGCTGAGAAGGGCAGATCACGAGGTCACCAGTTCGAGATCAGCCTGACCAACATGGTGAAACCCCGTTTCTACTAAAATGCAAAAACTAGCTGGGCGTGGTGTCGGGTGCCTGTAATGCCAGCTACTTGGGAGGCTGAGGCAGGAGAATCATTGAACCTGCGAGGCTGAGATTGTAGCGAGCCAAGATTGTGCCACTGCACTCCAGCTGGGGCAACATGAGTGAAACTCTGTCTCAAAAAAAAAAAAAATCCACATCCTAACTGTTGGAACACATGCCTTTACTTTTCTTGGCAAAAACACTGTTCAAAGGTGATGAAGTTGAGTATCTTGAGATGGAAACCTTATTCTGGCTTATCTGTGTGGCTCCCAGTGTCATCATAAGGGTCCTCTTAGTGAAAGAGAAAGGCAGGAGGGTCAGGGTGAGAATGATGCAGCCTGAGAGACTCCACTGGCCATTGCTTGCTGTGAACATGTGTGATAAGACAAAATTACAACGAATTTAGTAATAGATGTAATTGGCTTTTATTTGTGATTTATGATTTGAGGCAGCTCTCCCTCTACAGATGCCTCAGCATCCCAAGTAGCTGGGACTATATTGCTGGATCTGGCCAGCAGCCTGCAATGCAACAGGGCTCTTTCTTTGTTCCCAGGCAGATCGGCAGGTTGAGAAATAAAAGACACAAACAAGATAGTGAAAGCTGGGTCCAGGGGGGTCACCGCCTTCTGATCCTGCGATGCTGCCAATGCACTGGATATACCAGCATTTATTATTAAGTTTAGTGAGAGTGTTGGTAGGTTAGTGAGGGATTTAGGGTCATTTATATGCTCTCTATAAGGGTCACATTCCATTCCCAGAGCTATGGACATCTGCTTTTCTGGGATAGGAATCTTGGTTATGTGAAACCTCCCTGACTGCATGTCCGTTCATAGGCTCTCTGCAGGGGGAAGCACATCACGTGCTGTTGGCTCATTCTGGCAGTCCAACCTTGCATTTGTCTTTTCACAATCCTGCATGCAATTTTGTGTTTACAATAATCAGGTGCATTTCATCTTTTATTCCATAGCAATAGTTTCAGGGGGTCTCCCTACATCTCCCCCTTTTCTCTGATTTCAATGAACCATAGCAATCATAGCTTGGCACTGATCACGATTGGATTGAAGAATATTTTTTCCAATTTTACACATGAACAGTAAACCAATAGCACAAATTATACACAGAACAAAATTAATGATAGTGGATCCTCCCAAAGATTTTACCTATTGAATGGGGTTGAGATTAGATAACCCCTCAGAGATACTGTCTAAAACTTCAGCACTGGGTAAAGCAGTTAAGTGTGCTTGAGAGGCTTCAAAAATCTGTTCTTTCAGCTTGCTTATGTCTAAACTTAATTTATATTCACTTCCTTGTAAATGGGATTTTACTGATTCCCAATTGTGAAAAGACTCATTATATTGGAACAGAGTTATACAAAAATCAGAAGTATTCCAATCACGTTGCATTTGTAATCTATGTTCTAAACTCATAATTCTGTCTCCCATCCATATAACAGAAGCACATCCCATGCTGTAGGCACATTCTGGCAGCCCAACCTGGCATTGTCTTTACACAATCCTGCATGCAATTTTGTGTTTACAATAATCAGGAGCATTTCATCTTTTATTCCATAGTGATAGTTTCAGGGGGTCTCCCTACAGGACTACAGGTGCACGCCACCATGCCCGGCTAATTTTTGTATTTTTAGTAGAGACAGGGTTTCACTATATTGACCAGGCTGGTCTCGAACTCCTGACCTTGTGATCTGCCTGCCTTGGCCTCCCAAAGTGCTGGGATTACAGATGTAAGCCACTGCGCCCAGCCCATAAATCAAACATTTCTTTGAGTTTTTGTAATTCCAGCCCAAGAGAAACCATTTGATATTTGAAGAATGGCTGCACACAAACATTTGCACACAAATAAAAACATCTGTAGATTGCACCACACGAGGGAGAATACCAGTATGACTATCAGGAGGAAAATATCAAGAGTTTGAAATATGCACCTTAGGCAAGATGCAAACCAACTACAATAGGATAGATCAAAGAAGAAGCCAGAAGAGTCTAGTCATTTTAACCAGGCAGCACATTTATTGATTTTTACAACTGAGTCTCTATAACACCGGATGTATTTATCTATGTGCAACAAGAAGGGCCAGAAACTGCACAGGCTCCCAAATGTTCAGCTGGTAGAGAGCAATTCTATTATCTAGCATTGCATGTCTATGTTAAATTAAAACAGGGAGTGAGAATAGGGAAGTATAGAAGTGGAAGCCTAAAAAAAACTCCATATATTTGAGGAAAAAGTTGTGTTACAGATGCAGCTAACGTCAGCCTTTGGGTGGATTAAAGGATCTCTTGGTATGTAAAAATGTGTGGGCCAGGTGCGGTGGCTCAGGCCTGTAATCCCAGTACTTTGAGAGGCTGAGGCGTACGGATCACCTGAGGTCGGGAGTTTGAGACCAGCCTGACCAACATGAAGACACCCTGTCTCTACTGAAAATACAAAATTAGCTGGGCGTGTTGGTGCATGCCTGTAATCCCAGTACTCGGGAGGCTGAAGCAGGAGAATCACTTGAACACAGGAGGCGGAGGTTGCGGTGAGCCAAGATTGTGCCATTGCACTCCAGCATGGGCAACAAGAGCGAAACTCCATCTTATAAAAAAAAAAAAAAGTGTGGTTGACATGATATATCTGACACTGTTAACTTACTCTCAGAGGCTACTTCTTGTGAAATCCTAAGTACAGCATTATTCTGGGAAGCAAAGGAGACAAGCATTAGCAAGGACAAATTCAGAGAGGTAAGAGTCTCATCATGAGTGATAATCTTGTTCTGACATCTTGAGAAAAGCTGTCCGCAGTATAAAGTCATCAACTTGTTGTCATGGTTTGCAGTTTGAGTGTCTCTAAGTTATGGTGTTGAACATTTCGTGAGCTCTTAGTGGCCCACACCTCAGACATGAGGGTTTTCCCATGAAGTTTACATTGAATTGTCCACCTCCAACTTATATGGCTTCAGGAACAGAGCCGCTCTTGTTCTTAATGATTTCATTGGAGAAAATTGAATTGGAAGAACTAAAAGAATTCAGGGTCCAGTCCAGTCTACCAGTGGATTATAAATACTCAGAGATAATGAACAGTGGTTCAATCTGGTAACAGGTGTACTACAGTTTTTCTTTTCAACATAGTTTTTCTGTCTATAGGAGTCTCTATTTTTACCAAAGATAATTCCAGTAGGATGAATTTGTTTGCAAAATAGGTTGAGTCTCACCGAACTTGCCCAGATTTTTTAGCTAAGTGCGGAAAGAGTAGCAATGGACAATAGAGGCTCTTTTTAAACTTCTCTTTGCTAGAAGTTTTTAATAAGAATCTCAGATTAAACTTCCAAAAACCTCTTGAAACTAGGAAGCCAAACCAAGGCCCACTTCAGACTTTGCCTGCATTCCCTATGGGTTTATTCTATATATATTCTCAAATATAACATCGCAGTCAAAGCCTTGGTAATATAACCAATGTTTTCAAATGTGTCCTGTTATAAAGAGAGCAGATCCTTACTGAACTTGTGCAGATAACTTTATTACCATAAACATATGAATACTCATGAATAGTTTCCCAATTCTGGGGCACTCAGATAGAGAGCAAAAGCAAATGTTTCAATTTTTGTTTACAAAAGTATACTTTACCAATTGCTCAAGAAAAAAAGTTCATAAATCTGGAGAATAAAACATTCAAAGAATCAGCACATTTTCAAATAGAAAATTATGAAAACATTATGCTTTTGATTATTTAGTCCAATAACATGGAGTTTTTTTCTTCTTTGTCTAGAATTTCATGAAGGTATCAGCCTGTTCATTAAAATTTTGAAAGTTCTTAGTCCAGTGGTATGATCTTGAAGTTATCAGGAACTTGTATTCAAGAGTCCTTGTCAGAGTCTTTTCCATAAATCTCCTTGAAGAAAAAGCAATTTTGGACTGTAGGTGATTGTAAGTAGTTTGAGGAAGAATCAAAGCAACTGTCTGGGAAAGACAAAGATTTAAACTGACTATGGTTAAAAATCTAATGAGAATTTATTATGGTAAAGACACAGCTCACATAGAAATCCAGTTACTTCTGTGGCATATGACACTATGGTAACATATTTGATTTCCAGAAATTTCATATAATTTTTAGAATACTCATTTAAAAAAATTTTTTTTTTTGAAATGGAGTCTCACTCTGTCACCCAGGCTGGAGTGCAGTGATGCGATCTCAGTTCACTGCAAGCTCTGCCTCCCGGGTTCATGCCATTCTCCTGCCTCAGCCTCCTGAGTAACTGGGACTACAGGTGCCTGCCACCACGCCCGGCAAATTTTGTTTTTGCATTTTTAGTAGAGACGGGGTTTCACCGTGTTAGCCAGGATGGTCTCGATCTCCTGACATCGTGATGTGCCCACCTCGGCCTCCCAAACTGCTGGGATTGCAGGCGTGAGCCATCGCGCCCAGCGTAGAATACTCATATTATTAACATTCCCATAAATATTATTTAGAGAAGGTTTAGCCTCACTTATCCTTTA
Organism: Homo sapiens; assembly: GCF_000001405.40. Lineage (NCBI taxonomy): Eukaryota > Metazoa > Chordata > Mammalia > Primates > Hominidae > Homo > Homo sapiens. Next base: position 43,168,741 of record NC_000019.10, read on the forward strand.
TTTGAAAATGTTTTCTACACAATTTAATATATCAAATAAGGTGGCTTTTCCATTCAGCTTCTGTTTCTCAAGAGGATTACTGAGTTCTTGGTGTAGCCCATTCATAAATAGGGCCAAAAATGTATAGTCTTATGTATGTTGAAAAAGGTCCTTAGGTAATTCCAGTACTTCTAGCTGAAAATCATTCATTTAGTTTTAAGTTCTACCTATTACAACAAGAGTTCTCCATCCTTGTTACATGTTAGTAGTGTCAGGGAAGACTTAAAAATTACCAATGCCTTGGTCCCTCTCCAGACCTTTAAACTGGAACTAATGGGTGGGGCTTGAGCATCCACTTTTAAAAATGCTTTCCAGTGATTCCAATGTGTAGCTCTATTTCCCATCAGATTTCTCTGATTTCTTGTGGCATTCAATTTTTTCTATTTTGGTATCATGATTATTTTCAGGTCTCATTTCCTGTCTTAGGCTTTATGTCTCCTGGGGTAGGGACCTTGCCTTCTTCATTTCTGTATGTTTTTTGAACACATGAACTGGTCATCAGGAAAAGATCTCAACCACACATAGGTTGTGTTCTGAGTCTCAGGTTCACATGTTAATCCTAAAGTCTCCGTTCTCCATGAGGTCAGATGTTGCCTGTGATGAAGGGTGTCGTTAAGTCTGCAGTGCAGATGGTGGAGGGGATTTCACTCTGTTTTTAGACATAGCATTGGAACTAAGAATTTTATGTCTATATGGGTGAAGGGGCAGGGATGTGTAGGAAGACAGTTCTAATTAGGATGAAGGAATTATACTAGGAAGTAGAGGTAAAGGAAGTGAGAAGGCTTACTAAATAGAAGAAATGTGAACTTATCAAATAGGCTAGAGTAGACCCCTGCAGATTCTTGATTAAGTGAATTAACTAGATTTTAGAAAGGTAATGAGGCAGTCATATGCAAGGAAGGTTTCAAAGTCTGGCCACAAGAAGTCAAGCAATACTTTGAGAAGTGGTTGAGCTTTATGGGAGTGTAGAGAATTACACTATTGAGAGATGTTAAAAATAATGAAGAGGGTTTCACCATGTGAAATTGTGTTTCTCATTTGAATCTGAGAAACAAATGAGCAGAGGCTGGAGATAATTATGTCTAAAAGACAGTGGGGTACAGGGAGCATAAAGGCCAGGGAGAAAGGGAACTGCAGGAATTAGTTCTGAGAAGCAGGAGTTTAGTGGAGGAAGGAGGAGATGCAGTCCCAGATACAAGCAAATAAGTCTTTTCCCTCTCCCAAGCATGGCAGTCAGCCCTGCAGGAACCAGGATAAGAGAAAAGGCCATCATACCTGCCAGTCTTCCTGAAATACAGAAATGACTTCACGGCTGCTATATTGGATTAAGGAGAGGAAGACGTCCTATTCCTGAAGGAGCTGTCATGGAAAGAAAAGTAAAGAAGGAATGAAGGTGATGTTATTTTACATGGGGGAGCCTCAGGAAGAGGCATGTAGCATGAGGTACTCTATAATTGTTTCTTCAAGTACTACATTATTCCTCTTGGGAAATTGATGGGAGATGATTATATTCTTGCAGTTTTTTTTTTCCCTCTCACCATGTTTCTAGGATGGTGATCAGTCCTCTGTCAAATCTCTACTGCACTCAGATATTTTGGAAGGCTTTCAGACATAAGAAAGGCTGATTGCTATTTTCTATGTCATTAGAACTTACCACCTTTTCACCTTTTCATGGTTGCATCTTTTTCTCAGTCTCTCTGTTGTGGCAGCCATGAATGAGACTCTGTCAGGTCTCCATGGCAGGGAGCTGATTGACAGAAGGCCCACGTCCGTGCATTTCACATTCATCACCTCCTTTGCACAGAAAGCTTCTTTCCCACAGGCTCCCAGGAAGGGCGTGAAAGCAAGCCTAGTTCTCTGAGGCTCTCTTTAACTCTAAAGGGTGACTGGTTGGAGGACTCCCCCTCAGCCTTGCAAAAACTCTTAGAACTGCATTGGTACCTAAAACTTCTTTCTCTTTCTTTTTCACAGGAATCAGCTCTGCATAGTGGTCTGTGGGTTCTCCCATACTGCCTTCATGTCTGCCCCACATTCCCTCACAGGTGTCCTCCCTGATAAATTATCTTGTATGTCTAATCCCATCTTGGGTGCATCTCAGTTGGTAAAAACTAACATATCAGGCTTGATTCTTTGCACTTAGCTTTTTTTCCTTCTCTCCCACAAGTAGTCAGTAACCATGTCCTAGTGTTTTATGTGTTACCTCTTTTTCCATATATATGGAAAAAGGTAGGTACTGTTGAGGGGCATTTCCTATGTGCCAGGCCCTGTGCTAAATACTTTACCTGTATCTCATTTAATCCACACAATAACCCTGTCAGGTAGAAATTATTTCCACTTTGCTGATGAAAAGACAGAAGCTTATCATGGTGTAAAAACTTTCCTGGTGTCATATGGCTAGTGACAGGTGGATCTGAAATTTGATTCTAGGACTATTTGACCTCAAGGCTAATGATGATGGTAGTAATATAGCAGCTGACATTGGCTCCTCTGTGTGGCATCTTGTTTCATTGATTGCATTAAACATTTAAAAGAATGGTATGAAGAAAGCACTCTCATTGCAATTTTCAGGTGAGGAATCAGAGGTTCAGAGAAGTTGAGTCTTGTGCAAGAAATTTATAACTGTAAACTCTTACATTAAAAAAGAAGAAAGATCTCAGGTCAACAACCTACTTTAATACTTCAGGATATGAAAGAAGAACAAACTAAACCCAAGCACAGTGAATGAGGGAAATAATAAGGATTAGAGTGGACATAAATAAAATGGAGAATGGAAAAAGAATAGAGGAAATTAATGAAACCAAAAGTTGATTCTTCAAAATAAAATCAACAAAATTGACAACCATTAACTAGATTGACTAAGAAAAAAAGAGAAAAGTTTAAAATTACTCAAATCAGAAATGAAAATGGACTCTGAGCATGGTGGGTCATGTTTTAATCCTAGCACTTTGGGAGGTCACAGCAGAAGGATTTCTTGAGACCAGGTGTTTGGACCAGCATGGGTAACCTGGGGAGATGCTGTCTCTACAAAAATATAAAAAACCAATTAACTGGGCATGTTGACATGAACCTGTAGTCATAGCATCTTGGGAGGCTGAAGAAGGAGAATTGCTTGAGCCCAGGAGGTTAAGGCTGCAGTGAGCCATAATCACACCACTGTATTCCATCCTGGACTGGTCTACATAGTGAGAGCCCGTCCCTCTCTTCAAAAAAAAAAAAAAAGAAAAAGAAAGAAAGAAAAATGAAGCGATTACTACCAATTCTAATAAAATAATGATTATGAAAGTACTATAAATAATTTTATGCAAATAAATTGGATAACCTAGATGAAATAGACAAACTCCTAGAAACACACAAAAATATGAATAGAACTATAATCAGTAATAAGATTGAATCAATAAAAGCATTTGATGAAATTCAATATTTTTTCATAATGAAAACATCCTAAGAATAGAAGGAAACCACCTCAACATAAAGGCAATATGTGAAAAACCCAATGCTAGCATCATACTCAACGGAGAAAGACTGAAAGCTTTCCCTGTATGAGCAGGAACAAGACAAGGATGCCTGCTTTTGACACTTTTATTCAACATAGTATTGAAAGGTCTAGTCAGAAAAATTAGGCAAGAATTGAAAAAAAGACATTCAAATTGGAAGGAAGGAGTAAAATTCTTTCTGTTTACAGATAACTTGAACTTATATGTAGAAAATCCTAAAGGTGGAACAAACCAATTAAAATTAATAAATTCAGTAATGTTGCACAATACAAAATCAACATTCAAACATCAGTTGTATTTCAATACACTAAACATGAACAATCTGAAGGGAAATTAAGAAAAATAATTTCAATTTATATTAACATCAAAAAGAATAAAATATTTAGGAATAAGTTTAACCAAAGAGGTGAAATAATTATACCTGAAATCTACAAAATATTGCTGAAAGAAATGAAAGAAGACATCAATAAATTGAAAGACATTTTGTGTTCATGAATTGGAAGACTCAATATTGTTAGGAGGACAGTGCTGCCCAAAGTGAGCTGCAGATTCAATAAAATTCCTGTCAGAATCTCAGTGACATTTTTGCAGAAAAAGACAAATCTGTCCTAAAATTTATATTGCATCTCATGACTCTAAATAGACACATAGCTTTGAAGAGGAAGAATGAAGCTGGAGGACTCACACTTCCTGATTTCAGCATTTACTACAAAGCCCTAGTAATCAATACAGTGTGGTACTGGCATAAAGGAGGACATAGAAATTAATGAAATATCATAGCCCAGAAAGAAATGCTTGCATATATGGCCAAATGATTTTCATGGAGTGTTCCAAGATCATTCAATGGGGAACGGACAGTGTTCTCACCAAATGATATTGGGAAAGCTGGATATCCAAGGGCAAGAGAGTGGAACCTTTACCTAACACCATGCATAAAAATTAACCCACAATAGATCAAAGATCTAAATGTAAGAGTAAAAACTACAGAACTCTTAGAAGAAAAGCTTCATGATACTGGATTTCACAATGATTTCTTGGTTGTAACAACAAAAGCATAGGCAACAAATAAAATGGATTAATTGGACTTCACAAAAATCAAAACCTTTTATATATCAAAGAACATTATCAAGAAAGTAAAAAGGCAACCTATGAAATGATAAAAATATTTGCAAATTATATGTGTGATAAGAAATTAATTTCCAGAATACATGAAAAGCTACAAGTCAACAACAGCAAACATCCAAAAACCCAATTAAAAAATGAACAAAGGATTAAAATGGAGTTTTCTCCAAGGAAGATATACAAATATCCAATAAGCCCATGCAAAGTTCCTCAGCATCACGAATACTTAGAGATATGCAAATCAAAACCACAATGTTACACCACCTCACACACTTTAGGATGGCTTTGATAAACAACAAAAATGACAGCAACACAAAACAACAGGTGTTTTCAAGTAGATGGAAAAATTGGAGCTCTAGTGCATTGCTGATGGGAATGGGAAATGTTATAGCCACTGTAAAAAGTGGTGTGGCTGTTTCTCAAAAAATTAAACAATAACTTACCATTTGATCCAGCAATTCCACTTCTGGACAAACTCCCCATAGAAATGAAAAAAAATTGAACAAATATTTGTACACTGATGTTCAGAGAAGCATTACTCACACTAGCGAAAAAATGGAAACAACTGAAAAGTCCATTGAAAGATAAGTGGGTAGGCAAATGAGGTGTATCTACAATTAAAATGTTATTCAACCTTAACAAGGAATAAAATTCCAATACATCGTGCAAAATGGATGAACCTTAAAGATATTATGCTAACTGAAATAAACCAGACACAAAAGGATAATTATCATATAATTCCATTTATAAAAGATAGTTAGAATAGCCAGTTACATAGAGACAGAATGTAGAATGGTGTGTGCTAAGGGTTATGGGGAGAAGGAGTGAGTTACTGTTTATTGGGTACAGAGGTTTAATATGGTAAGAGGAAAAAGTTCTGGAAATGGATAGTGTGATGGTTACACAACACTAAATTGCACACATAGAAATAGTTAATGGTAAGTCTTATATTAGATATATATAAAGTGTCTGGTAGTCTTACCCTCTCTATAATTACACACTTTTTGGCACTGCCCCTTTCCTGCCATGCAGAGCCCCAGGGGTGAATCTCTCTATTTCTCCAGCTCTGCATCAGTCACTATCCTCCGTGCTGTGTCCCACATGCTGTGCCCACAACCTCATACAACCGGTGACTTCAGAGCCAGGACGCAACGCAGGAGTCTTCCCTGAGGCTCCCTCTCTTCTTATTTCCCTGCAGCCTGGCCCGGGGGAGGCTTGGCTTCAACTGGCAGCTCGATTTAGCCAAATTCAGGACAGGCCACCAGGACTCTTTCTCCACACATGCTGGTCCCACCCCAGGTTGAGTGAGGCAGGCCCAGTCACCAGAGAAGCATGGAGCAGAGCAGGAAGCAGAGTCTGAGCTGCTCCTCCCTCACCCAAGGGGCTTCCTCGTCTCATTTGGGGGAAAAGTGTGAGCTTGTTTCAGAGCCTCAGATGTTCCTTGTAGCTCATGGAATAGGTACAAGGAAACAAAGACATGGCAGAAGGGGATGTGTTGGTGACATCGAGAAGCAACTTGATCTTGAGGACTCTCCTTCTCATCCCTCTGTGAAGCCTCCTCTACCACATAGGGCTCAGGGCTGATAAAGCCCCCTCCCTAACTTTCTTAGGCCAGACACAAGGTCAGCCATGAGAAAACAGAAAAACAAGGAGAAGAGAGTTTGTAGAGACAAATTGGAAGGGTTCAGGAGGAGAATTTGGGATTTGCTTGTGCCCATGGGACACAGGCTGGGAATAAAAATGTTTTCCTAACTCTTCTCTGAAAGCCAGGTAGACTCCACCTAAAACCCTATTGCCAAGGATGCTGGGATCCACTTACCAGAGACTTCGACTGTCATGGATTTGGAGCTTTCCTTGCCAGTAGCTGAGTTACGAACAGAGCAAGTATAGAGCCCTCTATGCTTTGTAGTAATTTGGGGGATAGAGAGCTTTTGTCCTGATTGCTGAAACTTCCCATTAATTGTCCAAAAATACTCTGCCGGTGGGTTAGATTCCGCGAAGCAGGACAAGTAGAGGTTTTCTCCTGAACGGTAATAGGTGAATGAAGGGTAAATGCTGGGGAGGTCTGGACCATCTGGAGCAAAGAGAATGAAGCCACAGGTGATGTCATCCAAGGGAAGGGGATGCTCCTGGTCTCTTAAAGGGACACAGTGACCCTCTGAGCCAAGACACACCCTCAAGTCCCAGCCGAACCCCCACTATATTCACTGAGCCAAAGCCTGAGGTATTCACCTGTTTCTCCCATCACAAGCTATTGACACAAAGTCTCCCATGACAAGAGCGCCCCCTCCCCTTATATTCCTGGTTAAGGCTGTGCCTACCTAGGTTTTCCAAGGGCAGGGAGTCATGGCCAGCTCAGATGTCCAGAAATAAAGGTGTCTATACTTGGACCGGAGAAAGACTGAGAGGACTGGCTTGTGGTCATTTAGATTTAAGCTGGTGTCCTGGCCCACAGAGGAACAAAAGATACTCACAGAGGACATTCAGGGTGACTGGGTCACTGCGCATGCCACCATCTCGGTCCCGTATTTCACATTCATAGGGTCCTGTTTCATTTCTCGTGACACTGGGTAGAATGAGGATCCTGTTTTCAATGGGTCGCTTTACCCTGGGACTGACCGGGAGGCTCTGACCATTTAGCCACCAAATGTAGGTGTAGTTCTCACTCTTAGGTTCACAGGTGAAGGCTAAGACATCCTTATTCTCCCTGGGTTTTGAGTTGTTGATGGTGATGTAGGGCTTGGGCAGCTTCACTGTGTGGATAACAGAGAGAAGATTGTCCTGTGTGGCACCTTTGATTCCTCCACAGGCATCCTTCAATCAGAGTTGGCATCTCCCACCTGTCAACCCACCAGAGTCCTTGAAAGCCAGTAGCTGATGCATGTGTCACAAGATAGATGCATGATGATCTAAGGGCTCAAAGACTGTGAGGCCACCTGCTCTGTTTTAGGGAAGCACAGACTTTCTCAAGTGTCAATTGAGCAGCAGTGTTGGGTCATGAACAGACACATCAGTGGGAGTCACAGCCCCTGGTACCCCTCCCAGTCCCTCCATAATCAGTTGACTGGCTGGCTCACCCTGGGTTCCTTACCTGGAATGTGCAACTGCTGGGCCCCTTCCAAATTCCATCCTACTTTGTCCCCCTATATGTGATTTCTCTGCAGCTCCCATTTCCAAGGACATTCTAGAGATGAGTAATAATGGGACTTCCCATTGTCCTGAAACCCTGAAGATACTGAGCAGTCTGGCCTGGGACTGGATGTTTCAGCAGAAATAACACAGGAGAGACCAGAGTCAAGCCTGGAGGTCAGTTCAGTCATCAGCCAGTGGAGGCAGAAAGTGGGGCAGTGTTTTGCAGGTGTTTCATGATGACTTACTTGAACCAGTGACCTCTAAAGATAGAGCAGAGTGCAAGGAATGATCTAGAAGGAGTCAAGGGGACAGGCAAGAGCTGGTGGCTTTGGAGCAGAACCATGTTCCCTGTCCTGGGTTCTTTAAGTTTCCTCTCCTTCTGCAGAGGGCAGGTGAGGACCATGTGGATCTTTCCAGAAATACATGTGGATGTTTGCAAATGCAGAACTGATTGGTAGAAAGGGTGGGAATGAACTGCTGGAAATCTGGTCCTCATGGACCATGTGTGTTTGATGGATATGAGACAAATTTGAAGAGAAGTTTTGGGAATATTTTCTTTCACTGGACATTCTACTCTCTGATTCCATGGATTCGACTACTCTAGGGACCTCATGTAAGTGGATTCCAGAGTGAATATGAGAAGAGACTGCTGTTTGCCAGGAGCTGGGAGTGGGGAGAATCAGAAGTTGTTCATGGGTGTGCAGTTTCAGTTATGCAAGGTGGGGAGGTTATAGAGATTGGCTGTCGAGCTTGATACCTATAGTTCACACAGATTGAGTATTTCTTATGCATAAGACTTAGGACAAAAAGTGTTTTGGATTTCTGACATTTTTTGATTCTGAAATATTTGTCATATACTTACTGGTTTAGCATCCCAAATCTGAAAGATTCAAAATCTAAAATGCTCCAGTGAGCATTTCTTTTCAGCATCAGATTAGTGGGCAAAAGTGGGAGGTGATAAGCCAAATATATTCCTGCCCTTTTTTTTTTTTATCTCACCACGTTTCTACCATGGTGATTAGTTTTTGGTCAATTCCACACTGGCCATTCTGCACTCATATATTTTTGAAGGCTTTTGGATGTGAGAAAGGCTGATTGCTGTCTTCTATGTCATGAGAACTTTAAACATTTTCATGGTTGCATCTTTTTCTCAGTGTTTGTGTTGTGGCAGTCATTAATAAGAGCCTGTCAGGTCAGATTTAAGACAGAGTTTTCTAATTCTGCAAAAAATGTTACTGGGATTCTGGTAGGAGTTGCACTGTATCTGCAACTTGCTTTGGGTAGTATTGTCTTTCTAACAGTATTGATTCTTCCAATCCTTGAAAATGAAATGTCTTTCCATATATTGATATCATCTTTAATTTCTTTCAGCAATGTTTTGTAGTTTTCAGGGTATAATCATTTGACCTTTTTGGTTAAACTTATTCCAAAATATTTTATTCCTTCTGATGTTAACGTGAATTGAAATTCTTTTCTCAATTTCCTTTCAGATTGTTCATTGTTAGTGTATAGCCTAAAGAATGATCTAGAAAGAGTGAAGGGGAAAGGCAAAAGCTGGTGGTTTTGGAGCAGAAACATACTCCCTGTGCTGGGTTTTTGATTTTCCCTCTCCCTTTGCAGAGGGCAGGTGGCTCTTCCCTGATAGCTAGATAGACTTCACTGGAAAACATATTGCCAATGCTCCAGGGATCCACTTACCAGGGACTATGATCCTCTTGATTATGAGATTTGTTCCATCAGTGGCTGAGTTATGGATGAAACAGACATAGATCCCTCTATGTTTTGGTGATTTGGGGAATAAAGCACACTTGTGCTGATTGCTGGAACTTCCCATCAATCAGCCAAGAATGCTCTGCCAGTGGGTGAGAGTCTGTGAGGCAGGAGAGATTGGGGACTTCCCCTGTATGGTAATAGGTGTATGAGGAAGAAATGGTGGGGGCATCCAGGCCATCTGGAGCAAAGAGAATAAAGTCACAGGTGACATTGTCAGAGGGAAGGGAAAATCCTGGTCTGTGGAAGGGCCACAGTGACCCTGTGAGCCAAGTCGCAACACTGAAGTCCCAGCCAAATCCCCGCTGTGTTCACTGATCTGGAGCCTGAGACATTCACCTGTTTCTCCCATCACAAGCTGTGGAACCTGAGTCTCCCATGACAGGAGCAGCCTCTTTTCTCCTATTGTGGATCAAGCCTAGGCCTACTCTGTTTTGCCTGGGGCAGAAAGTCATGGCCAGCTTTGATGTCCAGGGGTAAAGGTCTCTGTACTTGGACCTGAGAGGGACTGAGAGGCCTGGCCTCTGGCCATGTGTATTTGGGATGGCAGCCTGGCTCACAGAGGAACAGAGGATACTCACGGAGGAGATTCAGGGTGACTGGGTCACTGTGGCTGGCACTCACTGGGTTCCGTATTTCACATTCATAGGGTCCTGCAATATACTTTGTGACACCAAATATAAAGAGGGTCCTGTTGGTTTTGGACAGCTGCAACCTGTGAGTCATAGGGAGGCTCTGACCATTCATCCACCACAGGTAGCTTGTGTCTGAAGCCGCAGGATCACAGGTTAAGATCACAGCCTCCATGGCCTCCCTGGGGTTTAAGTTGCTACTGGAGATGGAGGGCTTGGGAGTTTCCACTTTGCAGAAAACAGAGAGAAGATTGCCCTGTGTGGCACCTTTGATTCCTCCAAAGGCACTTTTCAATCAGAGTTGGCATTTCCCACCTGTCAGCCCACCCAAGTCCTTAAAAGCCCATGGCAGGTGTGTGTGTTACAAGACAGATGCATGGCAATCTGAGAGCTCAGAGATTGTGAGGCTGCCTGCTTTATGTGGGAGAAGTACAGGCTTTCTCAAGTGTGAATTGAGCAGCAGCATTGGGTCATGGAAAGACACAGGACCAGCAGTCACAGACCCGATGCCTCTCTGAGTTCCTCCGACTAAAACTGCCTGCCTGACCCACCTTGTGGTCCTCACTTGGAGTATGCAGTGCTGGAATCTTCTTAGTTTCAGTCTTACTTTGTCCCCCGAGGTATGTTTTCTCTGCAGCTTCCCTTGCCAAGGACATCCTAGAGATGGATGATGGAACTTCCCATTGTCCTTAAACCCTTTGGGTACTGGAAAGCCTGGCCTGGGACTGGGTACTTCAGCATAAATAACACAGGGGAGACCAGAGTCAAGCCTGGAGGTCAGTTCAGTCATCAGGCAGTGGAGCCACAAGGTGGCGCAGTTTTCCCAGGTGTCTCATAGTGACTGACTTGAGCCAGTGACTTCTAAAGATAGAGCAGAGTCCAAGGAATGACCTACAAAGAGTGAAGGGGACAGGCAAGAGCTGATAGCTTTGGACCAAGACCATTGTTCCCTGTTCTGGGTCCATGATGCTTCCTTCCCCTTGTAGAGGGCAGGTGAGGACCATGTGGATCTTCTAGAAATACATGTGGATGTTTGCAAATGCAGCACTGACTGTTGGAAAGGGTAATCATGAACTGATGATGGAAGTCTGGCCCTCATGGACCATATGTGTTTGGTGGATATTAGACCAATATTTGGGAAGAAGTCTTGCAGATACTTTCTCTCATTAGACATTCTACTCTCTGATTCTGAGTTTGACTACTCTATGTACCTCATATCAGTGGATTCCAGAGTGAATCAGAGAGTAGAATAGTAGTTTGCAGGAGCTGGGATCAGGGGAATAGGGTGTTGTTCCATGGGTGTGCGGTTTCAGTTATGCAGGATGAGGAGGTTCTAGAGATCTCCTGTGCAGCCTCGTGCCTATACTTCATGCAGATACAGTGCTCCTTATGCAGAAAGCTTAAAACAAAGTGTTTTGGATTTCTAATTTTTTTAATTTTGGAATATTTGCAGTACATGTACTGGTTTAGCATCCCAAATCTGAAAAATTTAAAATCCACAATGCGCCAGTGAGCACTTCTTTTTAACATCACATCAGTGGTCAGAAGGGTTGAGTTTTGGAGCATTTCAGATTGTGGATTTCTGGATTTCCGATGCTCAATTCGTAATACTGTAATTTTCCCATAAAAAGTTGTCAGGAGTTTAGACCTCATGTTATGTTCTGACTCTAGTAACAAAAAAAATTTGGAGGAAACATTAAAATGTTTTCATAAGTGGAAATTTTTACTGATGATCCAAACATCTAAGATCAATTGCTGGTAGTAGTATTTCTCTTGAGACCAAAATAAGGTTTAGGTGTGCCGTGAATTCCAGCAGGATCACATTATGCTCAAAGAAAGACGCCAAAGGTGATTTGAAATTAGCAGCTCCTTAAGTAGAGAGTCCCGTTAAAAGGACAGAACTGGTCAGTGCGTCAATTACATAAAGGGAGGAAGGATGCCAAATTAAAAGAAGTGATGTGTGTTATGTTAGTAAATATAGAAAGAACTCCCTGCTTCTAATTTCTGTGCAGAGTTAGGAAAAATGGGGAGGACCCCAAAACAGGTATGTGAAATGCTTTCTTCATTTTCTCTTAAGCTCACGAAACACCACTAAAGTTTAAGTTTGTGTGAATTAGGAAGAATCTAAGTGAGATGCCAATGGCTCGTGTGTCTCCCCACACGTAGAACTCCAACTTATGAAAATGGCATCATCATGAGGAAACAGTTTTATGTGGCACAGGCAGTAAAACCATTAGATAGCACACACCTGGCCACCTCCAACTGGTCCCCAAAACCACCAATATTCACATTACGTGTATCTGACAGCCTTTGCAGTTGTCCACAACTACAAAATTTAAAAATTGCTATTGCCAAAACAAAATATTAAATGTGAAGTTGAATGTGTTGTTCCACTTTTTTTCCCCCACTCTTATTGAACTTTCCTTTTTCAGTTTTGGAAGTTTCTATTGACACATCCTCAAGCCAGAGATTCTTTCCCCAGCTGTGTGCAGTCTACCAGTAAGCATCAAAAGCATTCTTCATTTCTCTAACAGCATTTTTTTTTCTGAGACAGAGTCTCTCTCTTTCACCCAGGCTGGAGTGCAGTGGCATGATCTCAGCTCACTGCAAGCTCCACCTCCTGGGCTCACGGCATTCTCCTGGCTCAGCCTACCAAGTAGCTGGGACTACAGGCATCCGCCACCACGCCCAGCTAATTTTTTGTATTTTTAGTAGAGACGGAGTTTCAACATGTTAGCCAGGATGGTCTCCATCTTCTGACCTTGTGCCCGCCTCGGCCTCCCAAAGTCCTGGGATTATAGGCATGAGCCACTGTGCCCAGCCATCTCTGAGGGATTTTAATGAGTTGTTGACTTTTGAGTTTGTTCAACTTTTTACTTACTGTTAGAACCGAGTGACAAATTTCAAGCTTGTTATATGCCTGACAGGAAGCCAGAAGTCTCTAAGAAGTGACAGGAGAATGTGAGCTCCATAGTAGTTTGAGGATGGAGTCACGAGTGAAACAGTTGAAATGAGTCCATGGGCATTGGGGACTGCAGGCCTGTCCAGCCTCTGACACCCTGGTGAGTCAGTCCATACATTACAACAGTGACAGCAAAGTAGCATGTCTGACTCCATCTGGCATCTAGTCTCTGGCTGGCTATCCTCACTCATTCCTGGGCATAGGCCAGGCTAACCTTGGGAGGAATTTAATTTATGGTTTGACTTTGAAGCAAGAATCACAAAACTTCCTCCATGAAACTAACAACCTTACTTTGCCCAGGGATGGCCTTTGTCAAACTAGTGAAAGACCATGAGATTAAGATTATAGGAGGGAACTGAATTCTGCTAAAATGTTGGCACAGTTTCTATAATTCCTGACTGCTGCAATGTTGTTTGGCCAGAGTTTACAAAATTTGTAACTAATTGCTCCTATAGATAACATCACTATTGTAGAACATGAGATTGGTCTTTTGAGATGTTTCTCATTCTTTTGCATTCTGGCAACCGGCTGACCTCATTCATACCTATGACTAATGGCTCAGCCAGTCATGTGGTCCCTACCTGGAGGCAGATTCGAGCACAAACAGATCATTTCCCTCTGCCCACATGATTCCATCACCAAATAATCAGCAGTACTCATTTTTTAGTCCTGTGCCCCTGAAACTATCCTTGAAAATCTCTAACCCCTGATCCACTGGGGAGGCTGATTTGAGTAATAATAAACCTCTGTCCTCCTGTTTGGCAGACTTGGAGTCGTTAAAATCTTTCTTGACTAGAAACCAACATTTCAATAATTTTTTTTTTTTTTTTTTGTGCAGGAGGCCAGAAGATCTTGCCTGGCAATTATGAATGGATGGAGGAACTGCCTATCCCTGTCCCATTGTCTTGTCCACAGGTCAGCCTCACAAAGGGAAAGAGCCCTGGATGGGAATACAGTGGAAGCTCATTCTCTTAGTGACCTGGGAACATTGGCTCGAGATGAAGCCTGGCAGGAGTGGCAACTCCAGGTGATTTCTGCACCTTTCCTATTTCCTGGGAGGTGGGCCAGGCCACAGTGTTAGCGGGAAGGGAACAGAACAGCCAGCCTAGTTAGAGGGAGTGTCTGGGGAAGGCCTAGGGGTGGGGGAAGAAGCTGTGCAGGACAGGGCTTGCCAGTCAGAATGAAGTGGGAGGAAGATGAGGGACACAGAGAAGCAGAGGCAGAGACACCATGGCAGTGAGCAGTGAGGGAGACACTGACTTCAGAGACCCCAGGGACCAGCTGCCCCCAGTTCCACAGTCCAGGACAAAGGAGCCCTGAGAATCCTCTGGTGGCCAAAGAGCTTCAGAGTTGCATGAGGTGGGGTGGCTTTAGGGGCAAGAGGTAGTGGGGGGATGAAACATGGATGTCAGCCTCTGAAGGACAAGGGACAGGTGTGGCTAGAACCTCCTAGGATTCTGCATCCAACATCCAGTCTCTAAAGAGGTTTTGGATCATTCATTTCTTCATTCCATTCCTTCATTTGTTATGTGAGAGCTCCTGAGTGTGTGTCTCTCGCTGGGCCTGTGCTGGAGCAGGGTCTGAGTGGGGAAAGAAAACAAAGTCCTCTCCTTGATCCTTTCATGACAGTGACATGGGCACTTTGGGAAACACAGGATTTCAGGTTCAGTGATGGGGGTTAAGATCTGAGGGGGAGGCCTGGACATATTTTTTGCACTGACTCTGACGGTTGAGGCAGTTGATTTAGTTCTGGAGTGCAGACTAATCAGCTGACCATTTGCTCTCACTCCTCTGAGGTTTAGAAGCCTAAGAAGAGAGGATTTGAGCCAATAAATGACTATGGGGTCCTTGGAACCCAGTAAGCCCTCACTTCTGGTGGAGAAGATGGGCCTGTGGCTGCAGACAGACCTCATGTGACCCTGATCTCCCCCTTTGGGTTTGTGTGACTCTGGTTCAGTGACTGTGCCTTCCTGTGCCTCAGTTTTCTCTCAATCAAATAAGCTAAGTGGCAAATGGACTGTGGATTTTCATGCTACTGTGAATAAATGTTAAATGATTCAGTCACCTGACCTAATGCTTGGCACAGTGGAGGTTTCACACAAACAGCATTTATTATTAATTTGCTTCCATGAGAAAGCACCTTTACGTCAGATCCCTGTGGACAAGCTGCTACCAGGTACATCTTCTCCCTTCTGTTTATGCTTCTGGGGACATTAGACTTTCTATGGACTGTCCTAAGCCTCCTAAAGCAGTTGGCTGATGTCCTACAAAGCTTGTCTTTCTGTCCTCTCCACTCTGAGTGTCAGGTGAAGAAAGCTCTGTCTTTGCCCAGATGAGGCTCTGAGGGCTGAGCCCTGGCTGGTGAGCAGCTCCAGGAGACACAGTCCTCAGACAGCTGGTAAATTCTTGGTCCCAGTAAGGCCTGCCCAATAAGCCACAACCCAGCACTGGCACAGGCTCCTCAGCTTAACTGGAGCAAGGATTTAGGGACAGAGGTCTGGGGTTGAGGCTTCTAGGGCTGAGCTTCTCTGAGGGTCTCAGGGGGCCCCTCAGGCCAAAGCCCTACTCAGTTCTCCAGGGTCTTTCTCAGGGTCAAATTTATGAAGAGGGCATGAGGTGCTTGGCTGAGACTGATCTCCTCCTGCTGAGTCCCCCCATCAGACTGTCCTTCCTCTGCAGCGAGTGTCTGCAGGGTCTGGATGCGGGAAAGGAATTCTGATCTGTTGAAATTTGTCTCCTCTGTGTGTGTCCTGCACTAAATGCCCAAACCGCAGCATGGGACATAATGCAGAGAGGGACACAGGCACAGTGCAGGCCTGACAATCCTGTGTGTGTGAAGTAGAAATGACCCCTGTCCCCCAACACCCAGGGATCATGTGGAATCACTCACGGTATAAGTTGAAGGTGAAATATCCAGTTACTCCTCTAGTCCTATCACCTCGCTTTATGATGTGTAAGGTGTAGGATCCTGCGTCTTCCCGGGTGACATTCTGGATCAGCAGGGATGCATTGGAATATACTGTTTCTCGTCCAGTGTATGCAGGCCCATATATATTTATTTGACCGTCTACTACATATGATGTAATGTAATGGTAGAGGTCCATCAGTTGTCCTTTGTACCAGATGTAGCCAGCAAGATTCTGAGGCAAATTGTGGACAAGTAGAAGAACATCCTTCCCCTCGGAAACTTTGGGTGGCAGGGCTTCAATCGTGACTTGAGCAGTGATAGGCAGGTTCCAGAAGTTTAAAAGTGATGCTAGGAGGTGGAGAAAGCACCAGTCAATATTGAGACCTGTGTATTGGGGTGAAAAGATGGAGCCCTGGGTCCTGAGAAGGTCTCTTCAATCCTCAGCCTTGAAGACACACACACACACAAACACACACACACACAAAAGGTGCATGTTAGTTTGTGTGTGTGTATGTGTGTGTGTCCTACTGTCCTACTAGGTCAAGGTCAGCAGCGTGACCCCTATTCCTTCAACACTTCTGACCTTGGCATTTTTGTATGGAATCCTCTTCCCCAGGGGTCCACACGGCACCCCCCCCCCCCCACACTGCCCTCAGGTCCTGCTCACATCAGGGCATCCTTAGACTTCTTTCCTGACACGTCCTTCAGAGACCCTGGGTCTTCCCTTTCTGACCTTTCCCTGCTCTGCTCCCTCCAGGGTTCTTGTCAACACCTGACCTCACATTCTAGATCTCTTTGCATGTCTGTCTTCCTCCCCATGACAGCGTGAGCTCTGTGAGGACAGGGACTTTTGTGATCTTGGTTGCACCCCAGTGCCTGGAACAGGCTGCAGACTCCTGCAGATGTGAGAGTTCTCAGGGCCCTCCACACCCTTGGTGTTTTATTTTCCCCCAATTGTTGAGGATTTTGCTGAGGACAGTGTTTCATGTCCTGCTTATACTTTTATTAGAAGTGTCATCTGATATAGTTATTATTATCATTTTTCAAAATGTCGTGGCCCTCTTACCAATTCCGGTTCAATATGACTTTCCAGTTTTGACCTCTGTCCCTCTCTGGTGTATTTTACCCTATCCAGGCTCCAACAGAGACTTCTTTCCTTTTTTTTCTTTTTTCTTTTTTTTCTTTTTATTTTTTTGAGACAGAGTCTCGTACTGTCACCCAGGCTGGCGTGCAGTGGTGCTATCTCGGCTCGCTGCAACTTCTGCCTCCCGGGTTCATGTGATTTTCCTGCCTCAGCCTCCAGAGTAGCTAGGATTCCAAGAGCACACCACCATACCTGGTTAATTTTTTGTATTTTTAGTAGAGACAGGGCTTCACTGTGTTGGCAGGACTGACCTTGAACTCCTGATCTCATAATCCACCCACCTCATCCTCCCAAAGTGCTGGCTTCTTTTATTTTTTAGAACCCCATCCTCTCCAGGAGACCCAATCCAGTCACTCTTCTTCCTCCTCCTGTCCTCTCCCAGGAAGTTCTCTCCTCACCTGTGAGCAGGAGCCCCTTCCAGGTGATGTGCTGTGTGCAGGGAGGGGCTGAGAGGGGCCCCATGGTCTCTGCGCCTGCGTGTTCTCCTCTGTGGAGCTGAGCCTAGGATCCAGAAACTTCCTGAGCACGGCTGTAGGCTGTGCTGTCCTTCCTCCTTCTGTGCTGAGCCTCTCTCCAGGGCAGGAGCACTTCTCAGGCTCATGGGTGGGGTCAGGCCCAGGACACCTCTCTGTCCCCTCCTCTCTCAGTCCTGCCTCCTTGTCCCTCCTTCTGTTTTTCCTTTTGTCTGTGTTTCAGGTCCCTGGGAATTGTGGAGGCCTCTGCATTTTTCAGCAGTGATTCTTTCACCAAACCTCAACCACACTTTGTGCAGACACACACACACAGAAGAGACACACACAGACCCACACAGTCACACACATACCCCGCAGGTTGGGCAAGCAGAGTCCTGGGCCTCAGCCTCCTGCTGTCCCCATGGCTCTGGGTCGGGATGCACATTCACGCCCTTTGCCCTCTTTCATCCCCATCTGGCTCTCCCCTTCAGTGCAGGAGGCTGAAGCTGCAACGGGTCCCTGTCACAGTGACACCCCATTGTGCTGTGGGTGAGCTGTGTGTTGCCTGGTGAGAGGGACCCTTCCTTTCTCTAATCGTGTCTAGCTTGGCTGCAGCTTCCAAGGATGGACCTTCAGGACCTGGGTGTCCCAGAGGAAACTGTCCTTCCTGGAGGTGTGCAGGGTGAATCTCTCATGCCTCTTGGGAGGAGAGGCCTGTGCTGGTTGCTCAGTGGGGGCTGTGAGTCCCAGAGTCAAGAGGACAGTTCTTCATCACTCTATGGCTCCCTGGGGTCTGGCAGCTGAGCTGGAGCTCAGGGTTTCTCATGTTCTCCCTGACCATCTTTGATGTCCTCTCTTCTCTGCCCAGCTGACTGTCCTGGGGTCACCACACCTTCCCCGTTGTGGTGCAGGAGGAAGTGGGGAGTTACCCAGGAACCCCGCGGGACATGGCTCGTTGAGACGCAGGAGGGGGAGCCTGGGACAGAGCAGGGGTTCAGAGCTGGAGAGATTCATCCCGACTTACTCCGTGGCCATGATGGGCTCAGCCCTCCATGTGCTGACATACCCAGGGGTCTGTCCTGAGGGTTTTGACCTGGCCAAGCTGCTCTCTGTAGAGGAGGAACAGGCATTGGCCAGAGATCCTGTCTGGAGGGACGTTGCTCACACCTGAGAGGGCGGGTGGGGGTGAGTTGTGTTCTGAGAGCAAAGAGCAATAACACCCCTCATCTCCCCGCAAGCACACAAGAGAGGTCTGTCTTCCCAAGGGACAGCTGGTGGCAGGTGGCCACATCCCGGATGGTGCCTGTGTGTGACCATCACACGCTCTCTGCGCCCCCTGGGCTGCAGCAGGCAGGCAGGACACAGGGTGCCTGGCTTATTCCCGGGGAGGCTGTGGGCCCTCAGGCAGCCACTGTTCTGTGTCAACACTAGGCTTGGCCTGGGATGCCCCAGAGAACAGGACAGATGGAGCAGGGGCGGGCATTTAGGGAGCAGTGACAGAAAGAGTTGATGAGGATGGAGGGAGGTCACGAGGGGAAAGAGCTCAGCGTGGCGTCGCGTGCACCAGCGCTGCCCTGGGAGATGCCTTTAGCTGGGCCCAGGGAAGGAGCAGGTGTGTGGGGCTGGAGCTACCTACAGAGGGAGTGGTGTTAGGTTGGCGGCCGCCAGGTCAGAGAGGAGCTGACAGAGTCCATGTGGGGAGCATGGAGGGCGCTGAGGACTTGGGCCGAATTGACCCTGGTGAGGGTGGACCCTTCTGGGCTGTGGGTTCTAATGAGGGACGTTGGCATCCCCTGGGAAGGCTCCAGGCTGGGAGGGACTCTGTCGTCCTCTGGTGGACAGGGAGGGAAGTGTGAACGGCAGCAATCCCAGGCCAGGCTGCATGTTTTATTCCACATGGATCTGCACACTTCACACGAGGTCACACTTACGTTATGTTACAGCTCCTTCACCTTCCAGCCCCGTGAGTCCCAGTCTGTGTGGCTCTACGTTCACTGTTCTCCCTCTTTCACAATCAGATGTCCCAAATGCAGATTTTTGTCACCTTCTGTGAGTTTGTGTTTGTGTGCAGTAGGCAGCACTGTGTATACCCTGGGGGCAGTGATGTCTGGGGCTGAGCACTGCAGTTGGGCTTGGGAGCAGAAGAGGGAGCAGCAGGATGGGAAGACCAATATCAGGGGGGCAGGGACAAGTCATTTTCATTTTCTCACTCCCAGGGACCAGAACCCAGGATTCTGACTCCAGGGCACAGTACCACACCCTGCTGGTGTCCCTGGATGTCATGATGCTCATAGTGTCATGTTGCCTTGGCATTCATTTTTATAAGGTGT
The DNA here is from genome assembly GCF_000001405.40 of Homo sapiens. Lineage (NCBI taxonomy): Eukaryota > Metazoa > Chordata > Mammalia > Primates > Hominidae > Homo > Homo sapiens. The sequence goes on from NC_000019.10 coordinate 43,188,726, forward strand.
AAGTTTATTTGCCTCAAATCAGAGGCAGGGCTTGGTCACCATGGCAGTTTTCAATACTGTATCTGGTTCAGGTGGCTCCAGTTGGTGTCCAGAGATAAAATCTTAGAGGCATCTCTGCTGCTTGGTGTGCTGGGCTCCCGTCTCTCCAGCTGCTTTCCTTAAACTGATAATTCTGACATTCGCCCTCACATTTAAAGTGACCACCTCTCAGTCACAGCGTGAGCTCCTGGTCCCAGTGTTTGCTGCTTGCTTTGAACACATCCATTAAAGCTCCCTGCTGGAAACCTGTCAGATAACACCCTGGACTTAATAAAGCCATTCGCTTACAGGTCTCTTCTCTCCTCCCTGCCTGGGCTCACTGACCTCTGTGTCTGTGGTCTCCAGGTGTGCCAAGTGCTCCCCAGTGTCTGTAAGTAGTAAAAATCTTACAATTTCACATTGTGGTTGTATTGCTGTTGCCTCACATGCCATCCAGGGCCTGACATTGAGGCTGCCTTATGGGACCTGTGCTGGCTGAGCCCCTGCTGGAGCTCTTGTTTTGGGGCCTCTGGTTCTGCTGGGGACAGGAGCTTCCAGCTAACTTGATTGAAAACTGATGCCTTTCATTGAAAACACTGGGTCAGATGATGTATTCATGGGCTTCAGCTGCCATAACAAACACCTTAGCCTGGGTGAATTAAATAATAGAAATCTATTTTTCACAGTTCTGTGAATAATGTGCTATTTTAACCACTTTAAAATAAACAATCAAGTGAAATTAACCACATACACAGTGTTAAATTACCATCACCAGTATTTTTCCTAGAAAATTTTTATCATTTTAAACTGAAACTTTGTATCTTTTAAACAATAACTCCCTGTATGTTCCACCCTAGACTTTGATCATCTCTACTCTGTCTCTATGAATTTGCCTATTCTTAATGGTTCATATAAATGGAATTATACAATGGTGTTATTTTGTTTCTGACATATTTCACTTAGCATAATGTTTCCAAAGTCCATGCATGTTCCAGCGGGTGTCAGAGCTTCATTCCTCTTTATGGCAGATTAACATTCTGTTGTATGTGTCACCATATTTATTTATTCATGTGTTGATGAACACTTGGATTGTTTTCATATTTTATCTTTTGTGAATAATGCTGCAATCAACATTCCTATGCAAGTACCTGTTTGAGTCCCTGGATTTAATTTTTTGGGTATATACCTAGGAATGGATGTTGTTTCAAATGAGAATTCTATGATTAGCTTTTTGAGGAACAGGAAAACTGTTTCTCCTAGTGGCTGTACATTTTTATATTCTCACCAGCAATATATGAGGATTCGAAATTCTACATAATGCTGCTACTTGTTATTTAACATTGTAAAAGAATGGTAGCCAGTTTTGTAGGTGTGATTGGTGTCTCATTGTAGCTTTGACGTTGTATTTTCCTAATGACTAATGATGTTGAGTATCTTTTCATGTCCTTCTTGACTATTTGTATATCTTCTTTGAAGAAATGTCTATTTGAGTCTTTTGCCCATTTATAAATTGGATGGTTTGTCCTTTTGTTATTGAGTTGTAGCTAGTTCTTGATATTATCTGGACATGAAAACTGCCTATATGTGGTTTGCAGATATTTTCTCTCATTCTGTGCCTATTAATTATTTTCTTGATAATTTCCTTTGATGTACAAAAGGCTTACATCTTGATAAAGCCCAATTTATCTTTTTTTCTTGTTTCTCATGCTTTTGTATCATATCTAAGAATCCACTGCACATTTGAGATCATCAATACTTACGTCTATGTTTATTTTAAGATGTTTTTATGGTTATAGGTCTTATATTTAACTCAGTGATCAATTTTTTAGAGAATGGTTTGATATCGTGGGAGGTAGAATTATCTAAATTAACTGTTTTGCATGTGGTTATCTAGTTGTTTCTGCACTATCATTTGAAAGGAGAATTGTTCCTCCATTAAATTGTCTTGATACCTCCTTCAAAGAGTAATTGACCATAAGTGTCAGGGTTTATTTCTAGACTCTCAATTCTATCCCATTTGTCTTTATGTCTATCTTTTGCCAGCAGCTTCTGTTTTAATAATTGTACTACTTTGTCAGTTTTCAAATAAGAAAGTTCAAGTCCTACAATTTATTTCGGCAAGATTGTTTTGGCTATTCAGTGGTCCTTTTTGAAAGGTGGGAAGGCCAGTGTTTCACAATTGGGAAAGCCTTTTCTGTCTTCTTCAGGGGGAAATTTGGGAGAACCTTCAAGAAACTTATTCTAAGTAGGTAAACTGTCACCACTTTATTTGCTGAAGTGCTATGTTAAAGTGTGCATTGCCTCTTGTGGAAGAATTGTGAGACCCTGGAAGCACTTGCCCATGTGGTGAGAGACAGTAAATTCCACGATGAGGGGGGAAGGGAACATTGTTTTAGGACACCGTGTTGTTGGGGAGTTGTATACATCTCTACTTATTTATGTCTCTGTACAGTGGGTGTAGGGACCAGCCCCACAGGGTCGGTGGGTTTTTCTCCACATGTACAGAGATGAGAGATTGTAGAAATGAAGACACAAGACAAAGAGATAAAAGAAAAGACAATTGGGCCCAGGGAACCACTACCACCAAGACGTGGAGAACGGTAGTGGCCACGAATGCCAGGCTGCGCTGATATTTATTGTATACAAGACAAAGGGGCAGGATAAGGAGTGTGAGCCATCTCCAATGATAGGTGAGACCACATGGGTCACGTGTCCACTGGACAGGGGGCCCTTCTCTGTTTGGCAGCTGAGGCAGAGAGAGAGAGGAGAAAGAGCTTACAGCATTATTTCTGCTTATTAGAGACTTTTAGTACTTTCACTAATTTGCTACTGCTAACTAAACAGCAGAGCCAGCTGTACAGGATGGAACATGAAGGCAGACTAGGAGTGTGACCACTGAAGCACAGCATCACAGGGAGACGGTTAGGCCTCCGGATAACTGTGGTTGGACCTCACTAACATCAGGCCCTCCACAAGAGATGGAGAAGTAGAGTCTTCTCTAAACTCCCCCGGGGAAAGGGAGACTCCCTTTCCCGGTCTGCTAAGTAGTGGGTGTTTTTCCTTGACACTGAGGGTACCTCTAGTCCATGGTCCACTTGGCAACAGGTGTCTTCCCAGACGCTGGTATTACCACTAGACCAGGAGCCCTCTAGTGGCCCTGTCTGGGCATAACAGAAGGCTCGCAATCTTGTCTTCTGGTCACTTCTCACTATGTCTCCCCAGCTCCTATCTATTTATGACCTGGCTTTTCCTAGGTTATAATCATAGAGCGAGGATTATTATAATATTGGAATAAAGAGTAATTGCTACCAACTAATGATTAATGATATTCCTATATAATCATATCTAAGATCTATATCTGGTATAACTATTCTCCTTTTATATTTTATTATACTGGAAAAGCTCGTGCCCTCGGTCTCTTGCCTCGGCACCTGGGTGGCTTGCCGCCCACAAGTGGGCATCTCCGTTGGACACAGTAGGTTTTGAAATCCTTGTTTATTCTCTGGGGTCTGGGTCTTGGCTTACCTGTTAGCTGCAGCTGAAAGAGGTGTCTGCTAAGTCAATGACACCTGTGGGGAGAAGAAGGATTCAGCAGAGTGAAAGTAGCTGGGACTCAGAGAAGCCAGGAAAGTCTGACTCTTAGAAACTGTGGGTCAGCAGATGGGTGTCCTCAGGGATAAATGGGCCATGCCGGTAGCCACTGCAGTGAACTGGAAGAAGGTAAGGGATGCTGGGTATCCCATGTTCTCTCTCAGCTCTGCAGCTGAAGATTTGGGCCCTGGGCTAGTACAGCCCTGCAGCAGGGGAAGGGTATACAGGAATGGCTGCATATCAGGACCAAGTCCATGTCATCTTCTTAGGCATTGTTACTGCAGATGGAGGATTCTGTTCAGAGACCTGGCCTGGACACATGGGAGGGCCCACCCCATTCTTTTAAAATTATTTTAAGAGAACAGTATTAGCAAATGTGGTACATGTTTTATTCTGCTAGAATCAGTATTACTGTCACGTTTTACACTGTATCTCTTAGGAAATGGTGAGAGCCATCCACACAATGTGCATTTAAAGGAGACTCTACTATAATTTCAGCTTTCCTACTCTTTATAGAAACCATCTTCTCTGCAAACACACAGGCAATATCTCTGTGTTCATTTCTATTGGGAGCCCTGTATGCAAGATGGAGAGAGCCACATTTCCCCTGAGATGTTACGTAAAAGTTTGAGGTTGAGATGACATATCTGACACTCTGTTGTTACCCTCAGAAGCTACTACATGTGAAATTCTAATGACTGCATTATCCTGCCAAGTGAAAGAGGCAGGCATGAGCAAGGACGGTTAAGAGGGGTGGGAGCCTTATCATGATGGGGAGTCTTGTTCTGACATCTTTGGAAAAACTGTCCACAGTGTGAAGTCATCAACTTGTTATCCTGGTTTACAGTTTGAGTAGCTGTTGTTATGGTGTCGAACATTTTGGTGAGTTCTGAGTGGCTCACATGTCAGGTACAAGGGTTTTCCCATGAAATTTACATCGAGTTGTCCACCTCCAGCTTATAGGGCTTCTGGAACAGAGTGGGTCTTGCTCTTCGTGATTCCATGGGAGAAAATGGAATTGGAGGAACTAGTAGAATTCAGGGTAATATCCAGTCTACAGGTGGATAATAAAAACACAGAAACAATGAACAGAGCTGCAATCTCATAACCGGTGTACTACAGTTTTTATTTTCCACATAATTTTTCTCTCTATGGGCATCTCTAGTTTTACCAATGATAATTTCAGTAGAATAAGTTTGTTTGCAAAATAGGTTGAGTTTCTTCAAACGTGGTCTGATTCTTTACATAAGTGCAGCAAGAGTAGCAATAGACCATGTAGGCGCTCTTTTAGAATTTTATTTGCTCTAAGTTTTTATAAGGACTCTCAGATTAAACTTTTACAAAACCCTTGAGAATAGGAAGCCAAACCAAGGCTGACTTCAGACTTTGCCTGCAGTTCATATTGGTTCATTCTATCTATATTCTTGAATATAACATCCCAGTCAAAGCCTTGGTAATATAACCAATGATTTGAAATGTGTCCTGTTACAAAGAGAGCAGATTGTTACTGTACTTGTGCAAATATGTGTATTACCATAAACATATCAATACTCATGAATAGTTGCCCAATTCTGGGGCAGTCAGGTAGAGAGCAAAAGTAAATGTTTCAATTACGGTTCCCAGAAGTATAGTTTATTGAACTGCTACAAGCTATAGATAGATTAAAAGAAAAAAATTCCATAAATCTAGAAAACAAACCATTTAAAGAATCAGCAAATTTTCAAATAAAAATCATAAAAATATTATCCTCAATATTGTCAATTATTTCAATGAAATCAATGTTTCTCCTGCTTGGTCTAGGCTGGGAATTTTAAGAAGATATCAGCCTGTTTGTTAAAGTTTTGGAAGTTCTTAGACAAATTGGGAGTGTTCAGGAGTAGAATTTGGGATTTGCTTGTGCCCATGGGACACAGGCTGGGAATAAAAATGTTTTCCTCACTCTTCCCTGAATGCCAGATAGACTCCACCTAAATCCCTATTGCCAAGGATGCTGGGATCCACTTACCAGAGACTTTGACTGTGATGGATTTGGAGCTTTCCTTGCCAGTGGCTGAGTTACGAACAGAGCAAGCATAGAGCCCACTATGCTTTGTAGTTATTTGGGGGATAGAGAGCTTTTGTCCTGATAGCTGAAACTTCCCATTAATTGTCCAAGAATATTGTGCCCGTGGGTTAGACTCGGCGAAGCAGGACAAGTAGAGGTTTTCTCCTGAACGGTAATAGGTGAATGAAGGGTAAATGCTGGGGAGGTCTGGACCATCTGGCGCAAAGAGAATAAAGCCATAGGTGATGTCATCCGAGGGAAGGGGATGTTCCTGGTCTCTTAAAGGGACACAGTTACCCTCTAAGCCAAGACACACCTTCAAGTCCCAGCCAAACTCCCTCTATGTTCACTGAGCCGAAGCCTGAGGTATTCACCTGTTTCTCCCATCACAAGTTTTAGGCCCCAAGTCTCCCATGACAAGAGCGTCCCCTCCCCTTATATTCTTGGTTAAGGCTGTGCCTACCTAGGTTTTCCCAGGGCAGGGAGTCATGGCCACCTCGGATGTCCAGAAGTAAAGGTGTCTATACTTGGACTGGAGAGAGACTGAGAGACCTGGCCTCTGGTGGTTTGGATTTAAGCTGGTGTCCTGGCCCACAGAGGAACAAAAGATACTCACAGAGGACATTCAGGGTGACTGGGTCACTGCGGATGCCACCATATCGGTCCCGTATTTCACATTGATAAGGTCCTGTTTCATTTCTCGTGACATTGGGTAGAATGAGGATCCTGTTTTCAATGGGTCGCTTTACCCTGGGACTGACAGGGAGGCTCTGACCATTTAGCCACCAAATGTAGGTGTAGTTCTTACTCTTAGGTTCACAGGTGAAGGTTAAGACATCCTTATTCTCTCTGGGGTTTAAGTTGTTGATTGTGATGTAGGGCTTGGACAGCTTTGCTGTGTGGATAACAGAGAGAAGATTGTCCTGTGTGGCACCTTTGATTCCTCCACAGGCATACTTCAATCAGAGTTGGCATCTCCCACCTCTCAGCCCACCCGAGTCCTTGAAAGCCAATAGCTGGTGCTTCTGTCACAAGATAGATGCATGATGATCTAAGGGCTCAAAGACTGTGAGGCCACCTGCTCTGTTTTAGGGAGGCACAGACTTTCTCAAGTGTCAATTGAGCAGCAGTGTTGGGTCATGGACAGACATATCAGTGGGAGTCACAGCCCCTTGTACCCCTCCCAGTCCCTCCCTAATCAGTTAACTTGCTGGCTCACCTTGGGTTCCTTACCTGGAATGTGCAACTACTGGGCCCCTTCCAAATTCCATCCTCCTTTGCCCCCCTAGATGAGATTTCTCTGCAGCTTCCATTTCAAGGACATTCTAGAGATGAGTAATAATGGGACTTCCCATTGTCCTGAAACCCTGAAGATACTGAGCAGTCTGGCCTGGGACTGGATGTTTCAGCAGAAATAACACAGGAGAGACCAGAGTCAAGCCTGGAGGTCAGTTCAGTCATCAGCCAGTGGAGGCAGAAAGTGGGGCAGTGTTTTGCAGGTGTTTCATGATGACTTACTTGAACCAGTGACCTCTAAAGATAGAGCAGAGTGCAAGGAATGATCTAGAAGGAGTCAAGGGGACAGGCAAGAGCTGGTGGCTTTGGAGCAGAACCATGTTCCCTGTCCTGGGTTCTTTAAGTTTCCTCTCCTTCTGCAGAGGGCAGGTGAGGACCATGTGGATCTTTCCAGAAATACATATGGACATTTGCAAAAGCAGAACTGACTGGTGGAAAGTGTGGGAATGAACTGCTGGAAATCTGGTCCTCATGGACCATGTGTGTTTGATGGATATGAGACAAATTTGGAGAGAAGTTTTGCAAATATTTTCTTTCATTGGACATTCTACTCTCTGATTCCCTGGGTTCGACTACTCTAGGGACCTCATGTAAGTGGATTCCAGAGTGAATATGAGAAGAGACTGCTGTTTGCCAGGAGCTGGGAGTGGGGAGAATCAGAAGTTGTTCATGGGTGTGCAGTTTCAGTTATGCAAGGTGGGGAGGTTCTGGAGATCTGCTGTAGAGCTTGATGCCTATAATTCACACAGATTGAGTATTATGCATAAGACTTAGAACAAAAAGTGTTTTGGATTTCTGACATTTTTTTATTCTGAAATATTTGTCATATGCTTACTGGTTTAGCATCCCAAATCTGAAAGATTCAAAATCTAAAATGCTTCAGTGAGCATTTCTTTTCAGCATCAGATTAGTAGGCAAAAGTGGGAGGTGATAAGCCAAAGATATTCTTGCCCTTTTTTTTTCTCTCACCACGTTTCTAGCTTGATGATTAGTTTTTGGTCAATTCCATACTGGCCATGCTGCACTCATATATTTTTTAAAGCTTTGGGATGTGAGAAAGGCTGATTGCTATTTTCTGTCGTCAGAACTTTCCACGTTTTCATGGTTGCCTCTTTTTCTCAGTGTTTCTGTTGTGGCAGTCATTAATAAGAGCCTGTCAGGTCAGATTTAGGACAGAGTTTTATAATTCTGCAAAAAAATGTTACTGGGATTCTGGTAGGGGTTGCATTGAATCTGCAACTAACTTTGGGTAGTATTGTCTTTCTAACAATATTGATTCTTCCAATCCATGAAAATGAAATGTCTTTCCATATATTGATATCGTCTTTAATTTCTTTCAGCAATGTTTTGTAGTTTTCAGGATATAATCATTTGACCTTTTTGATTAAACTTACTCCAAAATATTTTATTCCTTTTGATGTTAATGTGAATTGAAATTATTTCCTTAATTTCCTTTCAGATTGTTCATTGTTAGTGTATAGTCTAAAGAATGACCTAGAAAGAGTGAAGGGGACAGGCAAAAGCTGGTGGTTTTGGAGCAGAAACATATTCCCTGTGCTGGGTTTTTGATTTTCCCTCTCCCTTTGCAGAGGGCAGGTGGCTTTTCCCTGATAGCTAGATAGACTTCACTGGAAAACATATTGCCAATGCTCCAGGGATCCACTTACCAGGCACTATGATCCTCTTGATTATGAGATTTGTTCCATCAGTGGCTGAGTTATGGATGAAACAGACCTAAACCCCTCTATATGTTTTAGTGATTTGGGGGATAAAGCACACTTGTGCTGATTGCTGGAACTTCCCATCAATCAGCCAAGAATGCTCTGCCAGTGGGTGAGAGTCTGTGAGGCAGGAGAGATTGGGGAATTCCCCTGTATGGTAATAGGTGTATGAGGAAGAAATGGTGGGGGCATCCAGGCCATCTGGAGCAAAGAGAATAAAGTCACAGGTGACATTGTCAGAGGGAAGGGAAAATCCTGGTCTGTGGAAGGGCCACAGTGACCCTGTGAGCCAAGTCGCAACACTGAAGTCCCAGCCAAATCCCCGCTGTGTTCACTGATCTGGAGCCTGAGACCTTCACCTGTTTCTCCCATCACAAGCTGTGGAACCTGAGTCTCCCATGACAGGAGCAGCCTCTTTTCTCCTATTGTGGATCAAGCCTAGGCCTACTCTGGTTTGCCTGGGGCAGAAAGTCATGGCCAGCTTTGATGTCTAGGGGTAAAGGTCTCTGTACTTGGACCTGAGAGGGACTGAGAGGCCTGGCCTCTGGCCATGTGTATTTGGGATGGCAGCCTGGCTCACAGAGGAACAGAGGATACTCACGGAGGAGATTCAGGGTGACTGGGTCACTGCGGCTGGCACTCACTGGGTTCCGTATTTCACATTCATAGGGTCCTGCAATATACTTTGTGACACCAAATATAAAGAGGGTCCTGTTGGTTTTGGACAGCTGCAACCTGTGAGTCATAGGGAGGCTCTGACCATTCATCCACCACTGGTAGCTTGCGGCTGGAGTCGCAGGATCACAGGTTAAGATCACAGCCTCCATGGCCTCCCTGGGATTTAAGTTGCTGCTGGAGATGGAGGGCTTGGGAGTCTCCACTGTGCAGAAAACAGAGAGAGGTTTGCCCTGTGTGGCATCTTTGATTCTTCCAAAGGCATTTTTCAATCAGAGTTGGCATTTCCCACCTCTCAGCCCACCCAAGTCCTTAAAAGCCCATGGAAGATGTGTGTGTTAAAGACAGATGCATGGCAATCTGAGAGCTCAGAGATTGTGAGGCTGCCTGCTTTATGTGGGAGAAGCACAGACTTTCTTAGGTGTGAATTGAGCAGCAGCATTGGGTCATGGAAAGACACAGGACCAGCAGTCACAGACCCGATGCCTCTCTGAGTTCCTCCGTCTCCAACTGCCTGCCTGACCCACCTTGTGGTCCTCACTTGGAGCATGCAGTGCTGGAATCTTCTTAGTTTCAGTCTTACTTTGCCCCCCGAGGTATGTTTTCTCTGCAGCTTCCCTTTCCAAGGACATCCTAGAGATGGATGATGGAACTTCCCATTGTCCTTAAACCCTTTGGGTACTGGAAAGCCTGACCTGGGACTGGGTACTTCAGCATAAATAACACAGGGGAGACCAGAGTCAAGCCTGGAGGTCAGTTCAGTCATCAGGCAGTGGAGCCACAAGGTGGCGCAGTTTTCCCAGGTGTCTCATGGTGACTGACTTGAGCCAGTGACCTCTAAAGATAGAGCAGAGTCCAAGGAATGACCTACAAAGAGTGAAGGGGACAGGCAAGAGCTGATAGCTTTGGACCAAGACCATGTTCCGTGTTCTGGGTCCATGATGCTCGCTTCCCCCTGTAGAGGGCAGGTGAGGACCATGTGGATCTTTCTAGAAATACATGTGGATGTTTGCAAATGCAGAACTGACTGGTGGAAAGGGCGAACATGAACAGATGATGGAAGTCTGGCCCTCATGGACCATATGCGTTTGGTGGATATTAGACCAATATTTGGGAAGAAGTCTTGCAGATACTTTCTCTCATTAGACATTCTACTCTCTGATTCTGAGTTTGACTACTCTATGTACCTCATATAAGTGGATTCCAGAGTGAATCAGAGAGTAGAATAGTAGTTTGCAGGAGTTGGGATCAGGGGAATAGGGTGTTGTTCCATGGTTGTGCATTTTCAGTTATGCAGGATGAGGAGGTTCTAGAGATCTCCTGTACAGCTTCATGCCTATAGTTCATACAGATAAAGTGCTCCTTATGCAGAAAGGTTAAAACAAAGTGTTTTCGATTTCTAATTTTTTTATTTTGGAATATTTGCAGTACATGTACTGGTTTAGCATCCCAAATCTGAAAAATTTAAAATCCACAATGCGCCAGTGAGCACTTCTTTTTAGCATCACATCAGTGGTCAGAAGGGTTGAGTTTTGAGCATTTCAGATTGTGGATTTCTGGATTTGGGATGCTCAATTTGTAATACTGTAATTTTCCCGTAAAAAGTTGTCAGGAATTTAGACCTCATGTTGTGTTCTGACTCTAGTAACAAAAAAAAATTTGGAGGAAACATTAAAATGTTTTCATAAGTGGAAACTTTTACTGATGATCCAGACATCGAAGATCAATTGCTGGTAGTAGTATTTCTCTTGAGACCAAAATAAGGTTTAGGTGTGCCGTGAATTCCAGCAGGATCACATTATGCTCAAAGAAAGATGCCAAAGGTGATTGGAAATTAGCAGCTCCTTAAGTAGAGAGAGTCCCATTAAAAGGACAGAACTGGTCAGTGCGTCAATTACATAAAGGGAGGAAGGATGCCAAATTAAAAGAAGTGATGTGTGTTATGTTAGTAAATATAGAAAGAACTCCCTGCTTCTAATTTCTGTGCAGAGTTAGGAAAAATGGGGAGGACCCCAAAACAGGTATGTGGAATGCTTTCTTCATTTTCTGTTAAGCTCAGGAAATACCACTAAAGTTTAAGTTTGTGTGAAATAGGAAGAGTCTAAGTGAGATGCCAATGGCTCGTGTGTCTGCCCACGTGAAGAAATCCAACTTATGAAAATGGCATCATCATGAGGAAACAGTTGTATGTGGCACAGGCAGTAAAACCATCAGATAGCACCCACCTGGTCACCTCCAACTGGTCCGCAACACCACCAGTATTCCCATTATGTGTATGTTACAGCCTTTGTAGTTGTCCCACAACTACAAAATTTAAAAATTGCTATTGTCAAAAAAAATATTAAATATGAAGGCGAATATGTTGTTCCACTTTTTTTTCCCCACCCTTTTTGAACTTTCCTGTTTCAGTTTTGGAAGTTTCTATTGACACATCCTCAAGCTGGGGGTTCCTTCCTCAGCTGTGTGCAGTCTACCAGTAAGCATCAAAAGCATTCTTCATTTCTCTAACAGCATTTTTTTTCTGAGACAGAGTCTCGCTCTGTTGCCCAGGCTGGAGTGCAGTGGCATGATCTCAGCTCACTGCAAGCTCCACCTCCTGGGTTCATGCCATTCTCCTGCCTCAGCCTCCCAAGTAGCTGGGACTACAGGCATCCGCCACCAAGCCCGGCTAATTTTTTGTATTTTTAGTAGAGACGGGGTTTCACCATGTTAGCCAGGATGGTCTCCATCTCCTGACCTTGTGCCTGCCTCGGCCTCCCAAAGTCCTGGGATTATAGGCGTGAGCCACTGAGCACAGCCTTCTCTGAGGGATTTTAATGAGTTGTTGACTTTTTACTTAGTGTTAGAACGGAGTCACAAATTTTAAGCTTGTTATATGCCTGACAGGAAGCCAGAAGTCTCTAGGAAGTGACAGGAGAATGTGAGCTGCATAGCAGGTTGAGGATGGAGTCCCAAGTGATACAGGAGAAATGAGTCCATGTGCTTTGGGGACTGCAGGCCTGTCCAGCCTCTGACACCCTGGTGAGTCAGTGCAAAGATTACAGCAGTGACAGCAAACTAGCATGTCTGAGTCCATCTGGCATCTAGTCTCAGGCTGGCTGTCCTCACTCGTTCCTGGGCATAGGCCAGGCTAACCTTGGGAGGAATTTAGTTTATGGTTTGACTTTGAAGCAGGAATGATAATAGTTCCTCCATAAAACTAACACCCTTACTTTGCCCAGGGACGGCCTTTGTCAAACTAGTGAAAGACCATGAGATTAAGATTATAGGAGGGAACCGAATTCTGCTAAAATGTAGGCACAGTTTATGTAATCCCTGACTGCTCCAGTGTCATTTGGCAAGAGTTTACAAAATTTGTAACTAATTGCTCCTATAGATAACATCACTATTGTAGAACGCGAGACTGGTCTTTTGAGATGTTTCTCATTCTTTTGCATTCTGGCAACCGGCTGACCTCATTCATACCTATGACTAATGGCTCAGCCAGTCATGTGGTCCCTACCTAGAGGCAGATTCAAGCACAAACAGATCATTTCCCTCCGCCCGCATGATTCCATCACCAAACAATCACCAAAAAATGAGCAGTACTCAATTTTTAGTCCTGTGACCCTGAAACTGTCCTTGAAAATCTCTAACCCCTGCTCCACTGGGGAGGCTGATTTGAGTACTAATCAACCTCCAGCCTCCTGTTTGGCAGACTTGGAGTCGTTAAAATCTTTCTTGACTAGAAACCAACATTTCAATAATTTTGTGTGTGTGTGTGTGTGTGTGCAGAAGGCCAGAAGAACTTGTCTGGCAATTATGAGTGGATGGAGGAACTGCCTATCCCTGTCCCATTGTCTTGTCCACAGGTCAGCCTCACAAAGGGAAAGAGCCCTTGAAGGGAATACAGTAGAAGCTCATTCTCTTAGTGACCTGGGGACATTGGCTCGAGATGAAGCCTGGCAGGAGTGGCAACTCCAGGTGATTTCTGCACCTTTCCTATTTCCTGGGAGGTGGGCCAGGCCACAGTGTTAGCGGGAAAGGAACTGAACAGCCAGACTAGTCAGAGGGAGTGTCTGGGGAAGGCCTAGGGGTGGGGGAAGAAGCTGTGCAGGACAGGGCTTGCCAGTCAGAATGAAGTGGGAGGAAGATGAGGGACACAGAGAAGAAGAGAGAGGCAGAGACACCATGGCAGTGAGCAGTGAGGGTTACACTGACTTCAGAGACCCCAGGGACCAGGTGCCCCAGTTCCACAGTCCAGGACCAAGGAGCCCAGAGAACCCTCTGGTGGCCAAAGAGCTTCAGAGTTACATGAGGTGGGGTGGCTTTAGGGGCAAGAGGTAGTGGGGGGATGAAACGTGGGTGTCAGCCTCTGAAGGACAAGGGACAGGTGTGGCTAGAACCTCCTATGATTCTGCATCCAACATCCAGTCTCTAAAGAGGTTTTGGATCATTCATTTCTTCATTCCATTCCTTCATTTGTTATGTGAGAGCTCCTGAGTGTGTGTCTCTCGCTGGGCCTGTGCTGGTGCAGGGTGTGAGTGGGGAAAGAAAACAAGGTCCTCTCCTTGATCTTCTCATGACAGTGACATGGGCACTTTGGGAAACACAGGATTTCAAGTTCAGTGATGGGGGTTAAGATCTGAGGGGGAGGCCTGGACATATTTTTTGCACTGACTCTGATGGTTGAGGCAGGTGATTTAGTTCTGGAGTGCAGACTAATCAGCTGACCATTTGCTCTCACTCCTCTGAGGTTTGGATGCCTAAAAAGAGAGGATTTGAGCCAATAAATGACTATGGGGTGCTTGGAACCCAGTAAGCCCTCACTTCTGGTGGAGGAGAGGAAGGGCCTGTGGCTGCAGACAGACCTCATGTGACCCCGATCTCCCCTTTGTGTTGGTGTGACTCTGGTTCAGTGACTGTGCCTTCCTGTGCCTCAGTTTTCTCTCAATCAAATAAGCTAAATGGCAAATGGACTGTGGCTTTTCATGCTATCTGTGAATAAATGTTAAATGATTCACAGTCACCTGACCTAATGCTTGGCACAGTGGAGGTTTCACACAAACAGCATTTATTATTAATTTGCTTCCATGAGAAAACACCTTTACATCAGATCCCTGTGGACAATCTGCTACCAGGTACATCTTCTCCTTCTGTTTCTGCTTCTGGGGACATTAGACTTTCTATGGACTCTCCTAAGCCGATGTCCTACAAAGCTTGTCTTTCTATCCTCTCCACTCTGAGTGTCAGGTGAAGAAAGCTCTGTCCTTGCCCAGATGAGGCTCTGAGGGCTGAGCCCTGGCTGGTGAACAGCTCCAGGAGACACAGTCCTCTGACAGCTGGTAAATTCTTGGTCCCAGTAAGGCCTGCCCAAGAAGGAACAACCCAGCACTGGCACAGGCTCCTCAGCTTTATCTGGAGCAAGGATTTAGGGACAGAGGTCTGGGGTTGAGGCTTCTAGGGCTGAGCTGCTCTGAGAGTATCTCAGGGGGCCCCTCAGGCCAGCCCTACTCAGTTCTCCAGGGTCTTTGTCAGCGTCAAATTTATGAAGAGGGCATGAGGTGCTTGTCTGAGACTGATCTCCTCCTGCTGAGTCCCCCCATCAGACTGTCCTTCCTCTGCAGCGAGTGTCTGCAGGGTCTGAATGCGGGAAAGGAATTCTGATCTGTTGAAATTTGTCTCCTCTGTGTGTCCTGCACTAAATGCCCAAACCCCAGCATGGGACTTAATGCAGAGAGGGACACAGGCAGAGTCCAGGCCTGAGAATCCTGTGTGTGTGAAGTAGAAGTGACCCCTGTCCCCCAACACCCAGGGATCATGTGGAATCACTCACGGTGTAAGGTGAAGGTGAAATGTCCAGTTACTCCTCCAGTCCCATCGCGTCGCTTTATGATGTGTAAGGTGTAGGATCCTGCATCCTCCTGCGTGACATTCTGGATCAGCAGGGATGCATTGGAATATACTCTTTCTCTTCCACTGTATGCAGGCCCATATATAATTCTTTGACCGTCTACTACATATGATGTAATGTAATGGTAGAGGTATGTCATTTGCCCTTTGTACCAAATGTAGCCAGCAAGATTCTGGGGCAAATTGTGGACAAGTAGAAGAACATCCTTCCCCTCAGAAACTTTGGGTGGCTGGGCTTCAATCGTGACTTGGGCAGTTGTGGGCGGATTCCAGAAGTTTAAAAGTGATGCTAGGAGGTACAGAGAGCATCAGTTAATATTGAGACCTATGTATTGGGGTGAAAAGATGGGTCCTGAGAAGGTCTCTTCAATCCTCAGCCTTGAAGACACACAAACACACACATACAAACACATACACACACTAAAGGGGCGTGAGTGTATGTGTGTGTGTCCTACTGTCCCACTAGGTCAAGATCAGCAGCATGACCCCCATTCCTTCAACACTTCTGACCTTGGCATTTTTCTTTTTGGATTCCTCTTCCCCAGGGGTCCGCACGGCCCCCTCCACACTGCCCTCAGGTCCTGCTCACATCAGGGCATCCTTAGACTTCTTTCCTGATACCTCCTTCAGAGACCCTGGGTCTTCCCTTTCTGACCTTTCCCTGCTCTCCTCCCTCCAGGGTTCTTGTCAACACCTGATCTCACATTCTAGATCACTTAGCATGTCTGTCTTCCCCCCACGATGACTGTGTGAGCTCCGTGAGGACAGGGACTTTTGTGATCTTGGTTGCACCCCAGTACCTGGAACAGGCGGCAGACTCCTGTAGATGTGAGAGTTCTCAGGGTCTCCACCCTCTGGATGTTTCTTTTTCCCCCCAATTGTTGAGGTTTCTTGCTGAGGACAGTGTTTCATGTCCTGCTTATATTTTCATTTGAAGTGTCATCTGATATAGTTATTGTTATCATTTTTCAAAATATGGTGGCCCCTGATGATTAATCAGGAAAACAGAACACTTAAGATTTTCCTACCACTTACCAATTCCGCTTCAATGTGACTTTCCTATTTTGACCCTCTGGTGTATTTTCCCCTATCCAGGCTCCAACAGAGCCTTCTTTCCCTTTTCTTCTTTTTTCTTTTTTTCCTTTTTTCTTTTTTTTTTTTTTGAGACGGAGTCTCGTCCTGTCACCCAGGCTGGTGTGCAGTAGTGCTATCTTGGCTAGCTGCAACTTCTGCCTCGTGGGTGCACGTGATTCTCCTGCCACAGCCTCCTGAGTAGCTATGATTACAGGAGCACACCACTATACCTGGTTAATTTTTTGTGTTTTTAGTAGAGACAGGGCTTCACAGTGTTGGCCAGACTGATCTTGAACTCCTGATCTCCTGATCCACCCAACTCAGCCTCCCAAAGTGCTGGCTTCTTTCATTTTTCAGAACCCCATCCTCTCCAGGAGACCCCATCCAGTCACTCTGCTTCCTCCTCCTGTCCTCTCCCAGGAAGTTCTCTCCTCACCTGTGAGCAGGACCCCCTTCCAGGTGATGCGCTGTGTGCAGGGAGGGGCTGAGAGGGGCCCCATGGTCTCTGCTGCTTGTGTGTTCTCCTCTGTGGAGATAAGCCTAGGATCCAGAAGCTTCCTGAGTACGGCTGTCAGCTGTGCTGTCCTTCCTCCTTCTGTGCTGAGCCTCCTCCCGGGGCAGGAGCATTTCTCAAGCTCGTGGGCGGGGTCAGGCCCAGGACACCTCTCTGTCCCCTCCTCTCTCAGTTCTGCCTCCTTGTCCCTCCTGTTTTTCCTTTTGTCTGTGTTTCAGGTCCCTGGGAATTGTGGAGGCCTCTGCATTTTTCAGCAGTGATTCTTTCACCAAACCTCAACACACACTTTGTGCAGATGCACACACACACACACACACACAGAAGAGACACACACGACCCACATGGTCACACACATACCCTGCAGGTTAGGCAAGCAGAGTCCTGGGCCTCAGCCTCCTGCTGTCCCCATGGCTCTGGGGTAGGGTGCACATTCACGCCCTTTACCCTCTTCCTTCCTCATCTGGCTCTCCCCTTCAGTGCAGGAGCTGCACAAGGTTCCCGTCACAGTGACGTCCCATTGTGCTGTGGGTGAGCTCTGTGTTGTCTGGTAAGAGGGACCCTTCCTTTCTCTAATCGTGTCTAGCTTGGCTGCAGCTTCCAAGGATGAACATTCAGTACCTGGGTTTCCCAGAGGAAACTATCCATCCTGGAGGTGTGCAGGGTGAATCTCTCAGGCCTCTTGGGAGGAGAGGCCTGTGCTGATTGCTCAGTGGGGGCTGTGAATCCCAGAGTCAAAGGGACAGTTCTCGGTCACTCTGTGTCTCCCTGGGGTCTGGCGGCTGAGCTGGAGCTCAGGGTTTCTCATGTTCTCCCTGACCACCTTTGATGTCCTCTCTTCTCTGCCCAGCTGATTGTCCTGTGGTCACCACACCTTCCCCGTGGTGGTGCAGGAGGAAGTGGGGAGTTACCCAGGAACCCCGCGGGACATGGCTTGTTGAGACGCAGGAGGGGGAGCCTGGGACAGAGCAGGGGTTCAGAGCTGGAGAGATTCATCCCGACTTACTCCGTGGCCATGATGGGCTCAGCCCTCCCTGTGCTGACATACCCAGGGGTCTGTCCTGAGGGTTTTGACCTGGCCAAGCTGCTCTCTGTAGAGGAGGAACAGGCAGTGGCCAGAGAGCCTGTCTGGAGGGACCTTGCTCACACCTGAGAGGGCGGGTGGGGGTGAGTTGTGTTCTGGGAGCAAAGAAAAATAACACCCCCCTTCTCCCCACAAGCACACAGGAGAGGTCTGTCTTCCCAAGGGACAGCTGGTGGCAGGTGGCCACATCCCGGATGGTGCCTGTGTGTGACCATCACACGCTCTCTGCGCCCCCTGGGCTGCAGTGGGCAGGCAGGACACAGGGTGCCTGGCTGATTCCCGGGGAGGCTGTGGGCCCTCAGGCAGCCGCTGTTCTGTGTCAGCGCTAGGCTTGGCCTGGGATGCCCCAGAGAACAGGACAGATGGAGCAGGGGCGGGCATTTAGGGAGCAGTGACAGAAAGAGTTGATGAGGATGGAGGGAGGTCACGAGGGGAAAGCGTCCAGTGTGGCGTCGCGTGCACCATCGCTGCCCGGGAGATGCCTTTAGCTGGGCCCAGGGAAGGAGCAGGTGTGTGGGGCAGGAGCTACCTGCAGAGGGAGTGGTGTTAGGTTGGCGGCTGCGGGTCAGGAAGGAGCTGACAGAGTCCGTGTTGGGAGCATGGAGGGCTCTGAAGACTTGGGCCGAAGTGACCCTGGTGAGGGTGGACCCTGCTGGGCTGTGGGTTCCGCTGAGGGAGGTTGGCATCCCCTAGGAAGGCTCCAGGCTGGGAAGGACTCTGTCGCCCTCTGGTGGACAGGGAGGGAAGTGTGAACGGCAGCAATCCCAGGCCAGGCTGCATGTTTTATTCCATGTGGATCTGCACACTTTACATGAGGTCACACATATGTTATGTTACAGCTCCATCACCTTCCAGCCCCTTGAGTCCCAGTCTGTGTGACTCTACGTTCACTGTTCTCCCTCTTTCACAATCAGATGTCCCAAATGCAGATTTTTGTCACCTTCTGTGAGTTTGTGTTTGTGTGCAGTAGGCAGCACTGTGTATACCCTGGGGGCAGTGATGTCTGGGGCTGAGCAGTGCACGTGGGCTTGGGAGCAGAAGAGGGAGCAGCAGGGTGGGAAGATCAATATCGGGGGGCAGGGACAAGTCATTTTCTTTTTCTCACTCCCAGGGACCAGAACCCAGGATTCTGACTCCAGGGCACAGTACCACACCCTGCTGGTGTCCCTGGATGTCATGAGGCTCATAGTGTCATGTTGCCTTGGCATTCATTTTTTAAGATGTAAGTTTATTTGCCTCAAATCAGAGGCAGGGCTTGGTCACCATGGCAGTTTTCAATACTGTATCTGGTTCAAGTGACTCCAGTTGGTGTGCAGAGATAAAATCTTAGAGGCATCTCTCCTGCTTGGTGTGCTGGACTCCCCTCTCTGCAGCTGCTTCTTTAAACTGATAATTCTGACATTCGCCTTCACATTTAAAGTGACCTCCTCTCAGTCACAGCGTGAGCTCCTGGTCCCAGTGTTTGTTGCTTGCTTTGAACACATCCATTAAAGCTCCCTGCTGGAAACCTGTCAGATAACACCCTGGACTTAATAAAGCCTGGGCTCACTGACCTCTGTGTCTGTGGTCTCCAAATGTGCCGAGGGCTCCCTAGTGTCTGTAAGTAGTACAAGAACATACATTTTCACGTTGTGGTTGTATCATTGTAGCCTCACATGCCATCCAGAGCCTGACATTGAGGCTGTCCTATGGGACCTGTGCTGGTTGAGCCCCTGCTGGAGCTCTTGTTTTGGGGCCTCTGGTTCTCCTGGATACAGGAGCTTCCAGCTAACTTGATTGAAAACTGATGCCTTTCATTGAAACACTGGCTCAGATGATGGATTCATGGGCTTCAGCTGCCATAACAAACACCTTAGCCTGGGTGAATTAAATAATAGAAATCTATTTTTCACAGTTCTGTGAATAATGTGCTATTTTAACCACTTTAAAATCCACGATCAAGTGAAATTAACCACATACACCATGTTAAATTACCATCACCACTATTTTCCCTAGAAAATTTTTATCATTTTAAACTGAAACTTTGTATCTTTTAAACAATAACTCTTTGTATGTTCTACTCTAGACCTTGATCATCTCTACTCTGTCTCTATGAATTTGCCTATTCTTGATGTTTCATATAAATGGAATTATACAATGATGTTATTTTGTTTCTGACATATTTCACTTAGCATAATGTTTCCAAAGTCCATGCATGTTCCAGCGGGTGTCAGAGCTTCATTCCTCTTTATGGCAGATTAACATTCTGTTGTATGTGTCACCATATTTATTTATTCATGTGTTGATGAACACTTGGATTGTTTTCATATTTTATCTTTTGTGAATAATGCTGCAATCAACATTCCCATGCAAGTACCTGTTTGAGTCCCTGGATTTAATTTTTTGGGTATATACCTAGGAATGGGTGTTGTTTCAAATGAGAATTCTGTGATTAGCTTTTTGAGAAACAGCAAAACTGTTTCTCCTAGTGGCTGTACCTTTTATATTCTCACCAGCAATGTATGAAGATTTCAAATTCTACATAATACTGCTACTTGTTATTTAACATTTTAAAAGAATGTTAGCCAGTTTTGTAGGTGTGATGTGGTGTCTCCTTGCAGCTTTGACTTTGTATTTTCCTAATGACTATTGATGTTGAGTATCTTTTCATGTCCTTCTTGACTATTTGTATATCTTCTTTGAAGAAATGTCTATTTGAGTCTTTTGCCCATTTATAAATTGGATGATTTGTCCTTTCTTTATTGAGTTGTAGCTAGTTCTTGATATTATCTGGACATGAAAACTGCCTATATGTGGTTTGCAAGTATTTTCTCTCATTCGGTGTCTATTAAATATTTTCTTGATAATTTCCTTTGATGCACAAAAGGCTCACATCTTGATAAAGCCCAATTTATCTTTTTTTCTTGTTACTCATGCTTTTGTATCATATCTAAGAATCCATGGCACATTTGAGGTCATCAGTATGTACCTCTGTGTCTATTTTAAGATGTTTTTATGGTTATAGGTCTTATATTTAACTCACTGATCAATTTTTTAGAGAATTGTTTCATATGGTGGGAGGTAGAGTTATTTAAATTAACTGTTTTGCATGTGGTTATCTAGTTTCTGCACTATCATTTGAAAGAAGAATTGTTAATCCATTAAATTGTCTTGACACCCTCTTCAAAGAGTAATTGATCATAAGTGTGAGGGTTTATTTCTAGACTCTCAATTCTATCCCATTTGTCTTTATGTCCATTCTTTTGCCAGCAGCTTCTGTTTTAATAATTGTACTCCTTTGCGAGGTTTCAAGTAAAGTTCAAGCCTACAATTTATTTTGGCAAGATTATTGTGGCTATTCAGTGTTCCTTTTCTGAAAGGTGGGGAGGCCAATGTTTCACCATTGGGAAAGCCTTTTCTGTCTTCTTCAGGGGGAAATTTGGGAGAACCTTTTAAGAAACTTTATCTAAGTAGGTAAACTCTCACCACTTTATTTGCTGAAGTGCTATGTTAAAGTGTGCATTGCCTCTTGTGGAAGAATTGTGAGACCCTGGAAGCACCTGCCCACGTGGTGAGAGACAGTGAATTCCATGATGAGGGGCAGAGAGGATGTTGTTTTGTGATACAATGTTGTTGGGGAGTTGTATACATCTCTATTTCTTTGTCTCTGTACAGTGGGTGTAGGGACCAGCCCCACAGGGTCGGCGGGTTTTTCTCCCCATGTGTGGAGACAAGAGATTGTAGAAATAAAGACACAAGACAAAGAGATAAAAGACAGCTGGGCCTGGGGAACCACTACCACCAAGATGCGGAGATCGTTAGTGGCCTCGAATGCCAAGCTGTGCTGATATTTATTGGATACAAGACAAAGGGGCAGGATAAGGAATGTGAGCCATCTCCAATGATAGGTAAGGTCACATGGGTCATATGTCCACTGGACAGGGGGCCCTTCCCTGCCTGGCAGCCAAGGCAGAGAGAGAGAGGAGAAAGAGAGAGAGCTTACAGCATTATTTCTGCTTATTAGAGACTTTTAGTACTTTCACTAATTTGCTACTGCTAACTAAACAGCAGAGCCAGTTGTACAGGATGGAACATGAAGGTGGACTAGGAGTGTGACCACTGAAGCACAGCATCACAGGGAGACAGGCCTCTGAATAACTGCGGGTTGACCTGACTAATGTCAAGCCCTCCACAAGAGGTGGAGGAGCAGAGTCTTCTCTAAACTCCCCCGGGGAAAGGGAGACTCCCTTTCCCGGTCTGCTAAGTAGTGGGTGTTTTTCCTCGACACTGAGGCTACCACGACATCATGGTTCGCCTGGAAACCGGCATCTTCCCAGACGCTGGCGTTACCACTAGACCAAGGAGCCCTCTAGTGGCCCTGTCTGGGCGTAACAGAAGGCTCGCACTATTGTCTTCTGGTCACTTCTCACTATGTCTCCCCAGCTCCTATCGCTGTATGGCCTGGCTTTTCCTAGGTTATGATTATAGACCAAAGATTATTATAATATTGGAATAAAGAGCAATGCTACCAACTAATGATTAATAATATTCATATATAATCATATCTAAGATCTATATCTGGTATAACTATTCTTCTTTTATATTTTATTATACTGGAACAGCTGGTGTCCTCGGTCTCTTGCCTCGGCACCTGGGTGGCTTGCCGCCCACAAGTGGGCATCTCCATTGGACACAGTAGGTTTTGAAATCCTTGTTTATCCTCTGGGGTCTGGGTCTTGGCTTACCTGTTAGCTGCAGCTGAAAGAGGTGTCTGCTAAGTCAATGACACCTGTGGGGAGAAGAAGGATTCAGCAGAGTGAAAGTAGCTGGGGCTCAGAGAAGCCAGGAAAGTCTGACTCTTAGAAACTGTGGGTCAGCAGATGGGTGTCCTCAGGGATAAATGGGCCATGCCAGTAGCCACTGCAGTGAACTGGAAGAAGGTAAGGGATGCTGGGTATCCCATGTTCTGTCTCAGCTCTGCAGCTGAAGATTTGGGCCCTGGGCTGGTACGGCCCTGCAGCAGGGGAAGGGTATACAGGAATGGCTGCATATCGGGACAAAGTCCATGTCATCTTCTTAGGCATTGTTACTGCAGATGGAGGATTGTGTTCAGAGACCTGGCCTAAACACATGGGAGGGCCCACCCCATTCTTTTAAAATTATTTTAAGAGAACAGTATTAGCAAATGTGGTACATGTTTTATTCTGCTAGAATCAGTCTTACTGTCACGTTTTACAATGTATCTCTTAGGAAATGGCAAGAGTCATCCACACAATGTGCATTTAAAGGGGACTCTACTATAATTTCAGCTTTCCTACTCTTTATAGAAACCATCTTCTCTGCAAACACACAGGCAATATCTCTGTATTCATTTCTATTGGGAGCCCTGTATGCAAGGTGGAGAGAGCCACATTTCCCCTGAGATTTTACGTAAAAGTTTGAGGTTGAGACGACATATCTGACACTCTGTTGTTATCCTCAGAAGCTACTACATGTGAAATTCTAATGACTGCATTATCCTGCCAAGTGAAAGAGGCAGGCATGAGCAAGGACAGTTAAGAGGGGTGAGAGCCTCATCATGATGGGGAGTCTTGTTCTGACATCTTGGGAAAAACTGTCCACAGTGTGAAGTCATCCACTTGTTGTCCTGGTTTACAGTTTGAGCAGCTGTTGTTATGGTGTCGAACATTTTGGTGAGTTCTGAGTGGCTCACGCTTCAGGTACAAGGGTTTTCCCATGAAATTTACATTGAGTTGTCCACCTCCCGCTTATAGGACTTCTGGAACAGAGTGGGTCTTGCTCTTCGTGATTCCATGGGAGAAAATGGAATTGGAGGAACTAGTAGAATTCAGGGTAATATCCAGTCTACAGGTAGATAATAAAAACACAGAAACAATGAACAAAGTTGCAATCTCATAACCGGTGTACTACGGTTTTTATTTTCCACATTATTTTTCTCTCTATGGGCATCTCTAGTTTTACCAATGATAATTTCAGTAGAATAAATTTGTTTGCAAAATAGGTTGAGTTTCTTCAAACGTGGTCTGATTCTTTACATAAGTGCAGCAAGAGTAGCAATGGACCATGTAGGATCTCTTTTAAAATTTTTCTTTGCTCTAAGTTTTTATAAGGAATCTCAGATTAAACTTTTACAAACCTCTTGAGAATAGGAAGCCAAACCAAGGCTGAGTTTAGACTTTGCCTGCAGTTCATACTGGTTCATTCTGTCTATATTCTTAAATATAACATCCCAGTCAAAGCCTTGGTAATATAACCAATGATTTGAAATGTGTCCTGTTACAAAGAGAGCAGATTGTTGCTGTACTTGTGCAAATATCTGTATTACCATAAACATATCAATACTCATGAATAGTTGCCCAATTCTGGGGCAGTCAGGTAGAGAGCAAAAGTAAATGTTTCAATTACAGTTCCCAGAAGTATAGTTTATTGAACTGCTATAAGCTATAGATAGATTAAAAGAAAAAAATTCCATAAATCTAGAAAACAAACCATTTAAAGAATCAGCAAATTTTCAAACAAAAATCATAAAAACATTATCCTCATTATTATCAATTGTTTCAATGAAATCAGTGTTTTTCCTGCTTGGTATAGGCTGGGAATTTTAAGAAGATATCAGCCTGTTTCTTAAAGTTTTGGAAGTTCTTAGACAGTCCAGTGGTATAATCTGAAAGTTATCAGAAACTTGTATTAAAGAGTTCTTGTCAGCATCTTTTCCATAAATCTCCTTGAAAAGGAAGCAGTTTTGGACTGTAGCTGATTGGAAATGCTTTGAGGAAGAATAAAAACAACATCTGTGAATGACAAAGATTTTAAATGACTATGGTTTAAACTCTGATGATAATTCATTATGATAACACAGCTCACAAAAAAAGTTACTTCTGTGGTATATGACATTATGGCTGATAACATATTTAATTTCTAGGAATCTCATACAATTTCTGGAACAATCATATCAGTAACATATCCATTAATATAACATAGAGAAAGTTTAGCATCCTTTACCACTTATGATTTGAAAATGCTTTTCATATAATTTTACATATCAAATAAAGTGGCTTTTCCATGTAGCTTGTGTTTCTCAGCAGGATTACTGAGGTCTTTGTGGAGGCCATTAATGAATAGGGCCAGGAAAGTATAGGCTCATGTATGCTGAAAAATTTCCCTAGATAATTCCAATACTCCCAGCTAATAAGCATTAATTTAGGTCTAAGTTTTACCTATTAGAACAGCTGTTCTTTATCCTGGTTACACATTAGTAGCATCTGGGAAGACTTAAAAACTAACAATGCCTGCCAGATGCAGTGGCTCATGCCTGTAATCCCAGCACTTTGGGAGGCTGAGGCAGGTGGATCATGAGCTCAGGAGATCGAGACCATCCTGGCTAACACGGTGAAACACTGTCTCTACTAAAAATACAAAAAAATTAGCCGGGTGTGGTGGTGGTTGCCTGTAGTCCCAGCTACTTGGGAGGCTGAGGCAGGAGAATGGCGTGAACACAGGAGGTGGAGTTTGCTGTGAGCCGAGATGGTGCCACTGCACTCCAGCCTGGGCAACAGAGTGAGACTCTGTCTCAAAAAAAAAAAAAAAGTTACCAATGCCTGAGTCTCACTTTAGACCATTAAATTGGATCCTCTGGGTGGGGCTTGGGCATCCATTTAAAAAAATGTTTTCTGGTGATTCCAATGTGAAGCTATATTTCCCATCAGATTTCTCTGATTTCTTGTGGCATTCACTTTTTTTCTATTTTGGTATTATAATTATT
Organism: Homo sapiens; assembly: GCF_000001405.40. Classification (NCBI taxonomy): domain Eukaryota; kingdom Metazoa; phylum Chordata; class Mammalia; order Primates; family Hominidae; genus Homo; species Homo sapiens. The sequence continues at coordinate 43,214,394 of NC_000019.10, forward strand.
TTTCTGGTCTTATCATCTATCTTAGGCTTTATGTTCCTTGGGGTAGAAACCTTGCCTTCTTCATTTCTGTATCGTTCATGAACATATGAGTTGGTCATCAGGAAAAGGTTCTCAATCACATGTAGGTTGTGTTCTGAGTCTCAGGTTTACACATTAATGCTGGAGTCATTTTCCTCTGGGAGGTCAGAGGTTGCTTTTGATGAAGGGTATGGGTAAGCCCATAATGCAGATGGTAGATGGGAGATCACACTGTTTTTAGCCACGGCATTGGAACTAAGCATTCTATGTGTATATCAGGTGGAAGGGAAGGGATGTGTAGACAGACAGATTTAATTAGAATGGAGGAATTACACTAGGGAATAGAGGTAATGGAAACAGTAAAAATTAGTAAAGAGAAGAAATGTGAACTTATCAAATAGGCAAGAGTCGATCTCTGAAGATTTTTGAATAGGGGAGTTAACTAGAATTTAGGAAGGTAACAAGGCAGTCACACACAAGGAAGATTTCAAAGACTGGAGGTAAGTCAAACAGTACCTCTAGCAGTTATTGAGGTTGTGGGAATGGAGAGAATGACACAAGTGAGAGATGTTAAAAAAAAGGATCAAGAAGGTTTTATAAGATATTGAATCTGGGAAACAAATTAGCAGAGGTTGAGGATAATCATTTGTAGGAGACAGTGGGGTACAGGGAGCATGAAGAACAGGGGAGAAGAGACCTGCAGGAATAAATGCTGAGAAGCAGGAGTTTAGTGGGAGGAGGAGGAGATCCAGTCCCAAATACTGGCAAAGAAGTCCTTTCCCTCTCCCAAGCAAGGCAGTCAGCCCTGCAGGAAACAGGACAAAAGGAAAGGCCATCATACCTTCCAGTCTTCCTGAAATAAACTACACCAGGGCTGGTAGATCAGAGCCACACTGGCCAGTACTCCAATCAGGATGCCGACAGTGGCTCTACCTGAAAGGCCAGGAGTACTTCTTGTACTGAAGTATCTGTCATGGAAAGAAAAGAAGAGAAGGAATAAAGGTGATGTTATTTTACAGTGTGCTACCTTAGGAACCATCACTAAGTATGAGGTAGTTTCTACTTGTTCCTTCAGGGATTAATTTTGTGGGAGGGTTGCTGGTAGATGATTAGCCAACTATATTCTTGCAGTTTTTTTATCTCTCAATGTGTTTCTAGGTTAGTGATCAGTCTTCTGTCAATTTCATCCTGACCATGCTGCACTCAGACATTTTTGAAGGTATCATAAAGATGTGAGAAAGGCTGACTGCTATTTTCTGTGTCATTAGAACTTTCTACCCTTTCGTGGTTGCATCTTTTTCTCAGTGTGTCAGTTGTGGTAGGCATGAATAAGACTGTCAGTTCTCCATGGCAGCTTGTGTTTCTCAAAAGGATTACTGAGTTCTTGGTGGAGCCCATTAATGAATAGGGCCCAGAAAGTATAGGCTTATGTATGTTGAAAAATTTCCCTAGGTAATCCCAATACTCCCAGCTAATAGTTGATTAATTAATAATCAATTGACTTGATTGACAGAAGGCCCAGATCAGTGCATTCCAAATTGACAACCTACTTTGCATAGAGTCCTCACTTTCCTGAAGCTCCCAGCAGGGATATGAAAGCAAGCCCCGTTCTGCGAGATTCTGTTTTACTCTCTTGGGTGACTGGTGGGAGGACTCCCTGTCAGCCTTGCCATGCTCTCTTTGAACTGAAGCTAAATCTTCTTTCTCTTTCTCCCTCACAGGAGTCAGATTTGCATAGTGCTCTCAAGGCTCTCCCAGACTTTTTTCATGCCTGCCCCACTTTCCCTCACAGGCATTTTTCCTAATACATTATCCTGCATGTCTAATCTCATCTTGGATGCATCTCAGTGGGTATAAACTAACATACCAGGCTTGATTTTTTTGCACTTAGCTTTTTTCTCTCTCTCCCACATGTAGCCAGTAACTGTGTCCTAGTGTTTTATGTGTTACCTGTTTTTTCTTGTGTATAGGAAAAATATATATATTTCCATATACTTATTTATATATAATATATAATAACAAAATATATAATAATATAAAATGTATAATAATGTAAAACATATACACATTTCCATATATGTATATGGAAAAAGAGGTAACACATAAAACACCAGGACATTTATATATAATAAAACTGACATATTTTATATGTGTATATATATATATAGTATATATATATATATATATGTGTATATATATATATATGTGTGTATATATATATGTGTGTATATATATATGTGTATATATATGTATATATATGTGTGTGTATATATATATGTGTGTATATATATGTGTGTGTGTATATATATATATGTGTGTGTATATATATATATATATATATATATATATATATATATATAGTGTCTGGTAGTCTTAACCTCTCTATAAATACACACTTTTTGTCACTGCCCCTTCCCTCCCATGCAGAGCTCCCATGGCCAAATCTCCTATTTCTCCAAGTGTGTGTCCCTCACTGTCCTCTGTGCTGTGTCCCATGTGCTGTGTCCACAGCCTCCTAGTGTTTTATGTGTTACCTCTTTTTCTATATATACATATGGAAAAAGCATATACATATTTATCTCTATATATTTATTTATATAAAATATATAATCTAAAAGTATATATATACAACCATTTAAAATATATACATATTTCCATATATATAAAAAAGGTTACACATAAAACACTAGGCCATTTATATGTAAAATTCACATATGTAATATAAATGCCAATTTTATCATATATAAATGATAAGTATATACACGATAGACTTATCATATATAAGGTGAATTTGGAATGCTCTGACCTGGGCCCTCTGTCAATCAAGTCCCTGCCATGGAGGCCACTCATTGCTGCCACAACTGAGACACCAAGAGAAAGATGCAACTATGAAATGGTGAAAAGTTCTAAAGTCATAGAAAATAGCAATCAGCCTTTCTCACATTCCAAATCCTTCAAAAATATCTGAGTGCAACATGTCCAGGATGGAATGAAAAACTTCAATCTTGAAAAGGAAAAAGGAAGCTGGAGGACTCACACTTTCAGATTTCAGCATCTACTGCAAAGCTACAGTAATCAATACAGTGTGGTACTGGCATAAAGGAGGACATAGTAACTAATGGCATAGAATAGAGAACCCAGAAAGAAAGCTTGCATATATGGCCAAATGATTTTTGTCAAGAGTGCCAAGACCATTCCATGGGGAAAGGACAGTCTTTTTAACATGTGATACCGGGAAAGCTGGCTATCCATGGACAAGTATGAGTTGAACCTTTACCTCACACCATATCCAAAAAAATGAACCCACAATGGATCAAAGACCTAAATGGAAGAGTGAAGACTACCAGACTCTTAGAAGAAAACATGAGGAAAAAGCTTCATGATATTGAATTTCAGAATGATTTATTAGTTATAACTACAAAAGCATAGGCAACAAAAAAGGGATAAATTGGACTTCATGAAAATTTAAAACTTTTATATATCAAAGGCCATTATCAAGAATGTAAAAAGGCAAACTATCACATAGGGAAAATATCTGAAAATCATATATCTCATAAGGGATTAATTTCCAGAATACATGAAGAACACTACAAACCAAAAACAGCAAAAATCCAAGAACCCAATAAAAAAATGGAGAAAAGACTAAAATAGAGATTTTATTAAAGAAGATATACAAATGGCCAATGAGGACATGCAAGGATTCTCAATATTAATACTTAGAGATATGCAAATCAAAACCACAGTGATACATGACCTCACACACATTAGGGTGGCTTTGATAAAAACAACATGAACAACAACATCAGAAAACAAATGTTTTCGAGTACGTGGGAAAATTGAAGCTCTTAGCGTATTACTGATGGCAATGGGAAATGTTATAGCCACTGTGGAAAAATGGCATGGCACGGCCAGCTCACGCCTGTAATCCCAGCACTTTGGGAGGCCAAGATGGGTGGATCTCTTGAGGTCAGGAGTTTCAGACCAGTCTGGCAAGCGTGGCAAAACCGCATCTCTACTAAAAATACAAAAATTAGCTGGGAATGGTGGCATGCACCTGTAATCCCAGCTACTCGGGAGGCTGAGGCATGAGAATCACTTGGACCTGGGAGGTGGAGGTTGCAGTCAGCCAAGATTGTGCCATTGCACTCCAGTCTGGGTGACAGAGCAAGACCCTGTCTCAATATCAACAACAACAGGAAAGAAAATGGTATGTCAGATTCTTAAAAAAATTAAAGAATTACCACTTGAACCAGCAATTCTACTTCCGGACATACAGCCAAAAGTATTGAAAAAAATTTGAACAGATATTTGTACACTGATGTTCACAGCAGCATCACTCACAATAGCCAATGGGTGGAAACAACCGAAAAGTCTATTGAAAGATAAGTGGGTGAACAAAAAGGTATATCCATGCTTTGGAATGTTCTTCAATCTTCAAGGGATAAAATTTTGACACATGGTGCAAAATGGATGAATCTTGAAGACATTATGCGAAGTGAAATAAGCCAGACACAAAAGGATAATTATTATATACTTCCATTTATGTAAGATAGTTAGAATAGTCAATTACATAGAGACAGAAATTAGAATGGTGATTACCAGGGGTTAAGGGGAGAAGGAATGAGAGTTATCATTTATTGGGTTCAGAGGTTTAGTATAGTAGGATAAAAAAAAGCACTGGAAATGGATAGTGTTGATAGTTACACAACACTAAATTTCACGCTTAGAAACAGTTAATGGTGAGTCTTAGATATATAGTGTCTAGTACTCTTACCCTCTCTATAAATACACACTTTTTGTCACTGTTCCTTCCCTGCCATAGAGAGCTTCTGTGAGTTAATCTCCCTATTTCTCCAAGTGTGTGTCACTCACTGTCCTCTGTGGTGTATTCCATGTGCTGCGTCCACAGACTCAGAGAGGCAGTGACTTCAGAGCCAGGACACAGCCCTATTCCCATTTTTTAAAGCCTTACTCATGGGAGGCTTGGCTTCTACTGGCAGCTCGATTTAGCCAGATTCAGAACCGGCCACCCAGGCACCTTATCCACATGCCCTGGCCCCAGCCCGGGTGGAGTCAGGGTAGGGTCAGTCACTGGGTGAGCCCACAGCAATGCAGGGAGCAGAGTCTGAGCTGCTTCTCCCTCACCCAAGGGGCTTCCTCCTCTCATTTGGGGAAAAGTGTGGGCTTGTTTTGAAGCCTCTGATGTTCATCACAGCTCATGGAGTACACACACACAAAGGAGACAGAAGGGATATTTTGGTGACAGAAACAGCTTGACCATGAGGACCCTCCTCTTTCTCCCTCCATGAAGGCCCTTATACTGCATAGTGCTTGGGGCTGATAAAGCCATTTCCCTACATTTCTCAGGCTGGACCCAAGGTCATCCACCAGAAATCCGGAAAACAAAGGGAAGAGAATCTGTAGATATGAATTGGGAGGGTTCAGGAGAAAAATTTGGATTTACTTTTGTGCATGGGACACAGGCTGAGAATAAAAATGTTTTCCTGGCTCTTTCTTGGAAAGCCAGATAGGCTTCACCTGAAAGCATATTGCCAATGCTCCAGCGATCCACTTACCAGGGACTGTGATTTTCTTGGTTGCGAAGTTTTTGCCATTAGTGACTGGGTTATGGACATAACACAGATAGTCCCCACTATTCTCTGTAGTGACTTGGGAGATAAAGACCTCTTGTCCTGTTTGCTGGTTATTCCCATTCAGCAGCCAAGAATGCTCTACTGATGGGTTAGAGCCCGCAAGGCAGGAGACATTGAGGTTTGACCCTGGATAGTAAAAGGTGTCTGAAGAATAAGTTGTGGGTTCATCTGGGCCATCTGGAGCAAAGAGAATAAAGTCACAGGTAATGTTATCAGAGGGAATGGGAAGCTCCTGGTCTGTGAAAGGGGCACAGTGTTCCTTTTTGCCAAGTCACAACCCCAAAGTCCCAGCCAAACTTCCTCTGTGTTCACTGAACTGGAGGAGTCAACGACATTCACCTGTTTCTCCCATCACAAGCTGTGGAACCAGAGTCTCCTAAGACCAGAGAAGCCCCTCCCTTCCTGGGCCTACCCAGGTTTGCCTGGGGCAGCAAGTCATGGCCAGCTTGGGGGTCTAGGGGTAAGTGTATTCATACTTGGACCTGAGAGGGACTGAGAGGCCTGGCCTCGTGTTATGTGGATTTGGGCTGGCAGCCTTGTCCATGAAGGAAAAGAGGATACTCACAGAGAACATCCAGGTGACTGGGTCACTGTGGCTGGTACTCACTACATTCTTCCTTTGACATTCAAAGAGTCCTGTGTCACTCCTTGTGACACTGAGTAGAGCAAGGATCCTGTTATCATTGGACATCTTTAGCCTGGGACTGAGTGTGAGTCTATGACTATTTACCCACCACATGTAGATTGTGCCATGAGTCTCAGGTTCACAGGTTAAGACCACAGCCTCCTCATCCTCCGCGGGGTTGCTGGTGACATAGGGCTTGGGCAGATTCACTGTGCAGATAACAGATAAGATTCCTCTGTGTGGCGCTGTGTCCGGAATTGGTGGGTTCTTGGTCTCACTGACTTCAAGAATGAAGCCGTGGACCCTCACAGTGAGTGTTACAGCTCTTAAGTTGACGCTTCTGGAGTTTGTTCCTTCTGATGTTTGGATGTGTTTGGAGTTTCTTCCTTCTGGTCGGTTCGTGGTCTTGCTGGTTCAGGAGTGAAGCTGCAGACCTTCGTGGTGAGTGTTACAGCTCTTAAGGCGGCGTGTCTGGAGTTGTTCATTCCTCCCAGTGGGCTTGTGGTCTCATGGTCTCGCTGGCTTCAGGAGTGAAGCTGCAGACCTTCACAGTGAGTGTTACAGCTCATAAAAGCAGTGTAGACCCAGAGTGAGCAGTAGCAAGATTTATTGCGAAGAGCAAAAGAACAAAGCTTCCACTATGTGGAAGGGGACCCCAGCAGGTTGCCACTGCTGGCTCAGGCAGCCTGCTTTTATTCTCTTATCTGGCCCCACCCACATCCTGCTGATTGGTAGAGCCGAGTGGTCTGTTTTGACAGGGTGCTGATTGGTGCATTTACAATCCCTGGAGCTAGACATAAAAGTTCTCCACCTCCCCACCGGATTAGATACAGAGTATCCACACAAAGGTTCTCCAAGTCCCCACCAGAGTAGCTAGATACAGAGTGTCCATTGGTGCATTCACCAACCCTGAGCTAGACACAGGGTGCTGATTGGTGTGTTTACAAACCTTGAGCTAGATAGAGTGCCCATTGGTGTATTTACAATCCCTGAGCCAGACATAAAAGTTCTCCAAGGCCCTAGCAGAGTAGCTAGATACAGAGTGTCGATTGGTGCATTCACAAACCCTGAGCTAGACTCAGGGTGCTGATTGGTGCGTTTACAAACCTTGAGGTAGACATAAAGGTTCTCCACATCCCCACCAGACTCAGGAGCCCAGCTGGCTTCACCCAGTGGATCCCACACTGGGGCTGCAGATGGAGTTGCCTGCCAGTCCCACGCCATGTGCCCGTGCTCCTCAGCCCTTGGGTGGTTGATGGGACTGGGTGCTGTGGAGCAGGAGGTGGCACTCCTCAGGGAGGCTCCCCCCGCACTGGAGGCTCGGGCCGCACATGGAGGGGGTGGGAGGCTCAGGCATGGCGGACTGCTGGTCCCGAGCCCTGCCCTGCCAGAAGGCAGCTAAGGCCCGGTGAGAAATCGAGCACAGCGCCGGTGGGCTGGCACTGCTGGGGGACCCAGTACACCCTCTGCAGCCGCTGGCTCGGGTGCTAAGCCCCTCATTGCCTGGGGCCAGCAGGGCCAGCCGGCTGCTCCGAGTGCGAGGCCTGCCAAGCCCACGCCCACCCGGAACTCCAGCTGGCCCGCAAGCGCCACGCGCAGCCCCGGTTCCGCTGGCGCCTCTCCCTCCACACCTCCCTGCAAGCTGAGGGAGCTGGCTCTGGCCTTGGCCAGCCCAGAAAGGGGCTCCCACAGTGCAGCGGTGGGCTGAAGAGCTCCTCAAGTGCTGCCAAAGTGGGAGCCCAGGCAGAGGAGGCACCGAGAGCGAGCGAGGGCTGTGAGGACTACCAGCATGCTGTGACCTCTCAGCACCACTGATTTCTCCATGAGCATTTTCCAATCACAGTTGACATCTCCCACCTCTCAGCCAATCCATGTCCTTAAAAGCCCACAGCAGGTCTGTGTACCAAAAGACAGATGGATGCATGATGATCTGAGGGCTCAGAGGCCATGGGGCCACCTGCTCTGTGTGGGAGATGCATAGACTTCTGAAGTGTGAATCGAGCAGCAATGTTGGTGAAGTGTGAATTGAGCAGGGTCAAACAATTAGAGTTTAATTAACTTTGTTTAAATTGGGCAGAGTACAAGTGAGGCAGCAGTGGCTCATGCATCTCCCCAAACGAAGGACCACACCTTATGACAATGTTGTTATTATGAATACACAGGTGTGTATGAAACAGGCAGTAAATCAGACAGCACCCACCTGGCCAGCTCCACCTGGTCCTAGGAACCACCAGTATTCCCATTATGTGTATGTTACAGCTTTTTAGGCTGCAAAATATAAAATACAACTTCAGAATATAAAATATGCTATTGTTGATACAAAATATTGAATATGAAGCTGAATATGTTGTTCCACTTTTTCTCACTCTTGTTAAACTTTGCTGTTTCAGTTTTGGAAGTTCCTATTGACACACACTTAAGCTAGAGATTCTTTCCTCAGCTGTGTGCAGCCTACGAGTAAGCCCATGGAGGGCATTCTTTATTTCTCTTAAAGTGTTTTTAATCTCTATTATTTCTTTTCCTTCTTTCTTAGAATAGCCATCTCTGTTTAAGTCACCCATCTATTCCTGAAAGGTGTCTCCTTTTTCCATCATAATCCTTAACCAGAGTTGTTTTAAATTTCCAGTCTGATAATTTCAACATCCCTACAACATCTGTGTCTGGTTCCAATCCTTGCTCTGTCTTTCAAACTGCATTATTATTTTTTTTTTTTTTTGCCATAGTCTGTCTTGTATTTTTTTGAAAACTACACATGATGTACTGGGTAAAAGGGACTTGAGTGAGCAGGCATTCAGTGACATGGTGGTGAGTGTGGCGAGGGAAGGGTTCTGTGGTTCTGGATGAGGTCTGTGTCCTGGGCTGTGAATGTCACAAGTGCCTCTCAGGTTTTTCTTTCCATTAGGTGGGATATGATGACTTGAGGAGGCTGGAGTTGGATATTTCCCCTCCCCCTGGCCAGTTAAGCTCCCATCAAACCCCAGCTAATTAGGCTGCAGTAAAATAGTTTCTCTTAAATTTAGGTCTTACCAAGAAGAATATAATTCACTGACAACTTTCCAAGTGTTTTTTTCCCTTCTTCCTACAAGAAGGATGCAGGGATTCTTGTTTGATATTGACTGTGAGAACCTGGTAGAGCTCCAGGAGCTAAAAGTCATAAAACTGTCCCCCTACTCCCAAGACTAATCCATCCACTGTTGTGTTTATCTCTGCGCTGTGTCCACACTGAGCCTCCAGAATTTCCTCAATTAGAGTTCAGGTTTTCTGACCCCAGCACTGGTTCCCACTGGGGTTTCTGTGCCTATGTTTCTGCTCAGGTACGGTGCACTGCTCTGTATTTGCCTGTGGGTCTCTCCAATATGTGGTCCAGTTAGCACTGAGAACTTGCTTCCTGAGAAATCTAAACGAGTTGTTGATTTTTCAGTTTGTTCAGCTTTTTACTTGTTGTTAGAACTGAGTGAAAATTTTTAAGCTACTTACATACCTGATGGAAATTCGAAGTCTCTAGGGCATGACTGGAGGATATGAGCGCCACAGCAGGTTGAGGATGGAGTCATGAGTGAAATGGGTGAAATGAGCCCGTGGGCTTTGGAAACTGCAGATCTGTCCTTCTGCCTCTGACCCCCTGGTGAGTCAATGTAGAAAGTGAAACCACCTTTGCAAAGCATATGATGATGAGAGAAAGCTAGCTTGGCTGACCCCATGTCACCCCTAGCCTCAGGCTGGCTGTCCTCTCTGATTCTTGGGCATAGGCCAGGGTAAGCATGGGAGGAATTTATAGTTTAACTTTGAAGCAACGGTGATAATAGTCCCTCCTGAAAATTAGCTCCCTCCTTGTCGGGGACTATCTTGGTAAGTCTAAGAAAAGACCATGAATTATGGAGGGGCCCAAATTCTGCTAAAATGCAGGCATAGTTTCTATAATCCCTTACTGCTCAGGAGTCATGTGTCCAGAGGTCACAAGATTTGTGAATTTCCTAGTTGCTCCTATAGATAGCAACACTATTGTAGAATCTGAGATTTATCTTTTCAGATGTTTCTCAGATTTTTGCATTCCAGCAACCTGCTGACCTCATCTAGACTCATGACCAATGGCTCAAACAGTCATGTGGCCCCCACTCAGAGGCAGATTCAACAAATACAGACCATTTCCCCTACCGGCATCATTTCATCTTTAGCCAGTCAACAGTACTTATTCCTTAGAACTTTGCCCCTCAAAGTTTTTGAAAAACTCTAACCTCTGAGCCATTGGGGAAGCTCATTTGAGTCATGATAAACTTCTATCCTCCTGTTTGGCAGCCTTGGGCTAAGTAAAACCATTGTTTACTGCACATCGCCTTCTCAATAAATTGGCTTTGCCTGTGCAGAGGGCAAGAACATGTCAGGTGATTATAAGAATGGATGGAGGAGCCACTGATCTCTTTCTGGTGGCCTGTTTCATGAGTCAGCCTCTCAGAGGGAAAAAGCCCTGGACTGGGACACAGTGGAAGCTCATTCTCCTGTTGACCCGGGGACATTGCCTTATTATGGAGCCTGGCAGGGGTGGCTGCTTTGGCTGATTTTGGTGCATTTTTCATTTACCAGAAGGCAGGACGGGCCTCAGTGTGAGCAGAAAGGAAATGGAACAGTCAGCTTTGTTAGAGAGGGTGTCTGGGGAAGTCCTCAGGGTGGAGGAAGCTGTGCAGGAAAGGGCTCATCAGATAGAATGAAAGCGGGATGCACTTTTTTCACTGAACACCTTTCAGACATCTCACCAACTCTGGCCTCACTGGGCTGTGCCTTTCCTCCTGAGCCCTGAGCCCTGATTCCTGGCAGGGAGGGAGAAAGAGAGGAAGGGTGAAGCTGGGATGTGTGCTGTCCAGGTTTCTTCCATCTCTGGAATCTTGACAGTGAGGGACCCTAATGTGTTACCTCAGAGGAGACCGTGGGAAAAAGCTGTTTCACAGGGGTGCCTGGCTTATGAAGTGAGGGAAATTCAGACCGAGTTGGACTCATGAACTACTGGGACCCTGTCCCATGTCAGCAAACAGCTTTTCTAGCTCAGCGTTTCTCTCTGTGGCTAACTCTTTTGTGTGATTTCTGAGCCCATGCTGGAGTCCTCCTCATGATGCCTGATGGTCAGACCTGTGTGGGGAGACCTAATGATGGGGTGGGGGTGGTCTTGAGTGTCACACAGAGTGTCCAGGGAACAGGCTTTGTGACTTTCTCTACCCCAGCCCCACAACAAGATCTGGATAGTGGGCTGGGTCAGATAAAGTCAGAATCCATGGGGAAGGGTATGTGTCCTGGCAGTGCCGAGGTTCGTGCCTCCAGGTTAGCTCTCAGTTTCTGCAAATACATTTATGTTGTGCATGTGCTGTTTCCTGGACTGTTTCATGTCCTTAAATCCTTGAACCTGTCTGCAGATAATGTCATGAGAGGTCTGCATGGAAGTATATAAGGGCTATCTGATTAGGGTGGGTGTGTTTTACATAGTGGGTTTTTTTTTTCACCAAACACTTTTCAAAAAATTGTGGTTGAGTGTATATATAGAAACACATACATACTTATATTCATTAGATGTGAGCATATATTCATATAAATTTAATATGTAGATACATATGTCTATAAATATACACATATATGTGTGTATGTATATGTGTATATATATGTATATGTGTATATGTGTGTGTGTGTGTATGTGTATATATATATATATATGTATATATATATATAGTGCCATTTTAACCACTTAAGGGGAGAGAGAGAGAGAAGAGAGTTTCTGCTAATACCAAATCTGGGTTAAATAAGGGTGGTCCTATTTCCTGGGGTTGGGCTTTTGCTACATGTGTCAATTCCTGTTGGAAGTGAGCTAGAGAGGTTACATGCTTAACCAATTTAGAGATTTTCTATATGAAAATCATCTGTGAGCACATTGATAAGTTCTATCCTTTCCTAGGTGAAAAGCTTGGTGTAGGATTTTAAGGACTTCCCATTGGCTGAAGGCTGGCAAATGGAGTTTGCCATCCTCTGACTACAGCCATTCTGAGGACTGGAAAGAATACCCTGAGAAGTGGCCTATTTTATTTCTGCAGGAAGGTACTGAGGTTTAATTTATCTTATGGAGTCTTCCTAGATTAGAAGGCTTTGAGGTGTGTTGATGCCTTGCCAGTGACTTAGCTGCCTGATCAGCGAACCTATTTCCTTTGGCTACTTCATCTGTTCCCTTTTTGATGTTCCCTATAATGTATCACTGCTACTTCACGTGGAAGAAAACTGAGGATAATAACCTGTTAATTTTTTGGTGATATTTCATAGGAAATCCATTGGTGGTAAGAAAATGCCTTTTATTTTAAATGGCAGCATGAGCATGAAGAACTCAAAAAGCATACTTGGAATCAGTGTAAATGTTAGCTACCTTTCCCTTGCTTAATTTAAGTGTTATTTTAATAACTATTTGTTTAGCTGATGGAGCATCTGCACCTGAAGAGAGATGTTATTTAGAGTGACTACTGCTTATCCTACCTTATGTATTTCTTGCTTTACCAGCTGATTGTTAGCTAAGAGCTCCCTCTAGAGGAAAGTAATTTTGCCACATTAAGTGGAGGTGTAAACCGTTTTTTCCTAGGGTTAATTTGGAGGCTTTTCTGATTAGTAGAGCTATTGTGACAGTGGTTTGGAAGCAGATGTAAAAAATAGGTCCTCCTAACTGCAAATAAGAGGTTGAGAAAAATATTGGATTAGAATTTTTCCTGAGACACCCCTTATGGTTGTGCTATGGGAAGAGGGGAGGCCTGGATAAGAAAGGAGAAAAGAGAGAGACTGGATCTAGTGTTTAGAAGGAGGTCTACTTTCCTTCCTATAATTTCCAGAATCACCTGTGTGTCCTGTGCTGTAATGGCAGTTTGAGCTGCTGGGGCCAGGGGTTTGAGCCCCAGGACCCATCAGTCCTGCTGGACCACTGTGAGACTGGTTCTGAACCCAGTGACCTCCATCTCTGGGAGCAGTTGCATCTCCAGCGGTCTCCACCACAGGCTGGACAGGGTCAAGGTGGCTTCCTCTTGCTGTTTGGACACTCCTTCCTCAAATGCCCTGGCTTGCCACACCGAGAGCAACTAGTGGATACACCTCTGGGATCCTGGACTTGCAACTCTGCAAAGCAGCTACTAGAGGCTTTGTCCTTCTCTTGAGCATTCTCTCTTTCTTCTGGGCCTTCTCCTAGTCCCTATTATAAAAGACTGAAGTGGCTACCCTTAGAAGGTTTTCCAAGGTGCTATCTGCTACTATAGCTTGCCTTTTATAGGTTCCTTCTAATATTGGGAGCTTTCTGTATAATAAAACTTATCTTTTGGAATGGGCTGTCACTTGACTGAATCAGGAGATAAAAAGGTGTGCACTAATAGTGCCCCTCTCAACCTATCCATAAAGGCTGCAGGATTCTCATCTGGCTTTGAGTCTATCATAGACAGTTTAGAAGAATTAAGAGGTCTGGCCTTAGTTTTTCTTTTCCATTGATCTGCAGAGCTATTGGGGTTTCAATCAGGGTTGTCAAGAGGTACTGCTTCACTTCTTATTTGGAGTGGTGTTTCTGCTATTTCTTCACTTTCTGTATCTCCTTCCTTCCCTTTTGGTGTATTATAGGAGATATGTTGCTCATCTCCAAAATTCTCTGCTGCTTGCAGAGCTGCCTGTTTTTCAGCTACAGTTAGGGTTTGGCTTAGGAGCAGCATAACATCCTTCCATGTGAGGCGAAACACCTGACTTAAATTCTGGAAAGCTTCTATATACCTATCAGGATTGTCTGAAAATTGGCCTAAGTCTTACTTTATTTGCCTAAGGTCCTGTAATGAGAAGGGAACTTGGAGGGACCCCAAATTATGGAGATTCTTCTCAGATGGTTCCCTTGGAAGTTGCTTTTCTAATATGAGGGGATTATTCTTTATAGGCCTTCCTGATATGGCTGTTAAAAAAATCTGGGTTGCTGTTACAATGCTTGTAAAGGTTTAGTAAAAATGCCCTGTCATTGTACAAAATAGAATGAGTTGCTTTTCTCTTGAAAGTCCTGAGGTTAAAAGAGTTCTAGTGCCTCAGAGTGCACTCCAGAGGGGTGCAAGCTGAAGATGCTCTGTTAGCCATCTAGAAAAAGAAGTGAGAATGAAAGTGTCCTTATAGTCCTCCTTCTTTCATTGTGACCCACAGTGGAGTGGAAGACAGTGGGAGCGTCCCCCCAAATGTTTTCTCTCCTTGGTTCCTGAGTCCTGGCACTGTCTTAAATGTGCCGCCCATGGTTGTAGGTGTGGCCCTGTAAGCCATGGAACTGGATAAATGAAGTGATGGGATTAGCCACACTTTACCCATGCAACCTTAGCTTATCTGCCTGTGATCTGCCTGGCTTCCTGAAAAATGGATCTCTGGAGAAACTGTAGCAGTTGCCTTTGAGCAAGCTTTCTTTAAGAGAGGGAATGTGCCAGTTGCCAGTTATGGCCCGTGCTAAAATATTTACCCTCAGAAAAGTGGTCCTGGTTAACTCTGTTCTTAAAATATCCTTACTAATTAAATACTGTTCTAATTGGAGATAGAATAAGTACCTTAAATGAACGTAGGGACCTAATGGCAGTTTTTCCTGCTGATGGGACAATATTGGAACTAAAATTTGGCTATGGAAGACATTTTACCTCTAACTGTTGAAAGCAGAGTTTTCCCATTCACAGAAAGGGCTTTTCTATCAGTGCAAAAAGAGACAATTGGAAAAGTGCAGTGTTATGGCAAAGGACCAACGATGTGCCTCATGAGGAGGATTTCTGTTTCCACTAGGTGACACTGTTGGCTTAGAAATACCATGTGCTTACCAAAGGAAGGAGAGAGAGACAGAGAGAGAGGGAGGTACCTATTGGGTTAGTTATTATAGCATGTACCGATCCTTCCTAACAGAAGTGTTTCCCTGAACTGTAAAAATTTCTACATATTGCATACACAGAAAGAATAGGAGACATAGAGACAATGGATAGAAAGGAAGAACAAATTTGCAACAGGATAGCAAATTAGGAGACCCATTACCAACATCTGGATGGGCTGTCGGAGGCTGTGTTCAGTCCAGAGGCCTTTGAATAACATCAGGGTGTGTCCTGGCCAGAAATTCTCAGCTGCTCCAGGACATCCCCCAGCCTCATGTGATGGTGAGGTTCTCCATGAAAGGAAACTAGTTGGAAGAGAACCTTGAAATTAAAGGACAGATTTGAGGTTTGCTCCATACTCACCATTCTGATGTTTCTATCTTCTCTTCTGATCACAATCCCAGATGAGAACTCCCAAATAAAATGGCTCTGTTTGGTAATCTATCCATTGTTCTTTGTCACACACTGAAAAAGAATTCAGGACATGGAAACACATGAGGAGTGGGTTTAGGAGTGAAAAATTTAACAGACAAAAAAGAAGAGAGAGAGAAAAAGCTTTCTCATATTGAGAAAACAGTCACCCAAGAGAAGGTCTCCAATTTGGGGTGGAATGTAATTGATTTTGTACAGAGACTTAAGGAGGCAGTGATTGATTTACATAGGGTCCAGGGGATTGTTTTGACCAGGTGTGCCGTTTAAATAGCCCGAGAAAAGACTGGCCCTCCCACCCTAATCTTTTATTATGCAAATGTGACTTCTACCTGGTGGTCACCATGACACCTGCACATGTGGTGACAAGGAAAAAAGGGCAGGAACCGCCATATTGGGAGTACCTGGCTCTTAGTTGCCTGCAGCTATATATGCATATCTGTGCTTGCAGCCTGATCATTCAGTCTGTTTTCTGTTAGAAATGGTTTGGGGGCTGCTTTTTATTAAAGGAAAATTCCACCAAGAATTCTTTTACCCTTTCTAGCTGCCTAAAAATAATTTCTCGATAACTCCTGTATTAGGACCCCTTTAGGAAAACAGAAAAGATGACACAGACTCTCCTGTAGGGGAGTAACCATAGTTTTTTTTCTCATGGAACCCCAAGAGTTGCAAGTGAACGGATTTCTCTCAGGTCTAAAACTCTGCTCTTTTCTCCACTGTGTTACCTGACCTCTTTGCCTGTTACATTACTTTGTACTGTAAAAGTATTTGACCTTGTGTGTGTAATGGTTGCTGGGTCAGTGATAGGAGCTATGGTTTTGAAGGTGACTAACAGTGGTTATAATAAATTATTCTAGCTTCAGAGGACTACTCATTTCTTTGTATGTTTAGATGCAAAAGACACAGTTTAAACAATTAAGGAAATACCTTTGTAGCAAAGTACTCTGTGGAAGTGTTGCAAAGTATGGTCCCCATTGCATTTTCCTCTTCTTGGGGACCTGGGATTCAGTGAAATCCTTGATTTTTAATGTCTAAATGTTGTCCCTTCCAACTGGTTCTCTTTTTTACATATTTAAATGATTAGAATCTAAAAATTGAAAAGACTTTGTTGGCCCTCTTCCTTAATGGGCTCTATCTTGAGCACAGTGATTCAGTTGAAGAACAGAGACCAAATTAAAAGCTACGTCTCTAAATAAAAAACAGGTGCTGCAGAGGATGTGGAGAAATAGGAACACTTTTACAGTGTTGGTGGGACTGTAAACTATTCCAACCCTTGTGGAAGTCAGTGTGGTGATTGCTCAGGGATCTAGAAGTAGAAATACCATTTGACCCAGCCATCCCATTACTGGGTATATACCCAAAGGATTATAAATTATGCTGCTATAAAGACACATGCACAGATATGTTTATTGTGGCACTACTCACAATAGCAAAGACTTGGAGCCAACCCAAATGTCCAACAATGATAGACTGGATTAAGAAAATGTGGATCATGCACACCATGGAACACTATGCAGTCATAAAAAATGTTGAGTTCATGTCCTTTGCAGGGACATGGATGAAGCTGGAAACCATCATTCTCAGCAAACTATCACGAGGACAAAAAATCAAACACCGCATGTTCTCACTCATATGTGGGAGTTGAACAGTGAGAACACATGGACACAGGAAGGGGAACATCACACACCAGGGCCTGTTGTGGGGTGGGAAAAGGGGGGAGGGATAGCATTAGGAGATATACTTAATGTTAAATAATGAGTTAACGGGTGCAGCACACCAACATGACACATGTATACATATGTAACTAACCTGCACATTGTGCACATGTACCCTAAAACTTAAAGTCTAATAAGAAATAAATAAAACCCCATGGTAAATTTCTATTATTTTTGTGTTACCTTGGCATCTTTTTAATCTTCCTTGAACACACCAAATTTTTTCTTGAAAAAGCTTAAGTTCTCTCTCTCTCTCTCTTTGCTTTGAGATGTAAATGTGCTATGTATTTTCTCTAAAACTTGGTAAAGCCCTCCTCAGATAAATGTTAACCTTTACCATTTACAAGAAAGCAATTTGAATCCAACTATCCTTTAAAATGATGGGTTTTACTGATGTCATACCTAAAGCCCTAAAATCAAAATTCTAAAATCTTTTTGTCTCTATCTTTATGTGAACATATATATGTTATATATTTTATCACATACATGTTTATGTCACACATTTATATACTGTTGACACATAGTATCAAATTAATGTAAAAATAAATGGGTACATACAAATTAAGTGAATAAGCCCAAATGCTTTTCTATACATGTGATTTTAGTAACCTTTGGTGAATATAGATAGTTTTAAAATTGTTGGTAAAATAAAGTAGAAATGTCTTCATAATTTAATTTATACGTTTTTGCCTATGTCTGTTGGCAGGCAGGTTTATATTGTCTTTACTAGATGTTTTAAGGTCATCAAAGAGTTGCTTCCATATATATACATTTTCTTAATTTGTCTGTGAGCTTATGTCTTTATATTTGAAGCTTTAAATTCTGAGTTCTAGATGAGTGACCATAGTAAGAACTGGGGACAAAACCCATCCCATCCTCCAGCTGTGCCTTTTGGCCATGCTGGGAGAGGTGGGATTATCCAGGCATTTTCTTCATAGCTCTGTTCTTTGTCTTGGGCTTTGCATCTGGTACATAGTTAGAATGATTTACTCCCTAGTTTTTTTTCTACTGAGAATAAGGCTGTGTAAGTCTGTTTTTACATTGCTACAGACAAATACATGAACCTGAATAATTTATAAAGAAAAAAGGTCGAATGGTCTCATGATTCAGCAGGTTGTAGAGTAAGCATGATTCTGGCATCTGCTCAGCTTTCGAGGAGCCATCAGAAAACTTACAATCACGGAGAAAGCCAATGGTAGAGGAAGACATCTTATATAATGGGAGCTGGAGGAAGAGAGCAAGTGTTGCACACTGGTAAACAAACAGATAAAAACTCACTGTTGCTACAACAGCACCAAGGAGAAGGGCCTTAAAATATGAGAAACCACGTCCATGATCCAATCACATCCAACCAGGCTCCACCTCCAACTTTGGAGATTACAATTTGACTTGAGATTTAGGTGGGGGTAAAGTTCCAAAAAAGTATTATTCTCTCCATCATCCCTCCCAAATCTCATGTCTTTCTCACATTTAATAATATAAGAATGGCTTCCCAACAGTCTCTAGAGTCTTAACTCACTCAGCATTAACTCAGAAGTCCAAAATAGCAAGTTTCATCTGAGACAAGGCAAGTTCCTTTTACGTATGAGCCTGTAAATTCAAAAGCAAGTTAGTTACTTTCAAGACACAATGGAAGTATAGGCATTGGGTAAATACTCCCATTCCAAAGGGAAGAAATAGGCTGAAGGAAATAAGATACAGGCCCCATGAAAGTCTGAAACCTTGCAGCACAGTCTTTAAAATTTAAAGCTCCGAAATAATCTCCTTTGACCCCATATCTCATATTCAGGGCACACTGATGTAAGGCTTAGGCTTCCAAGGTTCTGGGCATCACAGGAACATTCCAAGAGAGTCACAAAAGAATTTGTAGTGTGGCTTTTGATGCTAAACAGTGTATTAGACCGAGTAAGTCACTGAAGAGAAAAAAGTCAGAGGAGAAGATGGGTGAGGGTGACAGAAATGGAATGGTGAAAGGAAAGTTCTGACAAAAATGTTTATCGGCTGGGCATGGTGGCTCACGCCTGTAATCCCAGCACTTTGGGAGGCCGAGGTGGGCAGATCACGAGGTCAGGAGTTTGAGACCAGCCTGACCAACATGGTGAAACCCCATCTCTACTAAAAATACAAAAATTAGCCAGATGTGGTGGCACACACCTGTAATCCCAGCTACTCAGGAGGCTAAAGGGAGGAGAATCACTTGAACTTGGGATGTGGAGGTTGCAGTGAGCTGAGATCACAGCATTGCACTCCAGCCTGGGTGACAGAGTGAGACTCCATCCCAAAAAAAAAACAAAAGTTTACCCAGGGGCTCATCTGGTACCTTGCTCTGTGACTAATATCTTACACATTTTGATTTACTCTTCCACTTTCATTTTCTGATGCGCAAAGTGTCACCCTTCTGCTGAAGATGAGAAAAGAGGCTGAGGGAGCCAAATGAGTGGTCTAGAGTCATCCAGCTACTTCATAGAGTTTGTGTCTTTTACCTTGACGTTTGTGCACAGACAGAAAAGTGAGACACAGAAGGAAGGCAAAGCAAGTTTTTGTTGTGGGTGACATTTATGAAAGTTACCTGTGTTGGCAGAATAATGGACTCCTAAAATGTTTGCACCCTAGCTCTGGAACCTGTGCATTTACTTTTCTTGGTAAAAACATGGTGCAGCGGTGATAAAATTAAAATCTTAAGATGTGGACGTTGTTCTAGATTATCTGGGTGGGCCCATTGTAATCAGAAGTGTCCTTGTAAGTGACAAAGAAAAGCAGGGGGGTCAGTGTGAGAATGATGAGCCTGTGAGACTCCACTGGCCAATGCTGGGTGTGAGCATGCATCAAAAGACAAAATTACAACTAATGTAGTTATAGATTTTATTTTTCATTTATTATTTGAGGCAGCTCTCACTCTACAAATATAGTGACAGCCCTCCCTGAGCTATACAATAACAAAACAGTGGGTTTTGTCAAGTGGGAACCAGTAAACAAAGCCATATAAATAAATAAATTGGTGAACATTAGGGTACTTCAGGTCTCTTTTCTGTAAAAGTTAAAGCAGAGGAAACTTTTATTATGCTATCTCAGGTAGAGTGGAATCTCCTCTTTTCAACAAAAAACAAAGGTCTGTTCTGGTATCTCTTTGCTTCATTAAAATTTCAGTTGTAGACTGTAGCATTTAGCAGGAGTGGTTCTATTTTGGAGTCTCTAGGCTCTCACTTAGGTGAGAGTGTGACCAAAATTTAAAGCATTGGCATTCATCTCAGTAACCATCATATTGGGCTTCCATCATTTATAAGTTTATGATGTCTTCCTGATCACACATTTCTTTGAGTTTTTGTCATTTCAGCCAAAGAGAGACCCTTTGGTATTTGTTGATGGCTGCACACAAAACTTTTTAAAAACTTTTGTAGAATTCACCACACCAAAATATAGAATTTTAAAACCTATAGAATTTATCACACCAGAGATGCTACTAGTATGACTATCAGGAGGATAACACCAAAAGTTTGGAGTATGCACTTTAGGCAAGATGCAAACCAAGTAAAATAGAATAGATCAAAGAATGAGCCAGAAGAGTCTAGCAATTTTAACCAAGTAGTATGTTTGGTAACTTCTGTGATTGAGTCATTATTATACTCGATGTATTTCTTTATGTGCAACAGTCAGTGTCAGAAACTGCACAGGCTCCTCCCTGTTCAGCTGGTAGGGAACAATTTTATTATGTAGCATTCGACGGCTCATTAAATTAAAACAGGGAGTGAGAACAAGTGAGTCTGAAAATGTAACTTTAAAAGGGACCACTGTACATTTGAAGAAACAAGTGTGTTAAAGATGCTGCTAATGTCAGCCGTTGGGTGGACTAAATGATATCTTATGTAAAAATTTGAGGGTGACATGATATATCTGTCACTCTGTTACGCTACTCTCAGAAGCTACTTCATGTGAAATTCTAATGATACCATCATCGTGCCACGTGAAAGAGGCAGGCATAAGCATGGACAAATTAAGAGGGCTAAGAGCCTGATTTTGATGTGGAGACTTGTTCTGACAACTTGGGAAAAGCTTTTGACAGTGTGAAGTTGTCAACTTCTTATCCTGGTTTTAAGTTTGAGTGTCTGTAGTTATGGTGTCAAACATATTGGTGAGCTCTGAGTGACTCATACCTCAGGCACGAGGGTTTTCCCGTGAAATTTACATTGAGCTTTCCACCTCCAACTTATAGGGCTTCAGGAACAAAGCAGATTTTGTTCTTACTGATTCAATAAGAGAAAACTGGATGGGAGGAAATAGAAGAATTCAGGGTCTAGTCCAGTCTACCGGTGAATAATAAAAACTCAAAAACAATGAACAGAGCTGCAATTTCATAGCAGGTATACTACACTTTTTATTTTCAACATTATTTTTCTCTCTATAGGCATATCTATTTTTACCAAAGAGAATCCCAGTAGGACAAATTCGTTTCCAAAGTAGGTTTAGTCTTATCAGACTTTGCCGGGATTCTTTACATAAGTGCATCAAGAGTAACAATGGACCACAGAGGCTCTTCCTAAAGTTTGCTTCCCTAGAAGTTTTTATAAGGAGTCTCAGATTAAACTTTTACAAGCCTCTTGAGATGAGGAAGCCAAATGAAGGCCATCTTCAGCCTTTGCATGCAGTACTTATGGGTCCATTCTATGTATATTCTCAAATATAACATCTTAGTCAAAGCCTTGGTAATATAACCAATGTTTTGAAACGTGTCCTTTTGTAAAGAGAGAAGACTCTTACTAAACTTGTGCAAATAACTGTATTAGCATAATCATATGAATACTCATGAATAGTTTCCCAATCCTGGGACAGTTAGGAAAAGAGCAAAAATAAATGGGCTTCAATTATTGTTTCCAAAAGTATACTTTACCAAATTGCTTTAGATATAGATAGCTTAAAAGAAGAAAAATTCCATAAATCTGGAAAAAATCATTTAAAGAATCAGCAAATTTTCAAATAAAAATTATAAAAACATTATCCACATTATCATTTATTTCAATGAAATTATATTTGTTCTGCTTGGTCTCAGTGGGCATATTTCATGAAGGCATCAACCTGTTTGTTAAAGTTTTGGAAGTCTATAGACAGTCCAGTGATATAACCTTGAACTGCTCAGAAACTTGTATGCAAGAGTACTTGTCAGTATCTTTTCCATAAATCTTTTGAAATAGAAGCAATTTTGGACTGTAGCTGATTGCAGATGCTTTCAGGAAGAATCAAAACAACTATCTGTGAATTACCAACATGTAAAATGACTATTGCTAAAACTCTGATAAGAGTTTGGTATAATAAAGAGAGTAACTCTGGCCAGTACACCAGTCATGATGCTGACAGTGGCCCCAACTGAGAGACCAAAAGAACTTTCTTGTCCTGAAGCAGCTGTCATGGAAAAAAAAAAAAAAAAGAAGAGAAGGAATAAATTATAAAGACAGCAAGGGTTTTAGCCAATTATTTTTTGAGATAGGGTCTCACTCTGTTGCCTAGGCTGGAGTGCAGTGGTGCAATCTCAGCTCACTGCAACCTGTGCCTCCCAGGCTCAAGCAGTCCCCCCACCTCACTCTCCTGAGTAGCTGGGACTACAGGCACACACCACCATGTATGCTTAATGTTTGTATTTTTTGTAGAGATGGGCTTTTACCATGTTGTTGAGGCTTGTTTTGAACTCCTGGACTCAAGTTATCCACCCGCCTTGGCTTCCCAAAGTGCAGGGATTACAGGTGTGAGCCACCGCTCCTGCTGGTTTCATGCTTTTTATAATAAGAATGAACTCCTTATGTAATAATAAATAAAAAGAAATTATTTGCTTTGGATGTAGCAAATGTAGATTGACCAGAGTCAGGAGCTAAGCCTCATATTTTTTTTGGCTTTAGCTCAGTGTAGAGTGCATTGAAGGTGTCCCAAAAATAATTCCATATAGTAAGCCAACTTTAAACCCTGCTCACAGCCAGATCTGCCAAGTATGAGCCAGGTAAAATTACCAAAAAGGGTGGTTCTGACTGACTCCTTAACAATAATGTGGCTTACAAACAAAGACTGATATGAAATAGTCGATCCAACCCAAACACTTTGCTCATTTCCCAAAATTTTCTATACAAACATATACAACTTATCACAACATAAAGAACATAATGAAAGGTTTGCCTTTTATTCGTTTAAATGACCATATGTTTAGATCTGATGTACTGACAGCGATAATTCTCCATTAAGCAGAAACCTAATAAAATTTGAAAAATAGTGATTTTATCTTTAGATGATACTCAGATCTTCTGCTACATATGTGGAAAATGGAATTATTGCTAGAAACATTGTTTAAAGATTAGGGTATGAAAGGAGTATTAGGAAGTCAGGAGGTTCTTTCTTTAGGAAGCAGCTTATCTGGATTCATTCAAAGAGCTTTATGCGAGTTTGAGGTCTTTCTGCAAAATGTAAATTGCTATCTGAGAAACCATATATAGTCCAATGATGAAAGAATGCAAAGCCTTAGAAGCACCGGAGACAATTCCAGTATCTTCCCTAAAGTTCTGACAAAAAGGAAAATAACTATCAAATTATTCAACTCGAATGCTTATTATGTATGTATAAGTCAGTTGGCAGACGAAGAGAGGAGGGAAATATGACTTCTACCCCTAGGGAACACATAGTCTTGTGGGGCCACTAGGGGTGGTGGTGTGACCTGCCTGGAGCAGCGCTAAATATGGACTTGTGAGTGAAGGGCTATCAAAACCTAAGTAAACTGATTGCCGTTCAGAGAAGGTAGAGTTCCATTCCACAGTTTGCAAGAAGGACTATTTCATGGAGGAGGTCATGTTGGACTAGACCTTAAAAAGTTGGTAGAATTTAAAAGCAAGGATATGGAAGCAGGAAGAGTGAAAGTGAGCAGAGGTACAGAAGTGAGGCAAGGCTGAGCAGTGTTAATTTTTTAATGGTGGTATTATAAAACACACATCAAAATTTGCCATATTATTATTATTATTTTGTAGACAGTGTCTGGCTCTGTTGCCCAGGCTGGAGTGCAGTAGCTCAATCATGGCTCACTGTAGCCTCCACCTCCTGGGCTCAAGCAATCCTCGTACCTCAGCCTGCTGAGTAGCTGGGACCACAAGCATATACCACCATGCCCAGCTAATTTTTATATTTTTGGGAGTGACGAGTTCTTCCTATGTTGCCCAGGCTGGTCTCGCACTCCTGGACTCAAATGATCCACCTGCCTTAGCTCCAAAGTGCTGGGACTACAGGTATGAGCCACTGCACCTGACCCCATCTTAAAAATTTTTAAGTGCACCGTTTAGAAATACATTTGCATTATGCAACCATCAGCGCCACCCATCTTCAGAGAGTATTTTTCATCTTGTAACAGGGAAAATTCATATCCATGAAACACTAACTCCTCATTCTTCCTCCTCCCCACCCCAGGTAACAACTATTTCAGTGTCTCTATGATTTTGACTGCTCTAGGGACTTCTATAAATGAGATCATACACTGTGTATCTTTTTGTGACTTAGCATAATGTCCTCAAGGTTCATTCATGTTGTAATATATGTGAGAATTTTTTTCCTTTTGAAGGCTGAATAATATTTCACTGTATGGATAGACCACATTTTGTTTATCCATTCATCTATCCATGGACAATTGGGTTGCCTTCACTTTTTGGCTATTGTAAATAATGCTGCTATAAACATTGAGGTACCAAAACCTGTTTGGGTCTCTGCTCTCAATTATTTTGGGTTTATACCCAGGAGTGGAATGGCCAGGTCATACAGTACCTCTAGTTTTAGTTTTCTGAGGAACCGCCATAATGTTTTTCACAGTGGTTGCACCATTTTAATTCTTATGAATAGTGCACAGGGGTTCCAATTGTTCCACAGTCTCATTAACACTTATTATTTTCTGGGGTTTTTGCTTTGTGTTTGGGAGTAGCCATTTAAATTGGCATAAGGTATAATTTCATTGTGGTTTGCATTTTCATTTCCTTAATGATTAGTGATATTGATCAATATTTTATATGCTTGCTGGCCATTTGTACATCTTCTTTGGAGAAATGGGAGGGACAGATCCCTCCCATTGAATAGATTAATGTCCTCTCCTGATGGTGAATGAATTCTTCCTCTATTAGTTCCTGCAAGACCTGGTTGTTAAAAGAGCAGGCCACCGCCCCGGTTTCTCTCTTGCTCCCTTGCTCATGTAATCTCTGCACATGTTGGCTTCCCCTCCTCTTCTGCGATGAGTGGGAGCAGGCTGTGGCCATCACCAGATGAAGATGCCCAATTTTGAACTTTCCAGCCACCAGAATCATAAGCCAAATCATCCCTTTTCCTTTATAAATTATCCAGCCTCAGGTATTCTTTATAGCAACACAAAAGGGACAAGGACTTTTTATATCTTGCCCCACTGTCTTCTAGCATTTCATGTGTCACATAAAGAAATCTTAGCCTCCTAGGTTTTTTTTTTCTGAATATCCACAGAATTCTTTCCATAACTTCAAATACCAGGAATTTATTGGGGTATTTGTTAATTATTCAATATAAACACAGCCTTGTAATTCTTGGGCTATTTCTGTCTGCAGATTCAAATTTCACTGTATTTCAGGAATTTCACCTTGAATTGTATCTTTGAAAATTTGTTTTCATGTTCCATTCATTTTTTAACCCATGCAAGGCATTTGGTGTTAATGATATTTGATCTCTTCCCTACCACCCCTCCCATCCCCCTCTTTTTCTCTATCTCTGTCTTCCGTCTTTTACTTTTTGTTCTTTTCCATCTCACATGCTCATTTTTTCTTCTCAAAACCATCCTTTGAATTCCTTCAGTGGTGTCTCATCTCCCTTTTGCTGCTTCTATCATGACCTTTGATTTTAGTCTCTTTTTGTGTGTCTCTCTCTGAGATTCTGAGGCTCTGCCTATTCTGTTTTTATTCTCATTTGTTTCTAATTTGTTTCCAAGACTCTGTCTACTCCCTTTTCATTCTCATTTATTACTAATTTATTTCTGAGGCTTTACCCACCCACTTTTCATTCCCGTCTAACCTAATGTATTATCAGTTCTTCCTTAAAGCCTTATATTGCTTCTTTAAATTCTCATTTCAGAGAAACAATATTGTCTTTAATTGATTCCTTAGAAATAACTTTGTTCATGGTTTTTGGCTGCGTTGTGGTATATAATCTTTCTGTTTCTCATCTTCATAAATCATGTTCTGTTCTTCTTTTTTCATTTCAGCATCATTTTAAAGGCCCCCGGCTGGCTCCACCCTTTTTAAGTAGCATTGTTCCTCATCTTTTTGGACTAGAATTTTGGGCAAAGTTCTGGTGAAAGGGGAAGAGGAATGTGCTAAACAAATGGGAAGATTGGGTTTCAATCTGTTATCTCTAGGATGTTTCTCAGCTGGACTTGGCCTGTGGGTTATCTGGTCCAGCATAGCAGGACATCTTCCAGGCTCACAAGGAGGTTGTGCATTTTACAGAACATTTTAATGTGATTATTTTACCTTCACTTATCTTCACCAGGCAGCTTTGGGCAAAGACGGCCAGGTAGCTTTTATCTTATTGACTCTTCCTTCTATCCTATACCATGATTGAAACATGATGTAGGCTTCCAAAACCAGGCCATGAACCTTGATCTTAACTTTCTAAGCATGGGATAGACACATTTCCTTTCAATGTGTGCCACCCATCCACTTTGGATAACTATGAGCTGGGTCAACTGTGCCTGAGTCACACATAGAAAGACACCTTCTCTTGGAGTTCCCAAATACCTCCATCCACTTCTCATACACTTGGCTGTCTTCCTGCATCTACAGTGATCCAGTGTTATAGGGGATCTGTAGCTTCATCAAAGATAACATTTGTTTGTTTCTCCTTCTCTTGTTTGCTTTGGATTGGTTTCATAAAGGAAATGAGACGAAAATATACTTATACTACGATTTTAAAAGAAAAGATAAATTCCTTCTTTCAAATTCATTCCTTTTTGTTTCTTTCCAATGAATCTCATGGGGTGAGGGGAGGACTGAAGAGAATGTCCAATCTACTCAAATCCAAAAAGTCACAGGTATAAGGCACAGAAAATTTTACCAGTCTAATGATGGCAGTTTTAATGCTATATAAGGACAGACTATGCAAAAATGCTATTAATGAGGATGAGGAGCTACAGGAACAAACCTGATGAGGAACTGTAATTCTATTAGAGGGATGTATATAGCCATCATTTTTTTCTTTAATCCAAAACAATTAGATTGCTTATGTAGACAGCCACATGCTATTTGATTGAAATGCACCAGAGGATGCAGATATATATATATATCCTTTTACCTTAATTTCCATTTTATTCTTTCTCTCCCTTTTTTTTCATTTATTATTATACTTTAAGTTTTAGGGTACATGTGCACATTGTGCAGGTTAGTTACATATGTATACATGTGCCATGCTGGTGCACTGCACCCACTAACTCGTCATCTAGCATTAGGTATATCTCCCAGTACTATCCCTCCCCCCTCCCCCCACCCCACAACAGTCCCCAGAGTGTGATGTTCCCCTTCCTGTGTCCATGTGATCTCATTTTTCAATTCCCACCTATGAGTGAGAATAGGCAGTGTTTGGTTTTTTGTTCTTGCGACAGTTTACTGAGAATGATGATTTCCAATTTCATCCATGTCCCTGCAAAGGACATGAACTCATCATTTTTTATGGCTGCATAGTATTCCATGGTGTATATGTGCCACATTTTCTTAATTCAGTCTATCATTGTTGGACATTTGGGTTGGCTCCAAGTCTTTGCTATTGTGAATAGTGCCACAATAAACATACGTGTGCATGTGAATTTATAGCAGCATGATTTATAGTCCTTTGGGTATATACCCAGTAATGGGATGGCTGGGTCAAATGGTATTTCTAGTTCTAGATCCCTGAGGAATCCCACACTGACTTCCACAATGGTTGAACTAGTTTACAGTCCCACCAACAGTGTAAAAGTGTTCCTATTTCTACACATCCTCTCCTGCACCTGTTGTTTCCTGACTTTTTAATGATTGCCATTCTAACTGGTGTGAGATGGTATCTCATTGTGGTTTTGATTTGCATTTCTCTGATGGCCAATGATGATGAGCATTTTTTCATGTGTTTTTTGGCTGCATAAATGTCTTCTGTTGAGAAGTGTCTGTTCATGTCCTTTGCCCACTTTTTGATGGGGTTGTTTTTTTTTTCTTGTAAATTTGTTTGAGTTCATTGTAGATTCTGGATATCAGCCCTTTGTCAGATGAGTAGGTTGTGAAAATTTTCTCCCATTTTGTAGGTTGCCTGTTCACTCTGATGGTAGTTTCTTTTGCTGTGCAGAAGCTCTTTAGTTTAATTAGATCCCATTTGTCAATTTTGGCTTTTGTTGCCATTGCTTTTGGTGTTTTAGACATGAAGTCCTTGCCCATGCCTATGTCCTGAATGGTATTGCCTAGGTTTTCTTCTAGGGTTTTTACAGTTTTAGGTCTAACGTTTAAGTCTTTAATCCATCTTGAATTGATTTTTGTATAAGGTGTAAGGAAGGGATCCAGTTTCAGCTTTCTACATATGGCTAGCCAGTTTTCCCAGCACCATTTATTAAATAGGGAATCCTTTCCCCATTGCTTGTTTTTCTCAGGTTTGTCAAAGATCAGATAGTTGTAGATATGCGGCATTATTTCTGAGGGCTCTGTTCTGTTCCATTGATCTATACCTCTGTTTTGGTACCAGTACCATGCTGTTTTGGTTACTGTAGCCTTGTAGTATAGTTTGAAGTCAGGTAGTGTGATGCCTCCAGCTTTGTTCTTTTGGCTTAGGATTGACTTGGCGATGTGGGCTCTTTTTTGGTTCCATATGAACTTTAAAGTAGTTTTTTCCAATTCTGTGAAGAAAGTCATTGGTAGCTTGATGGGGATGGCATTGAATCTGTCAATTACCTTGGACAGTATGGCCATTTTCATGATATTGATTCTTCCTACCCATGACCATGGAATGTTCTTCCATTTGTTTGTATCCTCTTTTATTTCCTTGAGCAGTGGCTTGTAGTTCTCCTTGAAGAGGTCCTTCACATCCCTTGTAAGTTGGATTCCTAGGTATTTTATTCTCTTTGAAGCAATTGTGAATGGGAGTTCACTCATGATTTGGCTCTCTGTTTGTCTGTTGTTGGTGTATAAGAATGCTTGTGATTTTTGTACATTGATTTTGTATCCTGAGACTTTGCTGAAGTTGCTTATCAGCTTAAGGAGATTTTGGGCTGAGACAATGGGGTTTTCTAGATATACAATCATTCCATCTGCAAAGAGGGACAATTTGACTTCCTCTTTTCCTAATTGAATGCCCTTTATTTCCTTCTCCTGCCTAATTGCCCTGGCCAGAACTTCCAACACTATGTTGAATAGTAGTGGTGAGAGAGTGCATCCCTGTCTTGTGCCAGTTTTCAAAGGGAATGCTTCCAGTTTTTGCCCATTCAGTATGATATTGGCTGTGGGTTTGTCATAGATAGCTCTTATTATTTTGAAATACATCCCATCAATACCTAATTTATTGAGAGTTTTTAGCATGAAGCGTTGTTGAATTTTGTCAAAGGCCTTTTCTGCATCTATTGAGATAATCATGTGGTTTTTGTCTTTGGCTCTGTCTATATGCTGGATTACATCTATTGATTTGTGTATATTGAACCAGCCTTGCATCCCAGGGATGAAGCCCACTTGATCATGGTGGATAAGCTTTTTGATGTGCTGCTGGATTCTTTTTGCCAGTATTTTATTGAGGATTTTTGCATCAATGTTCATCAAGGATATTGGTCTAAAATTCTCTTTTTTTGTTGTGCCTCTGCCAGGCTTTGGTATCAGAATGATGCTGGCCTCATAAAATGAGTTAGGGAGGATTCCCTCTTTTTCTATTGGTTGAATAATTTCAGAAGGAATGGTACCACTTCCTCCTTGTACCTCTGGTAGAATTCGGCTGTGAATTCATCTGGTCCTGGACCCTTTTTGGTTGGTAAGCTATTGATTATTGCCACAATTTCAGCTCCTGTTATTGGTCTATATAGAGATTCAACTTCTTCCTGGTTTAGTCTTGGAATAGAGTATGTGTCGAGGAATTTATCCATTTCTTCTAGATTTTCTAGTTTATTTGCATAGAGGTGTTTGTAGTATTCTCTGATGGTAGTTTGTATTTCTGTGGGATCGGTGGTGATATCCCCTTTATCATTTTTTATTGTGTCTATTTGATTCTTCTCTCTTTTTTTCTTTATTAGTCTTGCTAGCGGTCTATCTATTTTGTTGATCCTTTCAAAAAACCAGCTCCTGGATTCATTAATTTTTTGAAGGGTTTTTTGTGTCTCTATTTCCTTCAGTTCTGCTCTGATTTTAGTTATTTCTTGCCTCCTGCTAGCTTTTGAATGTGTTTGCTCTTGCTTTTCTAGTTCTTTTAATTGTGATGTTAGGGTGTCAATTTTGGATCTTTCCTGCTTTCTCCTGTGGGCATTTAGTGCTATAAATTTCCCTCTACACACTGCTTTGAATGCATCCCAGAGATTCTGGTATGTTGTGTCTTTGTTCTCGTTGGTTTCAAAGAACATCTTTATTTCTGCCTTCATTTTGTTATGTACCCAGTAGTCATTCAGGAGCAGGTTGTTCAGTTTCCATGTAGTTGAGCGGTTTTGAGTGAGATTCTTAATCCTGAGTTCTAGTTTGATTGCACTGTGGTCTGAGAGATAGTTTGTTATAATTTCTGTTCTTTTACATTTGCTGAGGAGAGCTTTACTTCCAAGTATGTTGTCAATTTTGGAATAGGTGTGGTGTGGTGCTGAAAAAAATGTATATTCTGTTGATTTGGGGTGGAGAGTTCTGTAGATGTCTATTAGGTCCACTTGGTGCAGAGCTGAGTTCAATTCCTGGGTATCCTTAACTTTCTGTCTCATTGATCTGTCTAATGTTGACAGTGGGGTGTAAAGTCTCCCATTATTAATGTGTGGTAGTCTAAGTCTCTTTGTAGGTCACTCAGGACTTGCTTTATGAATCTGGATGCTCCTGTATTGGGTGCATATATATTTAGGATAGTTAGCTGTTCTTGTTGAATTGATCCCTTTACCATTATGTAATGGCCTTCTTTGTCTCTTTTGATCTTTGTTGGTTTAAAGTCTGTTTTATAAGAGACTAGGACTGCAACCCCTGCCTTTTTTTGTTTTCCATTTGCTTGGTAGATCTTCCTCCATCCTTTTATTTTGAGCCTATGTGTGTCTCTGCACGTGAGATGGGTTTCCTGAATACAGCACACTGATGGGTCTTGACTCTTTATCCAATTTACCAGTCTGTGTCTTTTAATTGGAGAATTTAGTCCATTTACATTTAAAGTTAATATTGTTATGTGTGAACTTGATCCTGTCATGATGATGTTAGCTGGTTATTTTTCTCATTAGTTGATGCAGTTTCTTCCTAGTCTCGATGGTCTTTACATTTTGGCATGATTTTGCAGCGGCTGGTACTGGTTGTTCCTTTCCATGTTTAGCACTTCCTTCAGGAGCTCTTTTAGGGCAGGTCTGGTGGTGACAAAATCTCTCAGCATTTGCTTGTCTGTAAAGTATTTTATTTCTCCTTCACTTATGAAGCTTAGTTTGGCTGGATATGAAATTCTGGGTTGAAAATTCTTTTCTTTAAGAATGTTGCATATTGGCCCCCACTCTCTTCTGGCTTGTAGGGTTTCTGCTGAGAGATCTGCTGTTAGTCTGATGGGCTTCCCTTTGAGGGTAACCCAACCTTTCTCTCTGGCTGCCCTTAACATTTTTTCCTTCTTTTGAACTTTGGTGAATCTGACAATTATGTGTCTTGGAGTTGCTCTTCTCGAGGAGTATCTTTGTGGCGTTCTCTGTATTTCCTGAATCTGAACGTTGGCCTGCCTTGCTAGATTGGGGAATTTCTCCTGGATAATATCCTGCAGAGTGTTTTCCAACTTGGTTCCATTCTCCCCATCACTTTCAGGTACACCAATCAGACGTAGATTTGGACTTTTCACATAGTCCCATATTTCTTGGAGGCTTTGTTCATTTCTTTTTATTCTTTTTTCTCTAAACTTCCCTTCTCGCTTCATTTCATTCATTTCATCTTCCATTGCTGATACCCTTTCTTCCAGTTGATCGCATTGGCTCCTGAGGCTTCTGCATTCTTCACGTAGTTCTCAAGCCTTGGTTTTCAGCTCCATCAGCTCCTTTAAGCACTTCTCTGTATTGGTTATTCTAGTTATACATTCTTCTAAATTTTTTTCAAAGTTTTCAACTTCTTTGCCTGTTGAAACTTTTTTCAAAGTTTTCAACTTCTTTGAATGTCCTCCCGTAGCTCAGAGTAATTTGATCGTCTGAAGTCTTCTTCTCTCAGCTCGTCAAAGTCGTTCTCTGTCCAGCTTTGTTCCGTTGCTGGTGAGGAACTACGTTCCTTTGGAGGAGGAGAGGCGCTCTGCTTTTTAGAGTTTCCAGTTTTTCTGTTCTGTTTTTTCCCCATCTTTGTGGTTTTATCTATTTTTGGTCTTTGATGATGGTGATGTACAGTTGGGTTTTTGGTGTGGATGTCCTTTCTGTTAGTTAGTTTTCCTTCTAACAGACAGGACCCTCAGCTGCAGGTCTGTTGGAGTACCCTGCCACGTGAGGTGTCAGTGTGCCCCTGCTGGGGGGTGCCTCCCAGTTAGGCTGCTTGGGGGTCAGGGGTCAGGGACCCACTTGAGGAGGCAGTCTGCCCATTCTCAGATCTCCAGCTGCGTACTGGAAGAACCACTGCTCTCTTCAAAGCTGTCAGACAGGGACATTTAAGTCTGCAGAGGTTACTGCTGTCTTTTTGTTTGTCTGTGCCCTGCCCCCAGAGGTGGAGCCTACAGAGGCAGGCAGGCCTCCTTGAGCTATGGTGGGCTCCACCCAGTTCCCTCTTCCAGGCTGCTTTGTTTACCTAAGCAAGCCTGGGCAATGGAGGGCGCCCCTCCCCCAGCCTCGCTGCCGCCTTGCAGTTTGATCTCAGACTGCTGTGCTAGCAATCAGCGAGACTCTGTGGGCATAGGACCCTCCGAACCAGGTGTGGGATATAATCTCGTGGTGCGCCCTTTTTTAAGCCCGTCGGAAAAGCCCAGTATTCGGGTAGGAGTGACCCGATTTTCCAGGTGCCATCTGTCACCCCTTTCTTTGACTAGGAAAGGGAACTCCCTGACCCCTTGTGCTTCCTGAGTGAGGCAATGCCTCACCCTGATTCGGCTCGTGCACGGTGCATGCACCCACTGTCCTGCGCCCACTGTCTTGCACTCCCTAGTGAGATGAACCCGGTACCTCAGATGGAAATGCAGACATCACCCATCTTCTGTGTCACTCACGCTGGGAACTGTAGACCAGAGCTGTTCCTATTCGGCCATCTTGGCTCCTTCCCCAGTTGTTTTTTTTTTAATCTGTAAAAACGGGGATGGTGGCACTTGGGATTTTTTTTTTTTTTTTTTTTTGAGACGGAGTCTCGCTGTGTCTCCCAGGTTGGAGTGCAGTGGCGCGATCTCGGCTCACTGCAAGCTCCGCCTCCCAGGTTCATGCCATTCTCCTGCCTCAGCCTCCCAAGTAGCTGGGACTACAGGCGCCCGCCAACACGCCCGGCTAATTTTTTGTATTTTTAGTAGAAACGGGGTTTCACCGTGTTAGCCAAGATGGTCTCGATCTCCTGACCTAGTGATCCGCCCGTCTCGGCCTCCCAAAGTGCTAGGATTACAGGCATGAGCCACCGCGCCCGGCCCGCACTTGGGATTTTTTGGTGAGGACTGTAGTTACCTGGAAAGGCCTTAGGATAGTGCCTGGTACATAGTGAGTGCTGCATCAGTGTGAGCTATTATAATTATGGGAATAGACAAAGGTGCCACCCTGGCCATCCAGAGTGGGGAGGTATTTTCCAGTCAGGGTCCAGGCAGGCCAGCTGGAGATGAAGCTGATTAGTGGGGAAGCTTAACTTCCAGGAGTGGAAGAATTTAGGAGGAGTAAACAGAATGCACAACATTCTGTAAACATTCCTTTACCCAACAGTAGGAATGCTCATAGTGGGTGTGGCTTCCGTGACAATCATTATCTCTTGGGAATTTAAGAATGTGTCCTAGAGTCAAATGGCTTTGATGTAAGCCAAACCCAGAAATGGGCTTCAGGTCTGCCTTACACATAGCATTCATTCATCTTGAAAAAGGAAAGCATTCATCTTGCTAAAGGAATCCCCTCTTCTGGCCCAGGTCATTATTTTTGTTTTTGTACTGTCCTAATTTTTAAGGTGTAAGGAGAAAGACCAAAGAATAAAATAATGAAGTACATGTATGAAATAACAGGGTAGAATTGAGACTGGTACGTGTAAGTTAAGAGAAATTGTGTATAAATTTTGTGTGAATAGAAAAAGGATTTCTTGTTGCAAACAGACCTCTCTATATAAATAATACCCATTGCCTTCAGTGGATAGCAGACTGCATCACAAGAACATTCCAGCAGAGTCACGAGAGAATGGGTAGTGTGGCTTCTGTAATTGGCAGGTTAGACAGAGTAAGTTACTGAAGAGAAAGGAGTTGAAGGAGAAGATGGGTGAGGGCAAGAAAAATGGGAAGGTGAAAGGAAAGAACTGAAAGGAATGTTTACCAAGGGCTCATCAGGTACCAGGCTCTGTGATTAATGTCTCACACATGTTAATTTACTCTTCCACTGTCATTTTCTGATGCAGTAAGAGTCAGTCTTACACTGCAGATGAGGAAAGAGGCTGAAGGAGGTCAAACGAGTGGCCCAGGGTCATCCAGCCACTTCATAGCAGAGCTAGTGTGTTTCACTGTGGTTTGCGCAGACAGAAAAGTGAGACATGGAAGGAAGGCAAAACATTTTTCTTGTCGGTGATGTTTATGAAAGTGACCTGTATGAGGCAGAATAATGGCCTCTTAAAAATGTCCACATCCAGGTCGGGTGCGGTGGCTCACGCCTGTAATCCCAGCACTTTGGGAGGCTGAGATGGGCAGACCACGAGGTCAGGAGTTCGAGACCAGCCTGGCCAACATGGTGAAACCCCGTTTCTACTAAAAATGCAAAAATTAGCTGGGTGTGGTGGCGGGCGCCTGTAATGCCAGCTACTTGGGAGGCTGAGGCAGGAAAGTCATTTGAACCTGCGAGGCGGAGATTGCAGTGAGCCCAGATTGTCCCACTGTACTCCAGCCGGGGCAACATGAGTGAAACTCTGTCTCAAAAAAAAAAAAAAAATCCACATCCTAACTCTTGGAACACATTTACTTGGAATGCATTTACTTTTCTTGGCAAAAACACTGTTCAAAGTTGATGAAGTTGAGTATTTTGAGATGGAAAGCTTATTCTGGCTTATCTGGGTGGCTCCCTGTATCATCATAAGGGTCCTTGTGAGTGAAAGAGGAAGGCAGGAGGGTCAGGGTGAGAATGATGCAGTCTGAGAGACTCCACTGGCCATTGCTTCCTGTGAACATGTGTGATAAGACAAAATTACAACTAATTTAGTTATAGATGTAATTGGCTTTTATTTGTGATTTATGATTTGGGGCAGCTCTCCCTCTACAGATGCTTCAGCATCCCAAGTAGCTGGGACTATATTGCAGGATCTGGCCAGCAGCCTGCAATGCAACGGGGCTCTTTCTTTGTTCCCAGGCAGATTGGCAGGTTGAGAAATAAAAGACACACACAAGATAGTGAAAGCTGGGTCCAGAGGGGTCACTGCCTTCTGGTCCTGCGATGCTGCCAATGCACTGGATATACCAGCATTTATTATTAAGTTTAGTGAGAGTGGGGGTAGGTTAGTGAGGGATTTAGGGTCATTTATAGGCTCTCCGTAAGGGTCACATTCCATTCCCAGAGCTATGGACATCTGCTTTTCTGGGATAGGAATCTTGGTAATGTGAAACCTCCCTGACTGCATGTCCGTTCATAGGCTCTCTGCAGGGGGAAGCACATCACGTGCTGTTGGCTCATTCTGGCAGTCCAACCTGGCATTTGTCTTTACACAATCCTGCATGCAACTTTGTATTTACAATAATCAGGAGCATTTCATCTTTCATTCCGTAGCAATAGTTCAGGGGTTCTCCCTACATCTCTGCTTTTCTCTGATTTAAATGAACCATAGCAATCATAGCTTGGCACTGATCACAATTGGATTGAAGAACATTTTTTCCAATTTTACACATGAACAATAAACCAACAGCACAAATTATACACAGAACAAAATTAACGATAGTGGATCCTCCCAAAGATTTTACCTATTGAATGGGGTTGAGATTAGATAACCCCTCAGAGATACTGTCTAAAACTTCAGCACTGGGTAAAGCAGTTAAGTGTGCTTGAGAAGCTTCAAAAATCTGTTCTTTCAGCTTGCTTATGTCTAAACTTAAATTATCTTCACTTCCTTGTAAATGGCATATTACTGATTCCCGATTGTGACCAGACTCTTTATATTGGAACAGAGTTTTACAAAAATCAGAAGTGTTCCAATCAGGTTGCATTTGTAATCTATGTTCTAAACTCATAATTCTATCTCCCATCCATGTAACAGAAGCACATCCCGTGCTGTAGGCTCATTCTCGCAGCCCAACCTGTCATTGTGTTTACACAATCCTGCGTGCAATTTTGTATTTACAATAATCAAGAGCATTTCATCTTTTATTCTGTAGCAGTAGTTTCTGGGGGTCTCCCTACAGGACTGCAGGTGCACGCCACCATGCCTGGCTAATTTTTGTATTTTTAGTAGAGACAGGGTTTCACCATATTGATCAGGCTGATCTTGAACTCCTGACCTTGTGATCTGCCTGCCTTGGCCTCCCAAAGTGCTGGGATTACAGATGTGAGCCACTGCACCCAGCCCATAAATCACACATTTCTTTGAGTTTTTGTAATTCCAGCACAAGAGAAACCGTTTGATATTTGAAGAATGGCTGCACACAAATATTTGCACAGAAATAAAAACATCTGTAGATTCCACCACATGAGGGAGAATACCAGTATGACTATCAGGAGGAAAATATCAAGAGTTTGGAATATGCACCTTAGGCAAGATGCAAACCAACTACAATAGGATAGATCAAAGAAGAAGCCAGAAGAGTCTAGTCATTTTAACCAGGCAGCACATTTATTGATTTTTACAACTGAGTCTCTATAATACCCGATGTATTTATCCATGTGCAACAAGAAGTGTCAGAAACTGCACAGACTCCCCGCTGTCCAGCTGGTAGAGAACAATTCTATTATCTAGCATTGCATGTCTATGTTAAATTAAAACAGGGAGTGAGAATAGGCAAGTATAGAAGTGGAAGCCTAAAAAAAACTCCATACATTTGAGGAAAAAGTTGTGTTACAGATGCAGCTAACGTCAGCCTTTGTGTGGACTAAAGGATGTCTTGTTATGTAAAAATGTGTGGGCTGGGTGCGGTGGCTCATGCCTGTAATCCCAGCACTTTGGGAGGCTGAGGCATGCAGATCATCTGAGGTCAGGAGTTCGAGAACAGCCTGACCAACATGGAGAAATCCTGTCTCTACTGAAAATACAAAATTAGCTGGGCATGGTGGTGCATGCCTGTAATCCCAGCTACTGGGGAGGCTGAAGCAGGAGAATCACTTGAACCCAGGAGGTGGAGGTTGCTGTGAGCCAAGATTGTGCCATTGCACTCCAGCATGGGCAACAAGAGCGAAACTCCATCTTAAAAAAAAAAAAACGAAGTGTGGTTGACATGATATATCTGACACTGTTAACTTACTCTCAGAGGCTATTTCTGGTGAAATCCTAAGTACAGCATTATTCTGGGAAGCAAAGGAGACAGGCAAAAGCAAAGACAAATTAAGAGAGGTAAGAGTCTCATCATGACTGATAGTCTTGTTCTGACATCTTGAGAAAAGCTGTCCACAGTGTAAAGTCATCAGCTTGTCGTGGTTTGCAGTTTGAGTGTCTCTAAGTTATGGTGTTGAACATTTGGTGAGCTCTTAGTGGCCCCCACCTCAAACACGAGGGTTTTCCCATGAAATTTACATTGAGTTGTCCACCTCCACCTTATATGGCTTCAGGAACAGAGCCGCTCTTGTTCTTAATGATTTCATTGGAGAAAACTGAATTGGAAGAACTAAAAGAATTCAGGGTCCAGTCCAGTCTACCAGTGGATTATAAATACTCAAAGATAATGAACAGTGGTTCAATCTGGTAACAGGTGTACTACAGTTTTTCTTTTCAGCTAGTTTTTCTCTCTATCGGAGTCTCTATTTTTACCAAAGATAATTCCAATAAGATGAATTTGCTTGCAAAATAGGTTGAGTCTCACCGAACTTGCCCAGATTTTTTACCTAAGTGCGGCAAGAGTAGCAATGGACCATAGAGGCTCTTTTTAAACTTCTCTTTGCTAGAAGTTTTTAATAAGAATCTCAGATGAAACTTCCAAAAACCTCTTGAGACTAGGAAGCCAAACCAAGGCCCACTTCAGACTTTGCCTGCATTCCCTATGGGTTTATTCTATGTATATTCTCAAATATAACATCCCAGTCAAAGCCTTGGTAATATAACCAATGTTTTCAAATGTGTCCTGTTATAAAGAGAGCAGATTCTTACGGAACATGTGCAAATAACTTTATTACCATAAACCTATGAATACTCATGAATAGTTTCACAATTCTGGGGCATTCAGATAGACAGCAAAAGCAAATATTTCAATTTTTGTTTACAAAAGTATACTTTACCAATTGCTGAAGAAAAAAAGTTCATAAATCTGGAGAATAAAACATTCAAAGAATCAGCACATTTTCCAATAAAAAATTATGAAAACATTATCCTTTTGATTATTTAGTCCAATAACATTGAGTTTTTTTCTTCTTTGTCTTGAATTTCATGAAGGTATCAGCCTGTTCTTTTTCTCAGTGTCTCAGTTGTTGCAGTCATGACTGAGACTCTGTCAGGTCTCCATGGCAGGGACCTGATTGACAGAAGGCCCAGGTCAGTGCATTTCAAATTCACTACCTCCTTTACACAGAAAGCTTCTTTCCTACAGGCTCCCAGGAAGGGTGTGAAAGCAAGCCTAGTTCTCTGAGGCTCTATTTAACTCTAATGGGTGGCTGGTTGGAGGATTCCCCATCAGCCTTGCAAATACTCTTAGAACTGCATTGGTACCTA
The DNA here is from genome assembly GCF_000001405.40 of Homo sapiens. Lineage (NCBI taxonomy): Eukaryota > Metazoa > Chordata > Mammalia > Primates > Hominidae > Homo > Homo sapiens. The sequence continues at coordinate 43,253,844 of NC_000019.10, forward strand.
AAACTTCTTTCTCTTTCTTTTTCACAGGAATCAGCTCTGCATAGTGTTCTGTGGGTTCTCCCATACTACCTTCATGCCTGCTCCACATTCCCTCACAGGTGTCTTCCCTGATAAATTACCTTGTATGTCTAATCCCATCTTGGATGCATCTCAGTTGGTAAAAACTAACATACCAGACTTGATTCTTTGCCCTTAGCTTTTTTTTTCTCTCCCACAAGTAGTCAGTAACCATGTCCTAGTGTTTTATGTGTTACCTCTTTTTCCATATATATGGAAAAAGGTAGGTACTGTTGAGGTGCACTTCCTATGTGCCAGGCCCTGTGCTCAATACTTTACCTGTATCTCATTTAAGCCACACAATAACCCTGTCACATAGACATTATTTCCATTTTGCCGATGAAAAGACAGAAGCTTAGCATGGTGTAAAAACTTTCCTGGTGTCATATGGCTAGTGACAGGTGGATCTGAGATTTGATTCTAGGACTATTTGACCTCAAGGCTAATGATGATGGTAGTAATATAGCAGCTGACATTGGTTCCGCTGTGTGTGGCATATTGTTTCATTGACTGCATTAAACCTTTAAAACAATGGTAAGAAGAAAGTACTCTCATTGCAATTTTCAGGTAAGGAATCAGAGGTTCAGAGAAGTTGAGTCTTGTGCAAGAAATTTATAACTGTAAACTCTTACATTAAAAAAGAAGAAAGATCTCAGGTCAACAACCTACTTTAATACTTCAGGATATGAAAGAAGAACAAACTAAACCCAAGCACAGTGAATGAGGGAAATAATAAAGATTAGAGTGGATATACATAAAATGGAGAATGGAAACAGAATAGAGGAAATTAATGAAACCAAAAGTTGATTCTTCAAAATAAAATCAACAAAATTGACAACCATTAACTAGATTGACTAAGAAAAAAAGAGAAAAGTTTAAAATTACTCAAATCAGAAATGAAAATGGACTCTGAGCATGGTGGGTCATGTTTTAATCCTAGCACTTTGGGAGGTCACAGCAGAAGGATTTCTTGAGACCAGGTGTTTGGACCAGCATAGGTAACCTGGGGAGATGCTGTCTCTACAAAAAAATAAAAAAAAATTAGCTGGGCATGGTGACATGCACCTGTAGTCCTAGCATCTTGGGAGGCTGAAGAAGGAGAATTGCTTGAGCCCAGGAGGTTAAGGCTGCAGTGAGCCGTAATCACACCACTGTATTCCATCCTGGGCTGGCCTACAGAGTGAGAGCCTGTCTCTCTCTCTTCCAAAAAAAAAAAAAAAGAAAGAAAGAAAGAAAAATGAAGCGATTACTACCAATTCTAATAAAATAATGATGATGAAAGTACTATAAATAATTGTATGCCAATAAATTGGATAACCTAGATGAAATGGACCAACTCCTAGAACCACACAAAAATATGAGTATAACTATAATCAGTAATAAGATTGAATCAATAAAAGCATTTGATGAATTCAATATTTTTTCATAATGAAAACATCCTAAGAATGGAAGGAAACCACCTCAACATAAAGGCAATATGTGAAAAACCCAATGCTAGCATCATACTCAATGGAGAAAGACTGAAAGCTTTCCCTGTATGAGCAGTAACAAGACAAGGATGCCTGCTTTTGACACTTTTATTCAACGTAGTATTGAAAGGTCTAGTCAGAAAAATTAGGCAAGAATTGAAAAAAAGACATTCAAATTGGAAGGAAGGAGTAAAATTATTTCTGTTTATAGATAACTTGAACTTATATGTAGAAAATCCTAAAGATTGAACAAACCTAATTAGAATTAATAAATAAATTCAGTAATGTTGCACAATACAAAATCAACATTCAAACATCTGTTGTATTTCAATACACTAACCATGAACAATCTGAAGGGAAATTAAGAAAAAAATTTCAATTTATATTAACATCAAAAAGAATAAAATATTTAGGAATAAGTTTAATCAAAGAGGTGAAATGATTATACCTGAAATCTACAAAATATTGCTGAAAGAAATGAAAGATGACATCAATAAATTGAAAGACATTTTGTTTTCATGAATTGGAAGACTCAATATTGTTAGGAGAACAGTGCTACCCAAAGTGACTGCAGATTCAATACAATTCCTATCAGATTCTCAGTGGCATTTTTGCAGAAAAAGAAAAATCTGTCCTAAAATTTATATTGTATCTCATGACTCTAAATAGACACACAGCTTTGAAGAGGAAGAATGAAGCTGGAGGACTCACACTTCCTGATTTCAGCATTTACAATGGGGAAGGGACAGTGTTCTCACCAAAGGATATTGGGAAAGCTGGATATCCAAGGGCAAGAAGATTGGAACCTTTACCTAACACCATGTACAAAAATTAACCCACAATAGATCAAAGATCTAAATGTAAGAGAAAAACTACACAACTCTTAGAAGAAAAGCTTCATGATACTGGATTTCCCAATGATTTCTTGGTTGTAACAACAAAAGCATAGGCAACAAATAAAATGGATAAATCGGACTTCACAAAAATCAAAGCTTTTATATGTCGAAGAACATTATCAAGAAAGTAAAAAGGCAACCCACGAAATGATAAAAATATTTGCAAATTATATGTGTGATAAGAAATTCATTTCCAGAATACATGAAAAGCTACAAGTCAACAACAACAAACATCCAAAAACCCAATTAAAAAATGAACAAAGGATTAAAATAGAGTTTTATCCAAGGGAGATATACAAATATCCAATAAGCCCATGCAAAGTTCCTCAGCATCACGAATACCTGGAGATATGCAAATCAAACCCACAATGCTACACCACCTCACACAATTTAGGATGGCTTTGATAAACAACAACAATGACAACAACACAAAACAACAGGTGTTTGCAAGTAGATGGAAAAATTGGAGCTCTAGTGCATTGCTGATGGGAATGGGAAATGTTATAGCCACTGTAAAAAGTGGTGTGGCTGTTTCTCAAAAAATTAAACAATAAATTACCATTTGATCCAGCAATTCCACTTCTGGACATACTCCCCATAGAATTGAAAGAAATTTGAACAAATATTTGTACACTGATGTTCAGAGAAGCATTACTCACACTAGCGAAAAAATGGAAACAACTGAAAAGTCCATTGAAAGATAAGTGGGTAGGCAAATGAGGTGTATCTATACATTGAAATGTTATTCAACCTTAACAAGGAATAAAATTCCAATACATCATGCAAAATGGATGAACCTTGAAGATATTATGCTAACTGAAATAAACCAGACACAAAAGGATAATTATTATGTAATTCCATTTATAAAAGATAGTTAGAATAGCCAGTTACATAGAGACAAAGTAGAATGATGGGTGCTAAGGGTTAGGGGAAGAAGGAGTGAGAGTTACTGTTTATTGGGTACAGAGGTTTAATATGGTAAGAGGAAAAAGTTCTGGAAATGGATAGTGTGATGGTTACACAACACTAAATTGCACACATAGAAATAGTTAATGGTAAGTCTTATATTAGATATATATAAAGTGTCTGGTAGTCTTACCCTCTCTATAATTACACACTTTTTGGCACTGCCCCTTTCCTGCCATGAATAACCCCAACGGTGAATCTCCCTATTCCTCCAGCTCTGCATCAGTCACTGTCCTCCGTGCTGTGTCCCACGTGCTGTGCCCAAAGCCTCATACAGCTGGTGACTTCAGAGCCAGGACGCAGCTCAGGAGTCTGCCCTGAGGCTCCCTCTCTTCTTATTTCCCTGCAGCCTGGCCCGGGGGAGGCTTGGCTTCAACTGGCAGCTCAATTTAGCCAAATTCAGGACAGGCCACCAGGGCCCTTTCTACACACACGCTAGTCCCACCCCAGGTTGAGTGAGGCAGGGCCAGTCACCAGAGGAGCCCGGAGCAGAGCAGGAAGCAGAGTCTGAGCTGCTCCTCCCTCACCCAAGGGGCTTCCTCCTCTCATCTGGGGGAAAAGTGTGAGCTTGTTTCAAAGCCTCAGCTGTCCCTTGTAGCTCATGGAATAGGTACAAGAAAAAAAAGACGTGGCAGAAGGGGATGTGTCGGTGACAGCGAGAAGCAACTTGATCTTGAGGACTCTCCTTCTTGTCCCTCTCTGAAGCCTCTTCTACCACATAGGGCTCAGGGCTGATAAAGCCCCCTCCCTACCTTTTTCAGGCCAGACACAAGGTCAGCCATAAGAAAACAGAAAAACAAGGAGAAGAGAGTCTGTAGAGACAAATTGGGAGGGTTCAGGAGGAGAATTTGGGATTTGCTTGTGCCCATGGGACACAGGCTGGGAATAAAAATGTTTTCCTGACTCTTCTCTGAAAGCCAGATAGACTCCACATAAAACCCTACTGCCAAGGATGCTGGGATCCACTTACCAGAGACTTTGACTGTCATGGATTTGGAGATTTCCTTGCCAGTGGCTGAGTTATGAACAGAGCAAGCATAGAGCCCGCTATGATTTCTAGTAATTTGGGGGATAAAGAGCTTTTGTCCTGATTGCTGAAACTTCCCATTAATTGTCCAAAAATACTCTGCCGGTGGGTTAGATTCCGTGAAGCAGGACAAGTCGAGGTTTTCTCCTGAACGGTAATAGGTGAATGAAGGGTAAATTCTGGGGAGGTCTGGACCATCTGGAGGAAAGAGAATAAAGCCACACGTGATGTCATTCGAGGGAAGGGGATGTTCCTGGTCTCTTAAAGGGACACAGTGACCCTCTGAGCCAAGACACACCCTCAAGTCCCAGCCAAAGTCCCTCTATGTTCACTGAGCTGAAGCCTGAGGTATTCACCTGTTTCTCCCATCACAAGCTGTGGGCCCCAAGTCTCCCATGACAAGAGCATCCACTCCCCTTATATTCTTGGTTAAGGCTGTGCCTACCCAGGTTTTCCCAGGGCAGGGAGTCATGGCCACCTCGGATGTCTAGAAGTAAAGGTGTCTATACTTGGACCGGAGAGAGACTGAGAGGCCTGGCATCTGGTCGTTTGGACTTAAGCTGGTGTCCTGGCCCACAGAGGAACAAAAGATACTCACAGAGGACATTTAGGATGACTGGGTTACTGCGGAGGCCACCATATCGGTCCCGTATTTCACATTGATAGGGTCCTGTTTCATTTCTCGTGACACTGGGTAGAATGAGTATCCTGTTTTCAATGGGTCGCTTTACCCCGGGACTGACGGGGAGGCTCTGACCGTTTAGCCACCAAATGTAGGTGTAGTTCTCACTCTTAGGTTCACAGGTGAAGGCTAAGACATCCTTATTCTCCCTGGGGTTTAAGTTGTTGATGGTGATGTAGGGGATGGGCAGCTTCGCTGTGTGGATAACAGAGAGAAGATTGTCCTGTGTGGCACCTTTGATTCCTCCACAGGCATACTTCAATCAGAGTTGGCATCTCCCACCTCTCAGCCCACCCGAGTCCTTGAAAGCCAATAGCTGGTGCGTGTGTCACAAGACAGATGCATGATGATCTAAGGGCTCAAAGACTGTGAGGCCGCCTGCTCTGTCTTAGGGAAGCACAGACTTTCTCAAGTGTCAATTGAGCAGCAGTGTTGGGTCATGGACAGACACATCAGTGGGAGTCACAGCCCCTGGTACCCCTCCCAGTCCCTCCCTAATCAGTTGACTGGCTGGCTCACCTTGGGTTCCTTACCTGGAATGTGCAACTGCTGGGCCCCTTCCAAATTCCATCCTACTTTGCCCCCCTATATGTGATTTCTCTGCAGCTTCCATTTCTAAGGATGTTCTAGAGATGAGTAATAATGGGACTTCCCATTGTCCTGAGACCCTGAAGATACTTAGCAGCCTGGCCTGGGACTGGATGTTTCAGCAGAAATAACACAGAGGAGACCAGAGTCAAGCCTGGAGGTCAGTTCAGTCATCAGGCAGTGGAGGCTCAAGGTGGGGCAGTTTTTTGCAGGTGTTTCATGATGACTTACTTGAACCAGTGACCTCTAAACATAGAGCAGAGTGCAAGGAATGATCTAGAAAGAGTGAAGGCGACAGGCAAGAGCTGGTGGCTTTGGAGCAGAACCATGTTCTCTGTCCTGGGTTCTTTAAGTTTCCTCTCCTTCTGCAGAGGGCAGAGGAGGACCATGTGGATCTTTCCAGAAATACATGTGGACATTTGCAAATGCAGAACTGACTGGTGGAAAGTGTGGGAATGAACTGCTGGAAATCTGGTCCTCATGGACCATGTGTGTTTGATGGATATGAGACAAACTTGGAGAGAAGTTTTGCAAATATTTTCTTTCATTGGACATTCTACTCTCTGATCCCCTGGGTTCGACTACTCTAGGGACCTCATGTAAGTGGATTCCAGAGTGAATATGAGAAGAGACTGCTGGTTGCCAGGAGCTGGGAGTGGGGAGAATCAGAAATTGTTCATGGGTGTGCAGTTTCAGTTATGCAAGGTGGGGAGGTTCTAGAGATCTGCTGTAGAGCTTGATGCCTATAGTTCACACAGATTGAGTATTTCTTATGCATAAGTCTTAGGACAAAAAGTGTTTTGGATTTCTGACATTTTTTTATTCTGAAATATTTGTCATATACTTACTGGTTTAGCATCCCAAATCTGAAAGATTCAAAATCTAAAATGCTTCAGTGAGCATTTCTTTTCAGCATCAGATTAGTAGGCAAAAGTGGGAGGTGATAAGCCAAAGATATTCTTGCCCTTTTTTTTTCTCTCACCACTTTTCTAGCTTGATGATTAGTTTTTGGTCAATTCCATACTGGCCATGCTGCACTCATATATTTTTTAAAGCTTTGGGATGTGAGAAAGGCTGATTGCTATTTTCTTTGTCATCAGAACTTTCCACCTTTTCTGGTTGCATCTTTTTCTCAGTGTTTGTGTTGTGGCAGTCATTAATAAGATCCTGTCAGGTCAGATTTAGGACAGAGTTTTCTAATTCTGCAAAAAATGTTACTGGGATTCTGGTAGGGGTTGCATTGAATCTGCAACTCAATTGGGTAGTATTGTCTTTCTAACAATATTGATTCTTCCAATCCATGAAAATGAAATGTCTTTCCATATATTGATATCATCTTTAATTTCTTTCAGCAATGTTTTGTAGTTTTCAGGGTATAATCATTTGACCTTTTTGGTTAAACTTATTCCAAAATATTTTATTCCTTTTGATGTTAATGTGAATTGAAATCCTTTCCTTAACTTCCTTTCAGATTGTTCATTGTTAGTGTATAGTCTAAAGAATGATCTAGAAAGAGTGAAGGGACAGGCAAAAGCTGGTGGTTTTGGAGCAGAAACATATTCCCTATCCAGGGTTTTTTATTTTCCCTCTCCCTTTGCAGAGGGCAGGTGGCTGTTCCCTGACAGCTAGATAGACTTCACTGGAAAACATAGTGCCAGTGCTCCAGGGACCCACTTACCAGGGACTATGATCCTCTTGATTATGAGATTTGTTCCACCAGTGGCTGAGTTATGGATGAAACAGACATAGACCCTCTATATGTTTTAGTGATTTGGGGGATAAAGAACACTTGTGCTGAGTGCTGGAACTTCCCATCAATCAGCCAAGAATGCTCTGCCAGTGGGTGAGAGTCTGTGAGGCAGGAGAGATTGGGGAATTCCCCTGTATGGTAATAGATGTATGAGGAAGAAATGGTGGGTGCATCCAGGCCATGTGGAGCAAAGAGAATAATGTCACAAGCGATATTGTCAGAGGGAAGGGAAAATCCTGGTCTGTGGAAGGGCCACAGTGACCCTGTGAGCCAAGTCGCAACACTGAAGTCCCAGCCAAATCCCTGCTGTGTTCACTGATCTGGAGCCTGAGACATTCACCTGTTTCTCCCATCACAAGCTGTGGACCCAGAGTCTCCCATGACACAGCAGCCTCTTTTCTCCCATTGTTGATCAAGCCTAGGCCTACTCTGGTTTGCTTGGGGCAGAAAGTCATGGCCAGCTTTGATGTCTAGGGGTAAAGGTCTCTGTACTTGGACCTGAGAGGGACTGAGAGGCCTGGCCTCTGGCCATGTGTATTTGGGATGGCAGCCTGGCTCACAGAGGAACAGAAGATACTCACGGAGGAGATTCAGGGTGACTGGGTCACTGCGACTGGCACTCACTGGGTTCCGTATTTCACATTCATAGGGTCCTGCAATATACTTTGTGACACCAAATAGATAGAGGGTCCTGTTGGTTTTGGACAGCTGCAACCTGTGAGTCACAGGGAGGCTCTGACCATTCATCCACCATAGGTAGCTTGCGTCCAGAGTCTCAGGATCACAGATTAAGCGCACAGCCTCCATGGCCTCCCTGGGGTTTAAGTTGCTGCTGGAGATGTAGGGCTTGGGAGTCTCCACTGTGCAGAAAACAGAGAGAAGATTGCCCTGTGTGGCACCTTTGATTCCTCCAAAGGCATTTTTCAGTCAGAGTTGGCATTTCCCACCTCTCAGCCCAACCCAGTCCTTAAAAGCCCATGGCAGGTGTGTGTGTTACAAGACAGATGCATGGCAATCTGAGAGCTCAGAGATTGTGAGGCTGCCTGCTTTATGTGGGAGAAGCACAGACTTTCTTAAGTGTGAATTGAGCAGCAGCATTGGGTCATGGAAAGACACAGGACCAGCAGTCACAGCCCCTGATGCCTCTTTGAGTCCCTCCGTCTCCAACTGCCTGACTGGCCCAACTTGTGGTCCTCACTTGGAGCATGCAGTGCTGGAATCCTCTTAGTTTCAGTCTTACTTTGCCCCCTGAGGTATGTTTTCTCTGCAGCTTCCCTTGCCAAGGACATCCTAGAGATGGGTGATGGAACTTCCCATTGTCCTTAAACCCTTTGGGTATTGGAAAGCCTGGTCTGGGACTGGGTACTTCAGCAGAAATAACACAGGGGAGACCAGAGTCAAGCCGGGAGGTCAGTTAAGACATCAGGCAGTGGAGCCACAAGGTGGGGCAGTTTGCAGTTTTCCCAGGTGTCTCATAGTGACTGACTTGAGCCAGTGACCTCTAACGATAGAGCAGAGTCCAAGGAATGACCTACAAAGAGTGAAGGGGCCAGGCAGTAGCTGATAGCTTTCGACCAAGACCATGTTCCCTGTTCTGGGTCCATGATGCTCCCTTCCCCCTGTAGAGGGCAGGTGAGGACCATGTGGATCTTTCTAGAAATACATGTGGATGTTTGCAAATGCAGAACTGACTGGTGGAAAGGGTGAACATGAACAGATGATGGAAGTCTGGCCCTCAAGGACCATATGCGTTTGGTGGATATTAGACCAATATTTGGGAAGAAGTCTTGCAGATACTTTCTCTCATTGGACATTCTACTGTCTGATCTGAGTTTGACTACTCTATGTACCTCCTATCAGTGGATTCCAGAGTGAATCAGAAAGTAGAATAGTAGTTTGCAGGAGCTGGGATCAGGGGAATAGGGTGTTGTTCCGTGGGTGTGCAGTTCCAGTTATGCAGGATGAGGAGGTTCTAGAGATCTCCTGTACAGCTTCATGCCTATAGTTCATACAGATAAAGTGCTCCTTATTCAGAAAGCTTAAAACAAAGTGTTTTGGATTTCTAATTTTTTTTATTTTGGAATATTTGCAGTACATGTACTGGTTTAGCATCCCAAATCTGAAAAATTTAAAATCCACAATGCGCCAGTGAGCACTTCTTTTTAGCATCACATCAGTGGTCAGAAGTGTTGACTTTTGAGCATTTCAGATTGTGGATTTCTGGATTTGGGATGCTCAATTTGTTATACTGTAATTTTCCCATAAAAAGTTGTCAGGAGTTTAGACCTCATGTTGTGTTCTGACTCTAGTAACAAAAAAAAAAAAAAATTTGGAGGAAACATTAAAATGTTTTCATAAGTGGAAACTTTTACTGATGGTCCAAACATCTAAGATCAATTGCTGGTAGTAGTATTTCTCTTGAGACCAAAATAAGGTTTAGGTGTGCCGTGAATTCCAGCAGGATCACATTATGCTCAAAGAAAGATGCCAAAGGTGATTGGAAATTAGCAGCTCCTTAAGTAGAGAGAGTCCCGTTAAAAGGACCGAACTGGTCAGTGCATCAATTACATAAAGGGAGGAAGGATGCCAAATTAAAAGAAGTGATGTGTGTTATGTTAGTAAATATAGAAAGAACTCCCTGCTTCTAATTTCTGTGCAGAATTAGGAAAAATGGGGAGGACTGCAAAACAGGTAGGTGAAATGCTTTCTTCATTTTCTCTTAAGCTCAGGAAACACCACTAAAATTTAAGTCTGTGTGAATCAGGAAGATTCTAAGTGAGATGCCAATGGCTCGTGTGTCTCCCCACATGCAGAACTCCAACTTATGAAAATGGCATCATCATGAGGAAATAGTTGTATGAGACACAGGCAGTAAAACCATTAGATATCACCCACCTGGCCACCTCCAACTGGTCCCCAAAAACCACCAGTATTCCCATTATGTGTATGTTACAGCCTTTGTAGTTGTCCCACAACTACAAAATTTAAAAATTGCTATTGTCAAAACAAAATATTAAATATGAAGTTGAATATGTTGTTCCACTTTTTCTTCCCCACTTTTTTTGAACTTTCCTTTTTCAGTTTTGGAAGTTTCTATTGACACATCCTCAAGCTAGGGATTCTTTCCTCAGCTGTGTGCAGTCTACCAGTAAGCATCAAAAGCATTCTTCATTTCTCTGACAGCATTTTTTTTTTCTGAGACAGAGTCTCGCTCTGTCACCCTGACTGGAGTGCAGTGGCATGATCTCAGCTCACTGCAAGCTCCGCCTTCTGGGTTCACACCATTCTCCTGCCTAGGCCTCCCAAGTAGGTGGGACTACAGGCGCCCACCACCACGCCCGGCTAATTTTTTGTATTTTTAATAGAGACAGGGTTTCACCCTGTTAGCCAGGATTGTCTCCATCTCCTGACCTTGTGCCCGCCTCGGCCTCCCAAAGTGCTGGGATTATAGGCTTGAGCCACTGAGCCCAGCCATCTCTGAGGGATTTTAATGAGTTGTTGACTTTTGAGATTGTTCAGCTTTTTACTTAGTGTTAGAACTGAGTGACAAATTCCAAGCTTGTTATATGCCTGACAGGAAGCCAGAAGTCTCTAGGAAGTGACCAGAGAATGTGAGCTCCATAGCAGGTTGAGGATGGAGTCACAAATGAAATGGGTGAAATGAGTCCATGTGCTTTGGGGACTGCAGGCCTCTCCAGCCTCTGACACCCTGGTTAGTCAGGGCAGAGATTACACAGTGACAGGAAACTAGCATGGCTGACTCCATCTGGCATCTAGTCTCAGGCTGGCTGTCCTCACTCATTCCTGGACATAGGTCAGGCTAACCTTGGGAGGAATTTATTTTATGGTTTAACTTTGAAGCAAGAATGATAATAGTTCCTCCATAAAACTAACACCCTTACTTTGCCCAGGGACTGCTTTTGTCAAACTAGTGAAAGACCATGAGATTAAGATTATAGGAGGGAACTGAATTCTGCTAAAATGTTGTCACAGTTTCTATAATCCCTGACTGCTCCGATGTCATTTGGCAAGAGTTTACAAAATTTGTAACTAATTGCTCCTATAGATAACATCACTATTGTAGAACGTGAGATTGGTCTTTTGAGATGTTTCTCATTCTTTTGCATTCTGGCAACCGGCTGACCTCATCCATACCTATGACTAATGGCTCAGTCAGTCATGTGGCCCCTACCTGGAGGCAGATTCAAGCACAAACAAATCATTTCCCTCCGGCCGCATGATTCCATCACCAAACAATCAGCAGTACTCATTTTTTAGTCCTGTGCCCCTGAAACGATCCTTGAAAATCTCTAACCCCTGATCCACTGGGGAGGCTGATTTGAGTAATAATAAACATCCGTCCTCCTGTTTGGCAGACTTGGAGTCATTAAAATCTTTCTCCGACTACAGACCACCATTTCAATAATTTTTTTTGTGTGTGTGTGCAGGAGGCCAGAAGAACTTGTCTGGCAATTATGAGTGGATGGAGGAACTGCCTATCCCTGTCCCATGTTCTTGTCCACAGGTCAGACTGACAAAGGGAAAGAGCCATGGATGGGAATACAGTGGAATATTTCTCTTAGTGACCTGGGGACATTGGCTGGAGATGAAGCCAGGCAGGAGTGGCAACTCCAGGTGATTTCTGTGCCTTTCCTATTTCCTGGGAGGTGGGCCAGGCCACAGTGTTAGTAGGAAGGGAACCGAACAGCCAGCCTAGTTAGAGGGAATGTCTGGGGAAGGCCTAGGGGTGGGGGAAGAAGCTGTGCAGGACAGGGCTTGCCAGTCAGAATGAAGTGGGAGGAAGATGAGGGACACAGAGAAGCAGAGAGAGGCAGAGACACCATGGCAGTGAGCAGTGAGGGAGACACTGACTTCAGAGACCCCAGGGCCCAGGTGCCCCCAGTTCCACAGTCCAGGACCAAGGAGCCCTGAGAACCCTCCGGTGGCCAAAGAGCTTCAGAGTTACATGAGGTGGGGTGGCTTTAGGGGCAAGAGGTAGTGGGGGGATGAAACGTGGGTGTCAGCCTCTGAAGGACAAGGGACAGGTGTGGCTAGAACCTCCTAGGATTCTGCATGCAAATTCAGTCTCTAAAGAGGTTTTGGATCATTCATTTCTTCATTCAAGTTCTTCATTCATTATGTGAGAGCTCCTGAGTGTGTGTCTCTCGCTGGGCCTGTGCTGGTGTAGGGTGTGAGTGGGGAAAGAAAACAAGGTCCTCTCCTTGATCCTCTCATGACAGTGACATGGACACTTTGGGAAACACAGGATTTCACGTTCAGTGATGGGGGTTAAGATCTGAGGGGGAGGCCTGGACATATTTTTTGCACTGACTCTGATGGTTGAGGCAGGTGATTTAGTTCTGGAATACAGACTAATCAGCTGACCATTTGCTCTCACTCCTCTGAGGTTTGGATGCCTAAGAAGAGAGGATTTGAGCCAATAAATGACTATGGGGTCCTTGGAACCCAGTAAGCCCTCACTTCTGGTGGAGGAGAGGATAGGCCTGTGGCTGCAGACAGACCTCATGTGACCCTGATCTCCCCTTTGTGTTTGTGTGACTCTGGTTCAGTGACTGCACCTTCCTGTGCCTCAGTTTTCTCTCAATCAAATAAACTAAATGGCAAATGGACTGTGGCTTTTCATGCTATCTGTGAATAAATGTTAAATGATTCACAGTCACCTGACCTAATGCTTGGCACAGTGGAGGTTTCACACAAGCAGCATTTATTATTAATTTGCTTCCATGAGAAAGCACCTTATGTCAGATCCCTGTGGACAAGCTGCTACCAGGTACATCTTCTCCCTTCTGTTTCTGCTTCTGGGGACATTAGACTTTCTATGGACTGTCCTAAGCCTCCCAAGGCAGTTGGCTGATGTCCTACAAAGCTTGTCTTTCTGTCCTCTCCACTCTGAGTGTCAGCTGAAAAAGCTCTGTCCTTGCCCAGATGAGACTCTGAGGGCTGAGCCCTGGCTGGTGAACAGCTCCAGGAGACACAGTCCTCAGACAGCTGGTAAATTCTTGGTCCCAGTAAGGCCTGCCCAAGAAGCCACAACCCAGCACTGGCACAGGCTCCTCAGCTTAACTGGAGCAAGGATTTAGGGACAGGGGTCTGGGGTTGAGGCTTCTAGGGCTGAGCTTCTCTGAGAGTATCTCAGGGGTCCCCTCAAGCCAAGCCCTACTCAGTTCTCCAGGGTCTTTCTCAGGGTCAAATTTATGAAGAGGGCATGATGTGCTTGGCTGAGACTGATCTCCTCCTGCTGAGTCCCCCCATCAGACTGTCCTTCCTCTGCAGCGAGTGTCTGCAGGGTCTGGATGCGGGAAAGGAATTCTGATCTGTTGAAATTTGTCTCCTCTGTGTGTGTCCTGCACTAAATGCCCAAACCCCAGCATGGGACATAATGCAGAGAGTGACACAGGCAGAGTCCAGGCCTGACAATCCTGTGTGTGTGAAGTAGAAATGACCCCTTCCCCCCAACACCCAGGGATCATGTGGAATCACTCACAGTATAAGGTGAAGGTGAAATGTCGAATTTCTTCTCTAGTCTCATCACCTCGCTTTATGATGTGTAAGGTGTAGGTTCCTGCATCCTTCCGGGTGACATTCTGGATCAGCAGGGATGCGTTGGAATATACTGTTTCTCTTCCACTGTATGCAGGCCCATATATAATTATTTTACCATCAACTATATACGATATAATGTAATGGTAGAGGTCCGTCATTTCCCCTTTGTACCAGAAGTAGCCAGGAAGATTCTGGGGCAAATTGTGGACAAGTAGAAGAACATCCTTCCCCTCAGAAACTTTGGGTGGCTGGGCTTCAATCGTGACTTCGGCAGTGGTGGGCGGGTTCCAGAAGTTTAAAAGTGATGCTAGGAGGGGGAGACAGCATCAGTTAATATTGAGACCTATGTATTGTGGTGAAAAGATGGGGCCCTGGGTCCTGAGAAGGTCTCTTCCATCCTCAGCCTTGAAGATACACACACGCACACATACAAACAAACACACACAAAAAACGGGCATGTGTGTTTGTGTATGTGTATGTGTGTGTGTCCTACTGTCCTACTAGGTCAAGGTCAGCAGCATGACCCCCATTCCTTCAACACTTCTGACCTTGGCATTTTTCTGTTTGGAATCCTCTTCCCCAGGGGTCCACACGGCCCCCTCCACACTGCCCTCAGGTCCTGCTCACATCAGGGCATCCTTAGACTTCTTTCCTGACACCTCCTTCAGAGACCCTGGGTCTTCCCTTTCTGACCTTTCCCTGCTCTGCTCCCTCCAGGGTTCTTGTCAACACCTGATCTCACATTCTACATCTCTTCGCATGTCTGTCTTCCTCCCCATGACAGCGTGAGCTCCGTGAGGACAGGGACTTTTGTGATCCTGGTTGCACCCCAGTGCCTGGGACAGGCTGCAGACTCCTGTAGATGTGAGAGTTCTCAGGGCCCTCCATGCCCTGGGTGTTTTTTTTTCCCCCAATTGTTGAGGTTTTTTGCTGAGGATAGTGTTTCATGTCCTGCTTATATTTTTATTTGAAGTGTCATCTGATATAGTTATTATTATCATTTTTCAAAATGTGGTGGCCCCGGATGATTAATCAGGAAAACAGAACACTTAAGATTTTCCTACCTCTTACCAATTCCGGTTCAATGTGACTTTCCTCTTTTG
This sequence comes from Homo sapiens, assembly GCF_000001405.40. Taxonomy (NCBI): domain Eukaryota; kingdom Metazoa; phylum Chordata; class Mammalia; order Primates; family Hominidae; genus Homo; species Homo sapiens. The sequence continues at coordinate 43,268,946 of NC_000019.10, forward strand.
ACCCCTGTCCCTCTCTGGTGTATTTTCCCCTATCCAGGCTGCAACAGAGCCTTCTTTCCTTTTTTTCTTTTTTTTTTGAGACGGAGTCTCGTACTGTCGCCCAGGCTGGCGTGCAGTGGCGGTATCTCGGCTAGCTGCAACTTCTGCCTCCCGGGTTCACATGATTCTCCCACCTCAGCCTCCCGAGTAGCTAGGATTACAGGAGTACACCACCATACCTGGTTAATTTTTTATATTTTTAGGAGAGACTGGGCTTCACTGCATTGGCCGGACTGATCTTGAACTCCTGATCTCGTGATCCACCCACCTCAGCCTCCCTAAGAGCTGGCTTCTTTTATTTTACAACCCCATCCTCTCCAGGAGACCCCATCCAGTCACTCCGCTTCCTCCCCCTGTCCTCTCCCAGGAAGTTCTCTCCTCACCTGTGAGCAGGAGCCCCTTCCAGGTGATGCGCTGTGTGCAGGAAGGGGCTGGGAGGGGCCCCATGGTCTCTGCTGCCTGTGTGTTCTCCTCTGTGGAGATGAGCCTGGGATCCAGAAGCTGTCTGAGCACGGCTGTCAGCTGTGCTGTCCTTCCTCCTTCTGTGCTGAGCCTCTTCCCGGGGCAGGAGCACTTCTCAAGCTCATGGGCGGGGTCAGTCCCAGGACACCTCTCTGTCCCCTTCTCTCTCAGTCCTGCCTCCTTGTCCCTCCTTCTGTTTTTCCTTTTGTCTGTGTTTCAGGTCCCTGGGAGTTGTGGAGGCCTCTGCCTTTTTCAGCAGTGATTCTTTCACCAAACCTCAACACACACTTTGTGCAGACACACACACACACACACACACACACACACACACACAGAAGAGACACACACAGACCCACACAGTCAGGCACATACCCTGCAGGTTGGGCAAGCACAGTCCTGGGCCTCAGCCTCCTGCTGTCCCCATGGCTCTGGGTTGGGGTGCACATTCATGCCTTTTACCCTCTTTCATCCCCATCTGGCTCTCCCCTTCAGTGCAGGAGGCTGGAGATGCACCAGGTCCCTGTCACAGTGACACCCCATTGTGCTGTGGGTGAGCTGTGTGTTGCCTGGTGAGAGGGACCCTTCCTTTCTCTAATCGTGTCAAGCTTGACTGCAGCTTCCAAGGATGGACTTTCAGGACCTGGGTGTCCCAGAGGAAACTGTCCTTCCTGGAGGTGTGCAGGGTGAATCTCTCATGCCTCTTAGGAGGAGAGGCCTGTGCTGGTTGCTCAGTGGGGGCTGTGAGTCCCATAGTCAAAGGGACAGTTCTCTGTCAGTCTATGGCTCCCTGGGGTCTGGCGGCTGAGCTGGAGCTCAGGGTTTCTCATGTTCTCCCTGACCATCTTTGATGTCCTCTCTTCTCTGCCCAGCTGATTGTCCTGTGGTCACCACACCTTCCCCGTGGTGGTGCAGGAGGAAGTGGGGAGTTACCCAGGAACCCCGCGGGACATGGCTCATTGAGACGCAGGAGGGGGAGCCTGGGACAGAGCAGGGGTTCAGAGCTGGAGAGATTCATCCCGACTTACTCCGTGGCCATGATGGGCTCAGCCCTCCATGTGCTGACACACCCAGGGGTCTGTCCTGAGGGTTTTGACCTGGCCAAGCTGCTGTCTGTAGAGGAGGAACAGGCAGTGACCAGAGAGGCTCTCTGGAGGGACGTTGCTCACACCTGAGAGGGCGGGTGGGGGTGAGTTGTGTTCTGGGAGCAAAGAGCAATAACACCGCCCTTCTCCACGCAAGTACACAGGAGAGGTCTGTCTTCCCAAGGGACAGCTGGGGGTAGGTGGCCACATCCCGGATGGTACCTGTGAATGACCATCACACGCTCTCTGAGCCCCCTGGGGTGCAGGGGGCAGGCAGGTGACAGGGTGCCTGGCTGATTCCCGGGGAGGCTGTGGGCCCTCAGGCAGCCGCTGTTCTGTGTCGGCGCTAGGCTTGGCCTGGGAAGCCCCAGAGAACAGGACAGATGGAGCAGGGGCAGGCATTTAGGGAGCAGTGACAGAAAGAGTTGATGAGGATGGAGAGAGTTCACGAGGGGAAAGCGCCCAGTGTGGCGTCGCGTGCACCAGCGCTGCCCTGGGAGATGCCTTTAGCTGGGCCCAGGGAAGGAGCAGGTGTGTGGGGCAGGAGCTCCCTGCAGAGGGAGTGGTGTTAGGTTGGCGGCCGCCAGGTCAGGGAGGAACTGACAGAGTCCGTGTGGGGAGCATGGAGGGTGCTGAGGACTTGGGCCGAAGTGACCCTGGTGAGGGTGGACCCTGCTGGGCTGTGGGTTCCGCTGAGGGAGGTTGGCATCCCCTGGGAAGGCTCCAGGCTGGGAGGGACTCTGTCGCCCTCTGGTGGACAGGGAGGGAAGTGTGAACGGCAGCAATCCCAGGCCAGGCTGCATGTTTTATTCCACTTCACACGAGGTCACACATATGTTATGTTACAGCTCCTTCACCTTCCAGCCCCGTGAGTCCCAGTCTCTGTGGCTCTACGTTCACTGTTATCCCTCTTTCACAATCAGATGTCCCAAACGCAGATTTTTGTCACCTTCTGTGAGTTTGTGTTTGTGTGCAGTAGGCAACACTGTGAATACCCTGGGGGCAGTGATGCCTGGGGCTGAGCACTGCACATGGGTTTGAGAGCAGAAGAGGGAGCAGCAGGGTGGGAAGATCAACGTCAGGGGGGCAAGGACAAGTCATTTTCATTTTCTCACTCCCAGGGACCAGAACCCAGGATTCTGACTCCAGGGCACAGTACCACACCCTGCTGGTGTCCCTGGATGTCATGATGCTCATAGTGTCATGTTGCCTTGGCATTCATTTTTTAAGGTGTAAGTTTATTTGCCTCAAATCAGAGGCAGGGCTTGGTCACCATGGTAGTTTTCAATACTGTGTCTGGTTCAAGTGGCTCCAGTTGGTGTCCAGAGATAAAATCTTAGAGGCATCTCTCCTGCTTGGTGTGCTGGGCTCCCCTCTCTCAAGCTGCTTTCTTTAAACTGATAATTCTGACATTCGCCCTCACATTTAAAGTGACTACCTCTCAGTCACAGCGTGAGCTCCTGGTCCCAGTGTTTGCTGCTTGCTTTGAACACATCCATTAAAGCTCCCTGCTGGAAACCTGTCAGATAACACCCTGGACTTAATAAAGCCATTCGCTTACAGGTCTCTTCTCTCCTCCCTGCATGGGGTCACTGACCACTGTGTCTGTGGTCTCCAGGTGTGCCGAGTGCTCCCTAGTGTCTGGAAGTAGTAAAAATACTTACATTTTCACGTTGTGGTTGTATTGCTGTTGCCTCACATGCCATCCAGGGCCTGACATTGAGGCTGCCCTATGGGACCTGTGCTGGTTGAGCCCTTGCTGGAGCTCTTGTTTTGGGGCCTTTGATTCTCCTGGGGACAGGAGCTTCCAGCTAATTTGATTGAAATACTGATGTGTTTCATTGACACACTGGGTCAGATGATGTATTCATGGGCTTCAGCTGCCATAACAAACACCTTAGCTTGGGTGAACGATATAATAGAAATCTATTTTTCACAGTTCTGTGAATAATGTGCTATTTCAACCACTTTAAAATGCACAATCAAGTGAAATTAACCACATACACAGTGTTAAATTACCATCACCACTATTTTCCCTAGAAAATTTTTATCATTTTAAACTGAAACTTTGTATCTTTTAAACAATACCTCCTTGTATGTTCCACCCTAGACTTTGATCATCTCTACTCTGTCTCTATGAATTTGCCTATTCTTGATGTCTAATATAAATGGAATTATACACTTACGTTAATTTGTTTCTGACATATTTCACTTAGCATAATATTTCCAAAGTCCATGCATGTTCCAGTGGGTATCAGAGCTTCATTCCTCTTTATGGCAGATTAACATTCTGTTGTATGTGTCACCATATTTATTTATTGATGTGTTGAGGAGCACTTGGATTGTTTTCATATTTTATATTTTGTGAATAATGCTGCAATCAACATTCCCATGCAAGTACCTGTTTGAGTCCCTGGATTTAATTCTTTGGGTATATACCTAGGAATGGAAGTTGTTTCAAATGAGAATTCTATGATTAGCTTTTTGAGGAAAAGCAAAACTGTTTCTCCTTTTTATATTCTCACCAGCAATGTATGAAGATTCCAAATTCTACATAATACTGGTACTTGTTATTTAACATTTTAAAAGAATGGTAGCCAGTTTTGTAGGTGAGTTGTCGTGTCTCATTGATGCTTTGACTTTGTATTTTCCTAACGACTAATGATGTTGCGTATCTTCTCATGTCCTTCTTGACTATTTGTATATCTTCCTTGAAGAAATGTCTATTTGAGTCTTTTGCCCATTTATAAATTGGATGGTTTGTCCTTTTGTTATTGAGTTGTAGCTAGTTCTTTATATTATCTGGACATGAAAACTGCCTATATGTGGTTTGCAAATATTTTCTCTCATTCTGTATCTATTAATTATTTTCTTGATAATTTCCTTTGATGTACAAAAGGCTCACATCTTGATAAAGCCCAATGTATATTTTTTTCTTATTTCTCATGCTTTTGTATCATATCTAAGAATCCATTGCACATTTGAGGTCATCAATATTTACATCTATGTCTATTTTAAGATGTTTTTATGGTTATAGATCTTATATTTAACTCACTGATCAATTTTTTAGAGAATTGTTTGATATGGTGGGAGGTAGAGTTATCTAAATTCACTGTTTTGCATGTGGTTATCTAGTTGTTTCTGCACTATCATTAGAAAGGAGAATTGTTCCTCCATTAAATTGTCTTGACACCCTCTTCAAAGAGTAATTGACCATAAGTGTGAGGGTTTATTTCTAGACTCTCAATTCTATCCCATTTGTCTTTATGTCCATTCTTTTGCCAGCAGCTTCTGTTTTAATAATTGTACTCCTTTGTGAGATTTCAAATAAGAAAGTTCAAGTCCTACAATTTCTTTTGGCAAGATTGTTTTGGCTATTCTGGGGTCCTTTTTTGAAAGGTGGGGAAGCCAATGTTTCACAATTGGGAAAGCCTTTTCTGTCTTCTTCAGGGGGAAATTTGGGAGAATCTTTTAAGAAACTTAATCTAAGTAGGTAAACTGTCACCACTTTATTTGCTGAAGTGCTATGTTAAAGTGTGCATTGCCTCTTGTGGAAGAATTGTGAGACCCTGGAAGCACTTGCCCATGTGGTGAGAGACAGTGAATTCCACGATGAGGGGCAGAGAGGACATTGTTTTGTGATACAATGTTGTTGGGGGAGTTGTATACATCTCAACTTCTTTATGTCTCTGTACAGTGGGTGTAGGGACCAGCCCCACAGAGTCGGTGGGCTTTTCTCCCCATGTGCAGAGATGAGAGATTGTAGAAACAAAGACACAAGACAAAGAGATAAAAGAAAAGACAACTGGGTTGGGGGGACCTCTACCACCAAGATGTGGAGACCAGTTGTGGCCCCGAATGCCAGGCTGTGCTGATATTTATTGGATACTAGACAAAGGGGCAGGATAAGGAGTGTGAGCCATCTCCAATTGATAGGTAAGGCCACATGTGTCACATGTCCACTGTACAGAGGGCCCTTTCCTGCCTGGAAGCTGAGGCAGAGAGAGAGAGGAGAAAGAGAGAGAGAGCTTACACCATTATTTCTGCTTATTACAGACTTTTAGTACATTCGCTAATTTCCTACTGCTAACTAAACGGCAGAGCCACGTGTACAGGATGGAACATGAAGGCGGACTAGGAGTGTGACCACTGAAGCACAGCATCACAGGGAGACAGTTAGGCATCTGAATAACTGCGGGTCGACCTGACTAATGTCAAGCCCTCCACAAGAGGTGGAGGAGCAGAGTCTTCTCTAAACTCCCCCGGGGAAAGGGAGACTCCCTTTCCCAGTCTGCTAAGTAGTGGGTGTTTTTCCTTGACACTGAGGCTACCACTACATCATGGTTCGCCTGGAAACCGGCATCTTCCCAGACCCTGGCGTTACCACTAGACCAAGGAGACCTCTAGTGGCCCTATCTGGGCATAACAGAAGGCTCGCACTCTTGTCTTCTGGTCACTTCTCACTATGTCTCCTCAGCTCCTATCTCTGTATGGCCTGGCTTTTCCTAGGTTATGATTATAGACCAAAGATTATTATAATATTGGAATAAAGAGTAATTGCTACCAATTAATGATTAATGATATTCATATATAATCATATCTAAGATCTATATCTGGTATAACTATTCTTCTTTTATATTTTATTGTACTGGAAAGGCTCGTGCACTCAGTCTCTTGCCTCGGCAACTGGGTGTCCTGCCGCCCACAAGTGGGCATCTCCATTGCACACAGTAGGTTTTGAAATCCTTGTTTATCCTCTGGGGTCTGGGTCTTGGCTTACCTGTTAGCTGCAGCTGAAAGAGGTGTCTGCTAAGTCAATGACACCTGTGGGGAGAAGAAGGGTTCAGCAGAGTGAAAGTAGCTGGGGCTCAGAGAAGCCAGGAAAGTCTGACTCTTAGAAACTGTGGGTCAGCAGATGGGTGTCCTCAGGGATAAATGGGCCATGCCGGTAGCCACTGCAGTGGATTGGAAGAAGGTAAGGGATGCTGGGTGTCCCATGTTCTCTGTCAGCTCTGCAGCTGAAGATTTGGGCCCTGGGATGGTACGGCCCTGCAGCAGGGGATGGGTATACAGGAATGGCTGCATATCGGGACCAAGTCCATGTCATCTTCTTAGGCATTGTTACTGCAGATGGAGGATTCTGTTCAGAGACCTGGCCTGGACACATGGGAGGGCTCACCCCATTCTTTTAAAATTATTTTAAGAGAACAGTATTAGCAAATGTGGTACATGTTTTATTCTGCTAGAATCAGTATTACTGTCACGTTTTACAATGTATCTCTTAGGAAATGGTGAGAGCCATCCACACAATGTGCATTTAAAGGAGACTCTACTATAATTTCAGCTTTCCTACTCTTTATAGAAACCATCTTCTCTGCAAACACACAGGCAATATCTCTGTGTTCATTTCTATTGGGAGCCCTGTATGCAAGGTGGAGAGAGCCACATTTCCCCCTGAGATGTTACATAAAAGTTTGAGGTTGAGATGACATATCTGACACTCTGTTATTACCCTCAGAAGCTACTACATGTGAAATTCTAATGACTGCATTATCCTGCCAAGTGAAAAAGGTAGGCATCAGCAAGGACAGTTAAGAGGGGTGAGAGCCTCATCATGATGGGGAGTCTTGTTCTGACATCTTGGGAAAAACTGTCCACAGTGTGAAGTCATCAACTTGTCCTGGTTTACAGTTTGAGTGGCTGTTGTTATGGCGTCGAACATTTTGGTGAGTTCTGAGTGGCTCACACGTCAGGTACAAGGGTTTTCCCATGAAATTTACATTGAGTTGTCCAACTCCAGCTTATAGGGCTTCTGGAACAGAGTGGGTCTTGCTCTTAGTGATTCCATGGGAGAAAATGGAATTGGAGGAACTAGTAGAATTCAGGGTAATGTCCAGTCTACAGGTGGATAATAAAAACACAGAAACAATGAACAGAGCTGCAATCTCATAACCGGTGTACTACAGTTTTTATTTTCCACATAATTTTTCTCTCTATGGGCATCTCTAGTTTTACCAATGATAATTTCAGTAGAATAAGTTTGTTTGCAAAATAGGTTGAGTTACTTCAAACATGGTCTGATTCTTTACATAAGTGCAGCAAGAGTAGCAATGGACCATGTAGGCTCTCTTTTAAAATTTTCTTTGCTCTAAGTTTTTATAAGGAATCTCAGATTAAACTTTTACAAACCTCTTGAGAACAGGAAGCCAAACCAAGGTTGACTTCAGACTTTGCCTGCAGTTCATATTGGTTCATTCTATCTATATTCTTGAATATAACATCCCAGTCAAAGCCTTGGTAATAAAACCAATGATTTGAAATGTGTCGTGTTAAAAAGAGAGCAGACTGTTACTGTACTTGTGCAAATATCTGTATTACCATAAACATATCAATTCTCATGAATAGTTGCCCAATTCTGGGGCAGTCAGGTAGAGAGCAAAAGTAAATGTTTCAATAATTGTTCCCAGAAGTATAGTTTATTGAACTGCTATAAGCTATAGATAGATTAAAAGAAAAAAATTCCATAAATCTAGAAAACAAACCATTTAAAGAATCAGCAAATTTTCAAATAAAAATCATAAAAACATTATCCTCATTATTATCAATTATTTCAATGAAATCAATATTTTTCCTGCTTGGTACACTGAGAATTTTATGAAGATATCAGCCTGTTTCTTAAAGTTTTGGAAGTTCTTAGACAGTCCGGTGGTATAATGTGAAATTTATCAGAAACTTGTATTAAAGAGTTCTTGTCAGCATCGTTTCCATAAATCTCCTTGAAAAGGAAGCATTTTTGGACTGTAGCTGATTGGAAATGCTTTGAGGAAGACTAAAAACAACGTCTGTGAATGACAAAGATTTTAAATGACTATGGCTAAAACTCTGATGAGAATTCATTATGATAACACAGCTCACATAAAAGGTTCATTACTTCTGTGGTATATGACATTATGGCTGATAACATATTTAATTTCTAGGAATCTCATACAATTTCTGGAACAATCATATCAGTAACATATCCATAAATATAACATAGCAAAGGTTTAGCATCCTTTACCACTTATGATTTGAAAATGCTTTTCATATAATTTTACATATCAAATAAAGTGGCTTTTCCATGTAGCTTGTGTTTCTCAACAGGATTACTGAGTTCTTGGTGGAGGCCATTAATGAATAGGGCCAAGAAAGTATAGGCATATGTATGTTGAAAAATATCCCTAGATAATTCTAATACTCCCAGCTAATAAGCATTAATTGAGGTCTAAGTTTTACCTATTAGAACAGCTGTTCTCTATTCTGGTTACACATTAGTAGCACCTGGGAAGACTTAAAAATTACCAATGCCTGTGTCTCACTTTAGACCATTAAATTGGATCCTATGGGTGGGGCTTGGGCATCCATTTAAAAAAACGTTTTCCAGTGGTTCCAATGTGTAGCTGTATTTCCCATCAGATTTCTCTGATTTCTTGTGGCATTCACGTTTTTCTATTTTGGTATTATAATTATTTTTTGGGTCTTATCATCTATCTTAGGCTTTATGTTCCTTGGGGTAGAAACCTTACCTTCTTCATTTCTGTATCTTTCATGAACATATGGGTTGGTCATCAGGAAAATGTTCTCAATCACGTGTAGGTTGTGTTCTGAGTCTCAGGTTTACATATTAATGCTAGAGTCATTGTTCTCCAGGAGGTCAGAGGTTGCTTGTGATGAAGGGTATGGGTAATCCCATACTGCAGATGGTAGATGGGAGATCACCCTGTTTTTAGCCATAGCATTGGAACTAAGCATTCTATGTGTATATCAGGTGGAGGGGAAGGGATGTGTAGAAAGACAGATTTAATTAGAATGGAGGAATTATACTAGGGAATAGAGGGAATGGAAGCAATAAAAATTAGTAAAGAGAAGAAATGTGAACTTATCAAATAGGCAAGAGTAGATCCCTGAAGATTTTTGAATAGGTGAGTTAACTAGAATTTAGGAAGGTAATAAGGCAGTCATACACAAGGAAGATTTCAAAGACTGGAGATAAGTCAAGCAGTATCTCTAGCAGTTGTTAAGGTTGTGGGAATGGAGAGAATGACAAAAGTGAGGATGTTAAAAAAAGGATCAAGAGGGTTTTATAAGGTATTGAATCTGGGAAACAAATGAGCAGAGGCTGAGGATCATCATTTGTAGGAGACAGTGGGGTACAGGGAGCATGAAGAACAGGGGAGAAGAGACCAGCAGGAATAAGTGCTGAGAAGCAGGAGTTTAGTGGGAGGAGGAGGAGATCCAGTCCCAGATACAGGCAAAGAAGTCCTTTCTCTCTCCCAAGCATGGCAGTCAGCCCTGCAGGAAACAGGACAAAAGGAAAGGCCATCATACCTGCAGTCTTCCTGAAATAAACTACACCAGGGCTGCTAGATCAGAGCCACACTGGCCAGTACTTCAATCAAGATGCTGACCGTGGCTCTACCTGAAAGGCCAGGAGAACTTCCTTGTACTGAAGTATCTGTCATGGAAAGAAAAGAAGAGAAGGAATAAAGGTGATGTTATTTTACAGTGTGGTACCTTAGTAACCATCACTAAGTATGAAGTAGTTTCTACTTGTTCCTTTGGGGATTACATTAATTTTGTGGGAGGGTTGCTGGTAGATGATTAGCCAACTATATTCTTACAGTTTTTTTTCTCTATCAATGTGTTTCTAGGTTAGTGATCAGTCTTCTGTCAATTTCATCCTGATCATGCTGCACTCAGATATTTTTGAAGCCTTTATGATGTGAGAAAGGCTGACTGCTATTTTCTGTGTCATTAGAACTTTCTACCCTTTCATGGTTGCATCTTTTTCTCAGTGTGTCAGTTGTGGTAGGTATGAATAAGACTCTGTCAGGTCTCCATGGCAGCTTGTGTTTCTCAAGAGGATTACTGAGTTCTTGGTGGAGCCCATTAATGAATAGGGCCGAGAAAGTATAGGCTTATGTATGTTGAAAAAATTCCCTAGGTAATTCCAGCACTCCCAGCTAATAATTGATTTATTAATAATCGATTGACTTGATTGACAGAAGGCCCAGATCAGTGCATTCCAAATTGACAACCTACTTTGCATAGAGTCCTCACTTTCCTGAAGCTCCCAGCAGGGATATGAAAGCAAGCCCAGTTCTATGAGCCTCTGTTTCATTCTCCTGGGTGACTGGTGGGGAGACTCCCCATCAGTCTTGCCATGATCTCTTTGAACTGTAGCTAAATCTTCTTTCTCTTTCTCCTTCACAGGAATCAGATTTGATAGTGGTCCCAAAGCTTCCCAGACTTTTTTCATGCCTGCCCCACTTTCCCTCACAGGCATTTTTCCTAATAAATTATCCTGCATGTCTAATCTCATCTTGGATGCATCTCAGTGGGCATAAACTAACATACCAGGCTTGATTTTTTTGCACTTAGCTTTTTTCTGTCTCTCCCACATGTAGCCAGTAACCATGTCCTAGTGTTTATGTGTTACCTCTTTTTTCATGTGTATAGGAAAAATATATATATTTCCATATACCTATTTATACATATTATATAATAAAATATGTAATATAAAATGTATAGTAATGAAAAACATATACATATTTTCCATATACGTATATGGAAAATGAGGTAACATAAAACATCAGGACACTTACATATAATAAAATTGACATATGTTATATATGTATGTAGTGTCTGCTAGTCTTACCCTCTCTATAAATACACACTTTTTGTCACTGCCCCTTCCTTCCCATGCAGAGCTCCCATGGCCAAATCTCCCTATTTCCCCAAGTGTGTGTCACTCGCTGTCCTCTGTTCTGTGTCCCATGCGCTGTGCCCACAGCCTCCTAGTGTTTTATGTGTTCTCTTTTTCTATATATATATGGAAAAAGCATATACATACTTCTCTCTTTATATTTATATACAATATATAATAATCTAAAAATATAGAGTATATAACAATTTAAAATATATACATATTTCCATATCTATGAAAAAAGGTAACACATAAACACTAGGCCATTTATACATAAAATTCACATATGTAATATAAATGCCAATTTTATCATATACAAATAAGTATATCCATATAGACTTATCATATATAAGGTGAATTTGGAATGCCCTGACCTGGGCCCTCTGTCAGTCAAGTCCTTGCCATGGAGGCCATTCATGGCTGCCACAACTGAGACACCAAGAGAAAGATGCAACTATGAAAAGGTGAAAAGTTCTAAAGTCATAGAAAATAGCAATCAGCCTTTCTCATATCCCAAAACCTTCAAAAATATCTGAGTGCAGCATGTCCAAGATGGAATTAAAAACTTCGATCTTGAAAAGGAAAAAGGAAGCTGGAGGACTCACACTTTCAGATTTCAGCATCTACTGCAAAGCTACAGTAATCAATACAGTGTGGTACTGGCATAAAAAAGGACATAGAAACCAATGCCATAGAATAGAGAACCCAGAAAAAAAGCTTGCATATATGGCCAAATGATTTTTGTCAAGAGTGCCAAGACCATTCCATGGGGAAAGGACAGTCTTTTTAACAAGTGATACTGGGAAAGCTGGCTATCCATGGACAAGTATGAGTTGAACATTTACCTCACACCATATCCAAAAAAATGAACCCACAATGGATCAAAGACCTAAATGGAAGAGTGAAGACTACCAGACTCTTAGAAGAAAACATAAGGAAAAAGCTTCATGATATTGAATTTCAGAATGATTTATTAGTTACAACTACAAAAGCATAGGCAACAAAAAAGGGATAAATTGGACTTCATGAAAATTAAAAACTTTTATATATCAAAGGCCATTATCAAGAATGTATAAAGGCAAACTATGACATAGGGAAAGTTTCTGCAAATCATATATCTGATAAGGGATTAATTTCCAGAATACATGAAGAACACTACAAATCAAAAACAGCAAAAACAGAAAAGCCCAATTAAAAAATGGACAAAGGACTAAAAGAGAGATGTTATTAAAGAAGATATACAAATGGCCAATGAGGGCATGCAAGGATTCTCAATATTACTAATATTTAGAGATCTGCAAAGCAAAACCATGGTGATACACGACCTCACACACATTAGGATGGCTTTGATAAAAACAACATGAACAACAACATCACAAAACAAGTGTTTTCAAGTACGTGGAAAAATTGAAGCTCTTTGTGTATTGCTGATGGGAATGGGAAATGTTATAGCCACTGTGGAAAAAAATGGCATGACATGGCCGGCTCATGCCTGTAATCCCAGCACTTTGGGAGGCTGAGATGGGTGGATCTCTTGAGGTCAGGGGTTTGAGACCAGCCCGGCAAGCATGGTGAAACCCCATCTCTACTAAAAATACAAAAATTAGCTGGGTATGGTGGCATGTGCCTGTAATCCCAGCTACTCAGGAGGCTGAGGCATGAGAATTGCTTGAACCTGGGAGGTGGAGGTTGCAGTGAGCCAAGATTGAGCCATTGCACTCCAGTGTGGGTGACAGAGCAAGACCCTGTCTCAACATCAACAACAACAGAAAAGAAAATGGTATGTCAGTTTCTTTAAAAAAAATTAAAGCATTACCACTTGAACCAGCAATTCTACTTCCGGACATACAGCCAAAAGTATTGAAAAATATTTGAACAGATATTCGTACACTGATGTTCACAGCAGCATCACTCACAATAGCCAATGGGTGGAAACAACCGAAAAGTCTATTGAAAGATAAGTGGGTGAACAAAAAGGTATATCCATGCTTTGGAATGTTCTTCAATCTTAGCAAGGGATAAAATTCTGACACATGGTGCAAAATGGATGAACCGTGAAGACATTATGCAAAGTGAAATAAGCCAGACACAAAAGCATAATTATTATATACTTCCATTTATGTAAGATAGTTAGAATAGTCAATTACATAGAGACAGAAATTAGAATGGTGATTACCAGGGGTTAAGGGGAGAAGGAATGAGAGTTATCATTTATCGGGTTCAGAGGTTTAGTATAGTAGGATAAAAAAAGCACTGGAAATAGATAGTGTTGATAGTAACACAACAGTAAATTGCACACTTAGAAACAGTTAATGGTAAGTCTTACGTATATAGTGTCTGGTACTCTTACCCTCTCTATAAATACACACTTTTTGTCACTGTTCCTTCCCTGCCATAGGGAGCTTCTGTGAGTTAATCTCCCTATTTCTCCAAGTGTGCATCACTCACTGTCCTCTGTGCTGTGTTCCAGGAGCTGTGTCCACAAACTCACACAGGCAGTGACTTCAGAGCCAGGACACAGTCCTATTCCCATTTTTTAAAGCCTTACCCATGGGAGGCTTAGCTTCTACTGGCAGCTCGATTTAGCCAGATTCAGAACCGGCCACCCAGGCACCTTATCCACATGCCTGCCCCACCCCCCGGCTGGAGTCAGGGCAGGGTCGGTCACTGAGCGAGCCCACAGCAATGCAGGGAGCAGAGTCTGAGCTGCTTCTGCTTCACCCAAGGGGCTTCCTCCTGTCATTTGGGGAAAAGTGTGGGCTTGTTTTGAAGCCTCTGATGTTCATCGCAGCTCATGGAGTACACACACACAGACACACACACAAAGGAGACAGAAGGGATGTTTTGGTGACAGAAACAGCTTGACCATGAGGACCCTCCTCTTTCTCCGTCTGTGAAGGCCCTTATACTGCATAGTGCTTGGGGCTGATAAAGCCATTTCCCTACATTTCTCAGGCTGGACCCAAGGTCATCCACCAGAAATCTGGAAAACAAAGGGAAGAGAATCTGTAGATATGAATTGGGAGTGTTCAGGAGAAAAATTTGGGATTTACTTTTGTGCATGGGACACAGGCTGAGAATAAAAATGTTTTCCTGGCTCTTTCTTGGAAAGCCAGATAGGCTTCACCTGAAAGCATATTGCCAATGCTCCAGCGATCCACTTACCAGGGACTGTGATTTTCTTGGTTGCGAAGTTTTTGCCATTAGTGACTGGGTTATGGACATAACACAGATAGTCCCCACTATTCTCTGTAGTGACTTGGGGGATAAAGAGCTCTTGTCCTGTTTGCTGGTTATTCCCATTCAGCAGCCAAGAATACTCTGCTGATGGGTTAGAGCCCATGAGGCAGGAGAGGTTGAGGTTTGACCCTGCATAGTAATAGGTGTCTGAAGAATAAGTTGTGGGTTCATCTGGGCCATCTGGAGCAAAGAGAATAAAGCCACAGGTAATGTTATCAGAGGGAATGGGAAGCTCCTGGTCTGTGAAAGGGACACAATGTTCCTTTTTGCCAAGTCACAACCCTGAAGTCCCAGCCAAATTTCTTCTGTGTTCACTGAACTGGAGGAGTCTAAGACATTCACGTGTTCTCCCATCGCAAGCTATGGAACCAGAGTCCCCTAAGACCGGAGAAGCCCCTCCCTTCCTGGGCCTACCCAGGTTTGCCTGGGACAGAAAGTCATGGCCAGCTTGGGGGTCCAGGGGTAAGTGTCTTCATACTTGGACCTGAGAGGGACTGAGAGGCCTGGCCTCGTGTTATGTGGATTTGGGCTGGCAGCCTTGTCCATGAAGGAAAAGAGGATACTCACAGAGAACATCCAGGTGACTGGGTCACTGTGGCTGGTACTCACTACATTCTTCCTTTGACATTCATAGAGTCCTGTGTCACTCCTTGTGACACTGAGTAGAGCAAGGACCCTGTTATCATTGGACATCTTTAGCCTGGGACTGAGTGTGAGTCTATGACTATTTACCCACCACATGTAGATTGTGCCATGAGTCTCAGGTTCACAGGTTAAGACCACAGCCTCCTCATCCTCCGCGGGGTTGCTGGTGACATAGGGCTTGGGCAGATTCACTGTGCAGATAACAGAGAAGATTCCCCTGTGTGGCACCATTGATTTCTCCACGAGCATTTTCCAATCAGAGTTGACATCTCCCACCTCTCAGCCAATCCAAGTCCTTAAAAGCCCACAGCAGTTCTGTGTGTCAAAAGACAGATGGATGCATGATGATCTGAGGGCTCAGAGACCATGGGGCCACCTGCTCTGTGTGGGAGATGCACAGACTTCTGAACTGTGAATCAAGCAGCAATACTGGTGAACTGTGAATTGAGCAGGGTCATATAATTAGAGTTTGATTAACTTTGTTTAAATTGGGCAGAGTCTAAGTGAGGCAGCAGTGGCTCATGCATCTCCCCACCCGAAGGACCCCACCTTATGACACTGTTGTTATTATGAGTACACAGGTGTGCATGAAACAGGCAGTAAATCAAACAGCACCCACCTGGCCAGCTCCACCTGGTCCTAGGAACCACCAGTATTCCCATTATGTGTATGTTACAGCCTTTGTAGGCTACAAAATATAAAATACAACTTCAGAATATAAAATATGCTATTGTCAATACCAAATATTGAATATGAAGCTGAATATGTTGTTCCACTTTTTCTCACTCTTGTTAAACTTTGCTGTTTCAGTTTTGGAAGTTCCTATTGACACACACTTAAGCTAGAGATTCTTTCCTCAGCTGTGGGCAGCCTACCAGTAAGCCCATGCAGGGCATTCTTTATTTCGCTTAAAGTGTTTTTAATCTCTAGCATTTCTTTTGCTTCTTTCTTAGAATAGCCATCTCTCTGTTTAAATCACCCATCTATTCCTGAAAGGTGTCTCCTTTTTCCATCATAATCCTTAACCAGAGTTGTTTTAAATTTTCAGTCTGATAATTTCAACATCCCTACCACATCTGTGTCTGGTTCTGATCCTTGCTCTGTTTTTCAAACTGCATTATTTTTTTTTTTTTTTTTGCCATAGTCTGTCTTGTATTTTTTTGAAAACCACACATGATGTACTGGGTAAAAGGGACTTGAGTGAGCAGGCATTCAGTGACATGGTGGTGAGTGAGGGGAGGGAAGGGTTCTGTGGTTCTGGATGAGATCTGTGTCCTGGGCTGTGAATGTCACAAGTGCCTCTCAGGTTTTTCTTTCCATTAGGTGGGATATGATGACTTGAGGAGGCTGGAGTTGGATATTTCCCCTCCCCCTGGCCAGTTAAGCTCCCATCAAACCCCAGCTAATTAGGCTGCAGTAAAATAGTTCCTCTTAAATGTAGGTCTTACCAAGAAGAATATAATTCACTGACAACTTTCCAAGTGTTTTTTTCCCTTCTCTCCTACAAGAAGGATGCAGGGATTCTTTTTGGATATTGACTGTGAGAACCTGGTAGAGCTCCAGGAGCTAAGAGTCATAAAACTGTCCCCCTACTCCCAAGGCTAATTCATCCACTGGTGTGTTTATCTCTGCGCTGTGTCCACACTGAGCCTCCAGAATTTCCTCAATTAGAGTTGAGGTTTTCTGACCCCAGCACTGGTTCCCGCTGAGGTTTCTGTGCCTGTGTTTCTGCTCAGGTACGGTGCGCTGCTCTGTATTTGCCTGTGGGTCTCTTCAATATGTGGGCCAGTTAGCACTGAGACCTTGCTTCTCTGACAAATCTAAATGAGTTGTTGTTTTTTCAGTTTGTTCAGCTTTTTACTTGTTGTTAGAACTGAGTGAAAATTTTTAAGCTACTTACATGCCTGGCGGAAATTCGAAGTCTCTAGGGCATGACTGGAGGATATGAGCCCCACAGCAGGTTGAGGATGGAGTCATGAGTGAAATGGGTGAAATGAGCCCATGGGCTTTGGAAACTGCAGGTCTGTCCTTCAGCGTCTGACCACCTGGTGAGTCTATGTAGAAAGTGAAACCACCTTTGCAAAGCATATGATGGTGAGAGGAAGCTAGCTTGGCTGACCCCATCTCACCTCTAGCCTCAGGCTGGGTGTCCTCTCTGATTCTTGGGCATAGGCCAGGGTAAGCATGGAAGGAATTTATAGTTTAACTTTGACGCAAGGATGATAATAGTCCCTCCCTAAAATTAGCTCCCTCCTTGTCGGGGACTACCGTGGTAAATCTAAGAAAAGACCATGAATTATGCAGGAGCCCAAATTCTGCTAAAATGCAGGCATAGTTTCTATAATCCCTTACTGCTCAGGAGTCATGTGTCCAGAGGTCACAAGATTTGTGACTTTCCTAGTTGCTCCTATAGATAGCAACACTATTGTAGAATCTGAGATTTGTCTTTGGAGATGTTTCTCAGATTTTTGCATTCCGGCAACCAGCTGACCTCATCTAGACTCATGACCAATGGCTCAACCAGTCATGTGGCCCCCCACTCAGAGGCAGATTCAACAAATACAGACCATTTCCCCTACCGGCATCATTTCATCTTTAGCCAGTCAACAGTACTTATTCCTTAGAACTTTGCCCCTCAAAGTTTTTGAAAAACTCTAACCTCTGAGCCACTGGGGAAGCTGATTTGAGTCATAATAAACTTCTATCCTCCTGTTTGGCAGCCTTGGGCTAAGCAAAACCATTTTTTACTACACATCACCTTCACAATAAATTGGCTTTGCCTGCGCAGAGGGCAAGAACCTGTCAGGTGATTATAAGAATGGATGGAGGAGTCACTGATCTCTTTCTGGTGGCCTGTTTCATGAGTCAGCCTCTCAGAGGGAAAGAGCCCTGGACTGCGACACAGTGGAAGCTCATTCTCTTGGTGACCCAGGGACATTGCCTTATTATGGATCCTGGCAGGGGTGGCTGCTTTGGCTGATTTTGGTGCATTTTACATTTCCCAGAAGGCAGGACAGGCCTAAGTGTGAGCAGAAAGGAAACGGGGCAGTCAGCTTTGTTAGAGAGGGTGTCTGGGGAAGTCCTCAGGGTGGAGGAAGCTGTGCAGGACAGGGCTCATCAGGTAGAATGAAAGAGGGATGCACTTTTTTCACTGAACACCTTTCAGACATCTCACCAACTCTGGCCTCACTGGGCTGTGCCTTTCCTCCTGAGCCCTGAGCCCTGATTCCTGGCAGGGAGGGAGAAAGAGAGGAAGGGTGAAGCTGGGATGTGTGCTGTCCAGGTTTCTTCCATCTCTAGAATCTTGACAGCGAGGGACCCTAATGTGTTACCACAGAGGAGACCATGGGAAAAAGCTGTTTCTCAGGGGTGCCTGGCTTATGAAGTGAGGGAAATTCAGACCGAGTTG
This sequence comes from Homo sapiens, assembly GCF_000001405.40. Lineage (NCBI taxonomy): Eukaryota > Metazoa > Chordata > Mammalia > Primates > Hominidae > Homo > Homo sapiens. The sequence goes on from NC_000019.10 coordinate 43,287,565, forward strand.
GACTCCTGAACTACAGGGAACCTGTTCCATGTCAGCAACCAGCTCCTCTAGCTCAGTGTTTCTCTCTGTGGCTAATTCTTTTGTATGGTTTCTGAGCCTATGCTAGAGTCCTCCTCACGATGCATGATGGTCAGACCTGTGTGGGGAGACCTAATGATGGGGTGGGGGTGGTCTTGAGTGTCACACAGAGTGTCCAGGGAACAGGCTTTGTGACTTTCTCTACCCCAGCCCCACAACAAGATCTGGATAGTGGGCTGGGTCAGATAAAGTCAGAATCCATGGGGAAGGGTATGTGTCCTGGCAGTGCCGAGGTTCGTGCCTCCAGGTTAGCTCTGAGTCTCTGCAAATACATTTATGTTGTGCATGTGCTGTTTGCTGGACGGTACTTCTTGAACCTGTCTGCAGATAATGTCATGAGAGGTCTGCATGGAAGTGTATGAGGGCTATGTGATTAGGGTGGGTGTGTTTTACACAGCGGGTTTTTTTTTCACCAAACACTTTTCAAAAAATTGTGGTTGAGTGTGTATATAGAAACACATACATACTTGTATTTGTTAGATGTGAATATATATTCATATAAATTTGACATGTAGATACATATGTCTATAAATATACACACATATATATGTGTGTATGTATATGTGTATATGTATATATATGTATGTGTGTGTGTGTATATATATATATGTGTGTATATATATAATGTGCCATTTTAACCACTTAACTTAAGGAGAGAGATAGAGGGAGAGAGAAGAGAGTTTCTACTAATACCAAATCTGGGTTAAATAAGGGTGGTCTTATTTCCTGGGGTTGGGCTTTTGCTACATGTGTCCTGTTGGAAGTGAGCTAGAGAGGTTACATGCTTAACCAATTTAGAGATTTTCTATATGAAAATCATCTGTGAGCACATTGATAAGTTTTATCCTCTTCTACGTGAAAAGCTTGATGAAGGATTTTAAGGATTTCTCGTTGGCTGAAGGCTGGCAAACGGAGTTTGCCATCCTCTGACTACAGCCATTCTGAGGACTGGAAAGGATACCCTGAGAAGTGGCCTATTTTATTTCTGCAGGAAGGTACTGAGGTTTAATTTATCTTATGGAGTCTTCCTAGATTAGAAGGCTTTGAGGTGTGTTGATGCCTTGCCAGTGACTTAGCTGCCTGATCAGTGAACCTATTTCTTTTGGCTACTTCATCTGTTCCCTTTTTGATGTTCTCTATAATGTATCACTGCTATTTCTCATGAAAGAAAACTGACGATAATAACCTGTTAATTTTTTGGTGATATTTTATAGGAAGTCCATTAGTGGTAAGAAAATGCCTTTTATTTTAAATGGCAGCATGAGCATGAAGAACTCAAAAAGCATACTTGGAATCAGTGTAAATGTTAGCTACCTTTCCCTTGCTTAATTTAAGTGCTCTTGTATTAACTGTTTGTTTAGCTGATTGAGCACCTGCACCTGAAGAGAGATATTATTTAGAGTGACTACTGCTTATCCTACCTTACGTATTTCTTGCTTTACCAGCTGATTGTTAGCTAAGAGCTCCCTCTAGAGGAAAGTAATTTTGCCACATTAAGTGGGGGTGTAAACCGTTTTTTCCTAGGGTTAATTTGGAGGCTTTTCTGATTAGTAGAGCTATTGTGACAGTGGTTTGGAAGCAGATGTAAAAAATAGGTCCTCCTAACTGCAAATAAGAGGCTGAGAAAAATATTGGATTAGAATTTTTCCTGAGACACCCCTTATGGTTGTGCTATGGGAAGAGGGGAGGCCTGGATAAGAAAGGAGAAAAGAGAGAGACTAGATCTAGTGTTTAGAAGGAGGTCTACTTTCCTCCCTATAATTTCCAGAATGACCTGTGTCTCCTGTGCTGTAATGGCAGTTTGAGCTGCTGGAGCCAGGGGTTTGAGCCCCAGGACCCATCAGTCCTGCTGGACCACTGTGAGACTGGTTCTGAACCCAGTGACCTCCATCTCTGGGAGCAGTTGCATCTCCAGTGGTCTCCACCACAGGCTGGACAGGGTCAAGGTGGCTTCCTCTTGCTCTTTGGACACTTCTTCCTCAAATGCCCTGGCTTGCCACACCGAGAGCAACTAGTGGATACACCTCTGGGATCCTGGACTTTGCAACTCTGCAAAGCAGCTACTAGAGGCTTTGTCCTTCTCTTGAGCTTTCTCTCTTTCTTCTGGGCCTTCTCCTAGTCCCTATTATAAAAGACTGAAGTGGCTACCCTCAGAAGGTTTTCCAAGGTGCTATCTGCTACTATAGCTTGCCTTTTATAGGTTCCTTCTAATATTGGGAGCTTTATGTATAATAAACTTATCTTTTGGAATGGGCTGTCACTTGACTGAATCAGGAGATAAAAAGGTGTGTGCTAATAGTGCCCCTCTCAACCTATCCATAAAGGCTGCAGGATTCTCATCTGGCTTTGAGTCTATCCTAGACAGTTTAGAGGAATTAAGAGGTCTGGCCTTAGTTTTTCTTTTTCATTCATCTACAGGGCTATTGGGGTTTCAATCAGGGTTGTCAAGAGGTACTGCTTCACTTACTATTTGGAATGGTGTTTCTGCTATTTCTTCACTTTCTGTATCTCCTTCCTTCCCTTTTGGTGTATTATAGGAGATATGTTGCTCATCTCCAAAATTCTCTGCTGCTTGCAGAGCTGCCTGTTTTTCAGCTGCAGTTAGGGTTTGGATTAGGAGCAGTATAACATCCTTCCATGTGAGGTGAAACACCTGACTTAAATTCTGGAAAGCTTCTATATACCTGTCAGGATTGTCTGAAAATTGGCCTAAGTCTTACTTTATTTGCCTAAGGTCCTGTAATGAGAAGGGAACTTGGAGGGACCCCAAATTATGGAGATTCTCAGATGGTTCCCTTGGAAGTTGCTTTTCTAATTCTAGGATATTATTCTTTATAAGCCTGCCTGATATGGCTGTTAAAAAATCTGGGTTGCTGTTACAATGCTTGTAAAGGTTTAGTAAAAATGCCCTGTCATTTTGCAAAATAGAATGAGTTGCTTTTCTCTTGAAAGTCCTGAGGTTAAAAGAGTTCTAGTGCCTCAGAGTGCGCTCCAGAGGGGTGCAAGCTGAAGATGCTCTGTTAGCCATTGAGAAAAAGAAGTGAGAATAAAAGTGTCCTTATAGTCCTCCTTATTTCATTGAGACCCAGAGTGGAGTGGAAGACAGTGGGAGCGTCCCCCCAACTGTTTTCTCTCCTTGGTTCCTGAGTCCCGGCACTATGTTAAATGTGCTGCCCATGGTTGTAGGTGTGGCCCTGTAAGCCATGGAACTAGATAAATGAAGTGATGGGATTAGCCACACTTTACCCATGCAACATTAGCTTATCTGCCTGTGATCTGCCTGGCTTCCTGAAAAATGGATCTCTCGAGAAACTGTAACAGTTGCCTTTGAGCAAGCTTTCTTTAACAGAGGGAATGTGCCAGTTGCCAGATACGTGCTAAAGCATTTACCCTCAGAAAAGTGGTCCTGGTTAACTCTGTTCTTAAAGTATCCTTACTAATTAAATACTGTTCTAATTGGAGATAGAATAGGTACTTTAAATGAATGTAGGGACCTAATGGCAGTTTTTCCTGCTGATGCAGCAGTATCAGAACTAAAATTTGGCTATGGAAGACATTTTACTCCTAATTGTTGAAAGCAGAGCTTTCCCATTCACAGAAAGGGCTTTTCTATCAGTGCAAAAAGAGAGAATTGGAAAAGTGCAGTGTTATGGCAAAGGACCAACAATGTGCCTTATGAGGAGGATTTCTATTTCTACTAGATGACATTGTTGGCTTAGAAATACCACGTGCTTACCAAAGGAAGGAGAGAGAGAGAGAGAGAGAGACTGAGACACCTATTGGGTTAGTTATTATAGCATTTACCGATCTTTCCTAACAGAACTGTTTCCCTGAACTGTAAAAATTTCCACATATTGCATACACAGAAAGAATAGGAGACATAGAGACCATGGATAGAAAGGAAGAACAAATTTGCAACAGGATAGCAAATTAGGAGACCCATTACCAACATCTGGATGGGCTGCCGGAGGCTGTGTTCAGTCCAGAAGCCTTTGAATAACATCAGGGTGTGTCCTGGCCAGAAATTCTCAGCTGTTCCAGGACATCCCCCAGCCTCATGTGATGGTGAGGTTCTCCATGAAAGGAAACTAGTTGGAAGAGAACCTTGAAATTAAAGGACAGATTTGAGGTTTGCTCCATACTCACCATTCTGATGTTTCTATCTTCTCTTCTGATCACAATCCCAGATGAGAACTCCCAAATAAAATGACTCTGTTTGGGAATCTATCCATGGTTCTTTGTCACACACTGAGAAAGAATTCAGGACATGGAAACACATGAGGAGTGTGTTTAGGATTGAAAAATTTAACAGACAAAAAAGAAGAGAGAGAGAAAAAGCTTTCTCATACTGAGAAAGCAGTCACCCAAGAGAGGGTCTCCAATTTGGGGTGGAATGCAATTGATTTTGTACAGAGACTTAAGGAGGCAGTGATTGATTTACATAGGGTCCAGGGGATTGTTTTGACCAGGTGTTCCATTTACATAGCCTGAAAAAAGACTGGCCCTCCCATCCTATTCTTTTATTATGCAAATGTGGCTTCTACCTGGTGGTCACCATGAAATTAGGAGATATACCTAATGTTAAATGATGAGTTAATGGTTGCAGCACACCAACATGGCACATGTATACATATGTAACTAACTTGCACGTTGTGCACATGTACCCTAAAACTTAAAGTATAATAAAAAAATAAAACCCCATGGTAAATTTCTATTTTTTTGTGTTACCTTGGCATCTATTTTTAATCTTCCTTGAACACACCAAATTTTCTCTTGAAAAAGCTTAAGTTCTCTCTCTCTCTCTTTGCTTTGAGATGTAAATGTGCTATGTATTTTCTCTAAAACTAGGTAAAGCCTTCCTCAGATAAATGTTAACCTTTACCATTTACAAGACAGCAATTTGAATCCAACTATCCTTTAAAATGGTGGGTTTTACTGATCTCATGCCTAAACTCCTAAAATCAAAATTCTAGAATCTTTTTGTCTCTCTCTATCTTTATGTGAACATATATATGTTTCATCACATATATGTATATGTCACACGTTTATATACTGTTTACACATAGTATCAAATTAATGTAAAAATAAATGAGTACTCACAAATTAAGTGAATAAGCCCAAATGCTTTTCTATATATGTGATTTTAGTAACCTTTGGTGAATATAGATAGCTTTAAAATTGTTGGTAAAATAAAGTAGAAATGTCTTCATAATTTAATTTATACACTTTTGCCTATGTCTGTTGGCAGGCAGGTTTATATTGTCTTTACTAGATGTTTTAAGGTCATCAAAGAGTTGCTTGTGTATATATACATTTTCTTAATTTGTCTGTGAGCTTATGTCTTTATATTTGAAGCTTTAAATTCTGAGTTCTAGATGAGTGACCATAGTAAGAACTGGGGACAAAACCCATCCCATCCTCCAGCTGTGCCTTTTGGCCATGCTGGGAGAGGTGGGATTATCCAGGCATTTTCTTCATAGCTCTGTTCTTTGTCTTGGGCTTTGCATCTGGTACATAGTTAGAATGGTTTACTCCCTAGTTTTTTTTCTACTGAAAATAAGGCTGTATAAGTCTGTTTTTACATTGCTACAGACAAATACATGAACCTGAATAATTTATAAAGAAAAGAGTTTGAATGGTCTCATGATTCAGCAGGTTGTAGAGTAAGCATGATTCTGGCATCTGCTCAGATTTTGAGGAGGCCTCAGAAAACTTACAATCATGGAGAAAGCCAGTGGTGGAGGAAGACATCTTATATAATGGGAGCTGGAGGAAGAGAGCAAGGGTTGCACACTGGTAAAGAACCAGATAAAACTCACTGTTGCTATAACAGCACCAAGGAGAATGGTGTTAACATATGAGAAACCACCTCCATGATCCAATCACATCCAACCAGGCTCCACCTCCAACTTTGGAGATTACAATTTGACTTGAGATTTGGGTGGGGGTAAAGGTCCAAAAAAAATTATTCTCTCCATCTTCCCTCCCAAATCTCATGTCTTTCTCACATTTAATAATATAAGAATGGCTTCCCAACAGTCTCTAGAGTCTTAACTCACTCAGCATTAACTCAGAAGTCCAAAATAGCAAGTTTCATCTGCGACAAGGCAAGTTCCTTTTACCTATGAGCCTGTAAATTCAAACACAAGTTAGTTACTTTCAAGACACAATGGAAGTATAGGCATTGGGTAAATACTCCCATTCCAAAGGGAAGAAATAGGCTGAAGGAAATAAGATACAGGCCCCATGAAAGTCTGAAACCTTGCAGCACAGTCTTTAAAACTTAAAGCTCCAAAATAATCTCCTTTGACCCCATATCTCATATTCAGGGCACACTGATGTAAGGCTTAGGCTTCCAAGGTTCTGGACATCACAAGAACATTCCAAGAGAGTCACAAAAGAATTTGTAGTGTGGCTTTTGATGCTAAACAGCATATTAGACCAAGTAAGTCACTGAAGAGAAAAAAGTCAGAGGAGAAGATGGGTGAGGGTGACAGAAATGGAATGGTGAAAGGAAAGGTCTGATAAAAAAGTTTACCGGCTGGGCATGGTGGCTCATGCCTGTAATCCCAGCACTTTGGGAGGCCGAGGTGGGCGGATCACAAGGTCAGGAGTTTGAGACCAGCCTGACCAACATGGTGAAACCCCATCTCTACTAAAAATACAAAAATTAGCCAGGCGTGGTGGCACGCACCTGTAATCCCAGCTACTCAGGAGGCTGAAGGCAGGAGAATCACTTGAACTTGGGATGCGGAGGTTGCAGTGAGCTGAGATTGTGACATTGCACTCCAGCCTGGGTGACAGAGTGAGACTCCATCCCAAAAAAAAAACAAAAGTTTACCCAGGGGCTCATCTGGTACCTTGCTCTGTGACTAATATCTTACACATTTTGATTTACTCTTCCACTTTCATTTTCTGATGCGTGAACGGTCACCCTTCTGCTGAAGATGAGAAAAGAGGCTGAGGCAGCTCAAATGAGTGGTCTAGAGTCATCCAGCTACTTCATAGAGCTTGTGTCTTTCACCTTGACGTTTGTGCACAGACAGAAAAGAGACACAGAAGGAAGGCAAAGCAAGTTTTTGTTGTGGGTGATATTTATGAAAGTTACCTGTGTTAGGCAGAATAACGGACTCCTAAAATGTTTGCACCCTAGCTCTGGAACCTGTGCATTTACTTTTCTTGGTAAAAACACAGTGCAGGGGTGATAAAATTAAAATCTTAAGATGTAGATGTTATTCTAGATTATCTGGGTGGGCCCATTGTAATCAGAAGTGTCCTTGTAAGTGACAAAGAAAAGCAGGGGCATCCGTGTGAGAATGATGAGCCTGTGAGACTCCACTGGCCAATGCTGGGTGTGAGCATGCATCAAAAGACAAAATTACAACTAATGTAGTTATAGATTTTATTTTTCATTTATTATTTGAGGCAGCTCTCACTCTACAAATATAGTGACAGCCCTCCCTGGGCTATACAATAACAAAACAGTGGGTTTTGTCAAGTGGGAACCAGTAAACAAAGCCATATAAATAAATAAATTGGTGAACATTAGGGTACTTCAGGTCACTTTTCTGTAAAAGTTAAAGCAGAGGAAACTTTTATTATGCTGTCTCAGGTAGAGTGGAATCTCCTGTTTTCAACAAAAAACAAAGGTCTGTTCTGGTATCTCTTTGCTTCATTAAAATTTCAGTTGTAGACTGTAGCATTTAGCATGAGTGGTTCTATTTTGGAGTCTCTAGGCTCTCACTTAGGTGAGAGTGTGACCAAAATTTAAAGCATTGGCATTCATCTCAGTAACCATCATATTGGGCTTCCATCATTTATAGGTTTATGATGTCTTCCTGATCACACATTTCTTTGAGTTTTTGTCATTTCAGCCAAAGAGAGACCCTTTGGTATTTGTTGATGGCTGCACACAAAACTTTTTAAAAACTTTTGTAGAATTCACCACACCAAATTGTAGAATTTAAAAACCTGTAGAATTTATCACACCAGAGAGGCTACTAGTATGACTATTGGGAGGATAATACCAAAAGTTTGGAGTATGCACTTTAGGCAAGATGCAAACCAAGTAAAATAGAATAGATCAAAGAATGAGCCAGAAGAATCTAGCAATTTTAACCAAGTAGTATGTTTGGTAACTTTTGTGATTGAGTTGTTATGATACTCGATGTATTTGTTTATGTGCAACAATCAGTGTCAGAAACTGCACAGGCTCCTCCCTGTTCAGCTGGTAGGGAACAATTTTATTATGTAGCATTCGATGGCTCATTAAATTAAAACAGGGAATGAGAACGAGTCTGAAAATGTAACTTTAAAAGGGACCACTGTACATTTGAACAAACAATTGTGTTAAAGATGGTGCTAATGTCAGCCATTGGGTGGACTAAATGATATCTTATGTAAAAATTTGAGGGTGACATGATATATCTGTCACTCTGTTACACTACTCTCAGAAGCTACTTCATGTGAAATTCTAATGATACCATCATCCTGCCAAGTGAAAGAGGCAGGCATAAGCATGGACAAATTAAGAGGGGTAAGAGCCTGATTTTGATGTGGAGACTTGTTCTGACAACTTGGGAAAAGCTTTTGACAGTGTGAAGTTGTCAACTTCTTATCCTGGTTTTAAGTTTGAGTGTCTGTAGTTATGGTGTCAAACATATTGGTGAGCTCTGAGTGACTCATACTTCAGACACGAGGGTTTTCCCGTGAAATTTACATTGAGCTTTCCACCTCCAACTTATAGGGCTTCAGGAATAAAGCAGATTTTGTTCTTACTGATTCAATAAGAGAAAATTGGATGGGAGGAACTAGAAGAATTCAGGGTCTAGTTCAGTCTACCGGTGAATAATAAAAACTCAAAAACAATGAACAGAGCTGCAATTTCATAGCAGGTATACTACACTTTTTATTTTCAACGTTATTTTTCTCTCTATAAGAATATCTATTTTTACCAAAGATAATCCCAGTAGGATAAATTTGTTTCCAAAGTAGGTTTAGTCTTATCAAACTTTGCCGGGATTCTTTACATAAGTGCATCAAGAGTAGCATTGGACCACAGAGACTCTTCCTAAAGTTTGCATCGCTAGACGTTTTTATAAGGAGTCTCAGATTAAACTTTTACAAACCTCTTGAGATGAGGAAGCCAAATGAAGGCCATCTTCAGACTTTGCCTGCAGTACTTATGGGTCCATTCTATGTATATTCTCAAATATAACATCTCAGTCAAAGCCTTGGTAATATAACCAATGTTTTGAAATGTGTCCTTTTGTAAAGAGAGAAGATTCTTACTAAACTTGTGCAAATAACTGTATTAGCATAAACATATGAATACTCATGAATAGTTTCCCAATCCTGGGACAGTTAGGTAAAGAGCAAAAATAAATGGGCTTCAATTATTGTTTCCAAAAGTATACTTTACCAAATTGCTTTAGATATAGCTAGCTTAAAAGAAGAAAAATTCCATAAATCTGGAAAAAATCATTTAAAGAATCAGCAAATTTTCAAATAAAAATTATAAAAACATTATCCACATTATCATTTATTTCAATGAAATTATTTTTGTTAAGCTTGGCCTAGGTTGGCATATTTCATGAAGGCATCAGCCTGTTTGTTAAAGTTTTGGAAGTCCATAGAGAGTCCAGTGGTATAATCTTGAACTGCTCAGAAACTTGTATGCAAGAGTACTTGTCAGTATCTTTTCCATAAATCTTTTGAAATAGAAGCAATTTTGGACTGTAGCTGATTGCAGATGCTTTCAGGAAGAATCAAAACAACTATCTGTGAATCACCAACATGTAAAATGACTGTTGTTAAAACTCTGATAAGAGTTTGGTATAATAAAGACAGTAACTCCAGCCAGTACTCCAATCATGATGCTGACAGTGGCCCCAACTGAGAGACCAAAAGAACTTTCTTGTCCTGAAGCAGCTGTCATGGAAAAAAAAAGAAGAGAAGGAATAAATGATAAAGACAGCTCACATAGAAATTTAGTTACTTCTGTGGCATATTACATTCTGACTAACTTCTGTGGAATATGACATGATTATTATAATAACATATTCAGTTTCTAGGAATCTCATAATTTTGGGGACACTCACATCAGTAACATACCCATAAATAAAACTTAGAGAAGGTTTAGCATCACTTATCACTTATCATTTGAAAATGCTTTTTATATAATTTAACATATCAAATAAGGTGGCTTTTCCATTTAGCTTCTGTTTCTCAACTGGATTAGTGAGTTGTTGATGTAGCCTATTAATGAAGAAGGACAACATTATCGAGAATGTGAAAAGGCAACCCATGAGATGGAAAACTATTTGCAAATTATACATCTGATAAGGGATTAATTTTCAAAATATTATATTCAGAATATTTCAGAAGAACTACATATCAAAAACAGTGGGGGGAATAGGGAGTTGTTCAGTGGGTCTGCAGTTTCTGTGATGCAGAATGAGAAAGTTCTAGAGGTCTACTGTACAGCTTGGTGCCTATACTTCATACAGATTGAGTATTTCTTATGCATAAGACTTAGGACCAAAAGTGTTTTGGATGTCCTACTTTTTTTGATTTTGGAATATTTGCAGTATACTTACTGGTTTAGCATTTCATATTTTAATAATTCAAAATCCAAATGTTCCAGTGAACATTTCTTTTAAGCATCACATCAGGGGTCAAAATCGTTGGATTTTAGGGCATTTCAGACTTTGGATTTTTAGATTTGGGATGCTCAATGTTTACTACTAACATTTGCATTTAAAAATTCATCATGAGTTTGGACTTCATGTCATGTTCTGACAATAGTAAAATGAAAATTTGCAGGAAACATTTTTTTTCTATAAGTGGACACTGTTATTAACGGCCCAAAGATCTAAGATCGATTGCTGGAAGTAGTATTCATCTTGATAACATAAAAAGGTTTAGGTCTGCTCTGAATTCCAGTTGGATCACATTATGCTCAAAGAAAGGTGCTGAAGATGGTTTGGAATTAGCAACTCCCTGGGTAGTGGGAGGCATGTGCATTCTGTTGGGAGGACAGGATTGATCAGAGAGAAAGTCTTAGGTGTGTCAATTACATAAAGTGAGGAATGACGCCAAATTAAGAGAAGTGATGTGTGTTATGTTAGTGAATTTAGAAAGAGCTCCCTGCTTCTAATTTCTGTGCAGTTAGGCAAAAAGGGGAGGAGCCCAAAAGAGGCATGTGAAATGCTTTCATCATTTTCTCTTGATCTCAAGAAACACTAGAGTTTGATTACATTTGTTTAAATTGGGCAGAGTCTAAGGGAGACGCCAGTGCCTCATGCATCTCCCCACCTGAAGGACCCCACCTTTCGACAATGGTGTCATCATGAGGACACAGGTGTGTGTAAAACTGGCAGCAAACCCATCAGACAGCACCCACCTGGCCAGCTCCATCCTGTCCCAGGAACCACTACTATTCTCATTATGTGTATGTTACAGACTTTGAAGTGGTCCCACAACTCCAAAATATAAAATATGCTATTGTCAATACAAAATATTGGAAAGAAAGCTGGATAAGTTGTTCCACTTTTTTCGCATTCTTTTTAAACTTTGCTGTTTCCGTTTTAGAAGTTTCTGTTGACACACCCTCAAGCTAGATATTTGTTCCTCAGTTGTGCCCAGGCTACCAGGCTTCTTCATTTATAGACTTTTTTTTATAGCATTGTTTAAAGTTCTTTCTTAGAATATCCATCTCTCTGCCTACATCACCCATCTTTTCCTGCATGGTGTCTACTTTTTCCTTCATAACTGGTAACCAGAGTTGCTTTAAATTTTCAGTCTGATAATTTCAACATCTCTGCCATATCTGTGTCTGGTTCTGATCCTTGCTCTTTCAAACCACATTTTTTTTTTTTTTGCCATAGCCTGTCTTGTACTTTTTTCTGTTTTTTTTTTTTTTTTGAAAGCCAGACATGATGTACTGGGTAAAAGGAACTTGGGTGAGCCGGCCTTCAATGATATAGTGGTGAATGTGGGGAGGGAGGAGTTCTGTGGTCCTGAATGAGGTCTGTTCCCTGGGTTGTGAATGTCACAACTGCCTCTCAGTATTTTCTCCTCCTTAGGTGGGATATGATGGCTAGAGGGGGCTGGAGTTGGACATTTTCCCTTCACCAGGCCAGTTAAGCTTCCATCAAACCCCAGCTGATTCGGCTATGGTAAAACAATCTTTATGAATACAGGTCTTGCCAGGAAGAATTGAATTCACTGCCATCTAAGTGGTTCCTCCCCATCCCCCACAAGAAAGATGAGGGGAATTTTATTGAATATTCACTGTGAAAACCTGGTATAGTTCCAGGAAGTGAGAGCCATAAAATTGTCCTCCTAATCCCATACCTGATCCATCTGCTGGAGTGTTTAACTCTGTGCCTTGTCCACATTGAGCCTTCAGCAATTCATCAGTTACAGTTCAGGGTTTTTGACTGTGTCTGGATAAGGTCAGCCGGTGGCTAGGATGCAAAAGACACCCCACTGAGTTTCTGGGCCTGGGTTTCTGCTCAGGTAAGACGTGCTGCTCTGTATTTACCTGTGGGTCTCTCCAATTTATGGGGGAGTTGGCTCTGAGACCTTGCTTCTCTGAGCGGTCGAAAAGAGTTTTTGATTTTTAAGTTTATTCATCTTTCTACTTGTTACAACTGAGTGACAACCACAGCAGGATGAGGTTGGAGTGAAATGGGTAAAATAAGCCTGTGGGCATTGGGGACTGTAGACATGTCCTTCCTCTGATCCCCTGGTGAGTCAGTGGAGAGAGTGAAACCACCTTTGCAAAGATTACAGCAGCGAGATGGAGCTAGTATGGCAGACTTCATCTTACCTCTAGCTGGAGGCTGGCTGTCCTTGCTCATTCATGGGCATAGGCCAGGTTAACCATGGGAGGAATTTAGTTTACAGTGTAATTTTGAAGCAAGAATGATAATATCCCCTTACTAAAATAAACTCCCTCCTACTCAAGGATGGTCTTTGTCAAAGTAATACAAGACCATAACATTAGGATTATAGGAGGGACCAAAATCCTGCTAAAATGTAGTCATAGTTTCTATAATCCATTATTGCTCAGGAGTCATGTGGCCAGCAGTCACAAGACTTGTGATTTCTTTAATTGCTCCTATAGATAACATCACTATTATAGATTATGAGATTGGTCTTTTGAGATATTTCTCAGACTTGCATTCTGGCAACCAGCTGGCCTCATCCAGACCCGTGAGCAATGCCTCCAGTCATGTGGCCCCCAGTCAGAGGCAGATCAAACACACAGAGACGATTTCCCCCACCTGCATGATTTCATTCCCATCCAATCACCAGGACCCATTCCTTAGACCTCAAACTTTTTGAAAAACTCCAACCCTAGCCATTGGGGAGGTTGATTTGAGTAATAATAAAATAAGCTCCTGTTTGGCAGCCTTGGGCTAATTAAAATCTTTCTTTACTACAAATCACCCTCTTCATAAATTAGTTTTGCCTGCGCAGGGAGCAGGATGGACCTGTCGGTCTTCCTGTCAGGTAATTATAAGAGTGGATGGAGAAACCACTCATTTCTATCTGGTGGCCTGTTCCATGAGTCAGCCTCTCAGAAGGAAAGAGCCCTGGAACAGGATACAGTGAAAGCTCATTCTCCTGGTGACCTGAAGACAATGGCTCATAATGGAGCCTGGCGGAAGTGGCAACTCTGGCTAATTTCAGTGTTTTTTTTGGGGGTGGGGAGGGGGTGCAGTCAGGCCACAGTGTGAGCAGAAAAGGAGCAGAATAGTCAGCTTTTGTCTGAGGAAGTCCAAAGCATGGAGAAAGATGTGCTGGACAGGGCATGCCAGCTAGAATGA